>NC_000005.10:153958419-154258737 GCF_000001405.40 Homo sapiens
AGAACTAACCTGCCTCTTCTTACATGTGGCATAAAATTCATACCAAGGATAAAAGCTAAGTGCAAAAATAAGTGTGGTCAGTATCTTCCTCATCTTGTATTTTTTAAATGGATGTATATTTATATAGACATACACATACTGGCTAAGATGTATTGACTGTTTACGAGGTGCTGAGCAGAATCCACTCACTGCCCTAACTCTCTAGAGAGCCCCATGAGGGACAATGCCATTATCCTCATTTTGCAGATCAGGAAACTGCGGCACAAGGAAACCAAGTCATTCACTTAAGGCTGTGAAACCAACGAGTATCAGAAAGAGGTTTTGAACTCAGGTCTTCTGACTCTAGGGTACCCCTCACCTCCTACAGCCCCCACTGTCAGTGTCACCCCGCTGTGAGTGCCCCTCTGCTGATTAAACTCCCAGAAGTATAGACAGTAAAAGGTTCCTAGTATAACCTTGGTGGTGAAATTACAGGAAGTATTAATTTTTCTCTGTGTTCTTGTCTACATTTTCTATTAAATACATATGCATTATTTCCACAATTAGAGAAAAATCCATTGTATTTAAAACAGAACAGAAAGGCCTTTGTGTTCTCTGAGACTTCAAGATGCTCCCAAAGCTCAGTATGGCCCCACGTGGGGAGTTAGTCCTCCTGCAGCTCAGCCCCTGCCCGCTCAGGATTCTGCTCCCTTGCTGGGCTCCTGCCCTTTGTGTCCAGGCTGGCTCTTGGGCCAGCAGGACTGAGTCCAGTTGCCTCTTTGGGGCCTGGGAGAGGGAGCCACATAGAGAGCTTAGCTGAGCAGCCTTCTCTCTCTCTTTGGAGAGCCTAAAAGGGAATGCAAAAGGCAGCTCTTCACAGGCATTTGGTCTCCCCCATCACCACTCGCAACCCTAAATCTGCTCTCTCACGCTATGGGCAGGCTCCTGGGGGCTGTCAGTCTGCAGAACAGTCAGCTGTGCAGGAGCGTCCCTCTGAGACCCAAGGCTGAGGGGCAGCAGGCCCTGACCCTAATATCAAGTCCCAGCCAAGGAGACAGACCTCTGCATGGACTAGAACTGGGAAAAGAGCCTCAGACTCTGCTGAGTGAGGACAGTCTACTGAGAGCTCCCTCAAAAGGGGAGCACACAAATTTCCTAATGATCAGAAACATGTGTGGACATTCCTGAGAATCCAGATCAGCCTCTGTAGATTGTAGATTCTCTGGGCAGAAAAGCCTTGGGAAGCTTAGCCCCCCACCATCCCATTTACCCTGGAGAGCCCTCCCGTCTGTTGCACTGTCCAGAAGCCTCTTCCCTCTCCTGGCTGGGATATCTTTCTAACTTGTAATGAAAGTTGCTCTCTCCACTTCTCAATGTGTAGTCTGTCTTAAGCACTCCATTCCAGGAATTCCAAGAGCCCAGGGGACTCCATTCCAGGAATTCCTGCCTCGGGAGCTTTGCACTTGCTATACCCTCTGCCTGAAACACTCTTCATAGGATGAGCTGGGCATCCCTGTGTCAGCTTGAAGTCACTCCTCCAGAGCCTCCTGACTGCCCTGAGTTGACAGCCAGGTCCTGAGCACAGCATATCCCTGCCAAAGGCCACAAACTCAAAAGAAGGAAACTGGCCCAGTGTAGGTGGACAAATGGTCACTGGCACTGGACTCACGGGCTGGATGATGAAGGGGAGTAGTGGAGACTGTATCAAACCGGAAAGCAGGTGCCCCATCCAAAGAGGGAAGCCACTGCACAGCCTAGCTTGGATGCTGCCTTGTAGAAATATAAACTGTGTGGCTGAACCTTCAGTTCAGACAGGGAAGAGAAGTCAGAAACCTGGACCTCCATGAGAACTCTTTAGGTTGTTTATATCTGTTGAATACTTCCATGCATGCATGTATACCATAGGCACCTACAAAGACTGCTTCCCTGGGGTGAGCTCCGGCACCCCAGCCTGAGCTTCCCCTCACCCTGGCAGCTCCTGGTCCCTCACCCCACACCCATGGCCACGTCTTACTCCTCTCACACCTATCCTCAGCCCTGCACAGCCAGGCCTTGCCCCTCTCACCCCTGTCCTCAGCCCTGCACAGCCAGGCCTTTCTCCTTTCACACCTGTCCTTAGCCCTGTGCCCCATGCCCAGCGTGTGCCTGATTGTCCTGGCTCTGGCCTTACCAACACAAGGGGCTAATGTCCCCACCTGTAACCAGAAAGAAGGAAAGAGCCCAAGGCCCCAAGAGGGTTGCAAAGGCTGCCAACCCCATGTGAGTGCCCGGCAGCCTCTATTGCCAAATCACCAGGGAACACAGACAAATGCCACCCCCGCCCCTTGAGTTGGTGAGAGCTATTTCCCACCACATCCTGTCCTCCCACCCACAATCTGCAAACCAGCATGTGTGCCTCCATTTCACTAATTGCAGGCTGACTGATGGGGCTGTAACAGCATTCTGGCTTCTGGGTACAGGCAATCAGAAGCCAGGCTGGAGCCTCGGCAAGGTACTGCCTGGACCCGAATGGGAGCTGACACCTCCCCAGTTCCATGAGCCCTGGGGCCCTTTACCACATAGACTAGAACTGATCCTAACATCTTCCCCAGCTCTGGAGCTCAGCTCCTAAATTCCCCGGGAAGGGACTTCCTGTTAGAACAAGGCTATCAATCTTCCGACCTCACCAGGCCTCTTCTGACAATCCAGAGACAGCTGAGATTCCAGCTGTGGGGGAGGTGGGAGGGAGATCATATGACCTTCTTCATTGATTAGTCAGATAAAGTGGTGCCCCCGCCTTGATGCCTGCTTCCAGGCTGAAATTGATGTGCAAATTCTGGGGTTTGTTCATGAGTTCAACAGTTGCAACAAACACTGCTGACATGGATTGAGTGGTTACAGGGCACTAGGTGCTCTCCATATATTAGTTCATTTAATTATCACAGCAGCCTTATGAGATTGGCATTCACATCTGCTTTTTATAGATAAGGAAACTGAGGCACAGAGCAGTTAAGTAACAGTCTTAAAGTCACATGGTCTCTTAGTCCATTTGGGCTGCTATAACAAAACACTGAGTTGCTTATCAAAAACAGAGATTTCTTTTTTATTTTTTTTTATTATACTTTAAAGTTTTAGGGCACATGTGCACAATGTGCAGGTTAGTTACATATATACATGTGCCATGTTGGTGTGCTGCACCCATTAACTCATCATTTAACATTAGGTATATCTCCTAATGTTATCCCTCCCCCGTCCCCCCACCCCACAACAGGCCCCAGAGTGTGATGTTCTCCTTCCTGTGTCCATGTGTTCTCATTGTTCAATTCCCACCTATGAGTGAGAACATGCGGTGTTTGGTTTTTTGTGATAGTTTGCTGAGAATGATGGTTTCCAGCTTCATCCATGTCCCTACAAAGGACATGAACTCATCCTTTTTTATGGCTGCATAGTATTCCATGGTGTATATCTGCCACATTTTCTTAATCCAGTCTATCATTGTTGGACATTTGGGTTGGTTCCAAGTCTTTGCTATTGTGAAGAGTGCTGCAATAAACATACGTGTGCATGTGTCTTTATAGCAGCATGATTTATAATTTTACTTTGGAGTTCTGGGATACATGTGCTGAACGTGCAGATTTGTTACATAGGTATACATGTGCCATGGTGGTTTGCTGCACCTATCAACCCATCATCTAGGTTTTAAGCCCCAAATGCATTAGGTATTTGTCCTAGTGCTCTCCCTCCCCTTTCCCCCAACCCGCTAACAGGCCCAGTGTGTGATGTTCCCTTCCCTGTGTCCATGTGTTCTCATTGTTCAACTCCCACTTATGAATGAGAACATGCGGTGTTTGGTTTTCTGTTCCTGTGTTAGTTTGCTGAGAATGATGGCTTCCCGCTTCATCCATGTCCCTGCAAAGGACATGAACTCATTTTTCTTATGGTTTCATAGTATTCCATGGTGTATATATGCCACATTTTCTTTATCCAGTCTATCATTGATGGGCATTTGGGTTGGTTCCAAGTCTTTGCTATTGTAAATAGTGTTGCAGTAAACACACATACGCATGTGTCTTTATAGCAGAATGATTTATAATCCTTTGAGTATGTACCCAGTAATGGGATTGCTGTGTCAAATGATATTTCTGGTTCTAGATCCTGGATGAATTGCCACACTGTCTTCCACTATGGTTGAACTAATATACACTCCCACCAACAGTGTAAAAGCATTCCTATTTCCCCCACATCCTCTCCAGCATCAACAACAGAGATTTCTTTCTCACAGTTCTCATGGCTAAGAAGTCCAAGACCAAGACATCAGCAAATTCAGTGTGTGGTGAAGGCCAGCTTCCTGATTCATAGACACCCGACTTCTTGCTGTGTCTTCCTCACATGAGGAAGAGAAGACAAGAGGGATCTCTCTGGAGCCTCTTTTATAAGAGTTTTCATCCCATCCATGAGGGCTCAGCCCTCGTAAACCAATTACCTACCCAAAACCCCACAAGTATTCTCACATTGGGGATTAAGTTTTAATATGTGGATTTTGGGGGGACACAAACATTCTGTCTACAGCATATGGCTGATAAGTGACAGAATTGGTATCTAAATCCAGGCAGTCTGGTTCCAAAGCCTATACCCTTAACTGCTACCTTGTACTTATCGAAAATCTACTCTAGGTATTGCAGGCGTATATTAATTCACATGGAGACATCCTACTCATTGTTATTATTATTGATCTATTATTGAATGAAAAAGAAGTGGCAACAGAATGTATAAGTTTGATCCTTTTGGGAGAAAAAATATATATGAATATATCATTGCAACAGCTAGAACATAAAAAGTAATGTAATGTGACAAGGTGGTGGAGGAGGGTGGCTACAAGTTTACACTTGAGAGTCAGACAGACCTCAGCTGAATCCAGGAAGCCCCAGTCTCTCCCTGTGTAACTATGTCCAGCAATCACTTGTCCTCACTAAGCCTCAGTTTCCTCATCTGTAAATGAGAGGCTGAACCTAAAATCATCAGTGTACAGATCAAACACAAAAGACCATCTAGTATGTTATTCCATTTATATGAAATGTCCAGAAAAGGAAAACTGCAGAGACAGAAAGTAGATTAGTGGCCACCTGGGGCTGAGGGTAGGAACTAGGATTAACTGTAAATGAGCCTAAGGGGTTTTACTGCGATGATAGAAATATTCTAAAACTGGACTATGCTGATGGTTGCACAACTTTTTAAACTCACTAAAAAAACTCTGAATTGAAATGATTAAGGAATTAAAATGGATGGACTTCATATATGGAAATTACACCTCAATAAACTTCTAAAAAATTATGTAAAACTGCTATTACATAGTAGGCCCTCAACAAATAGAGGTGGTTATTACCATTACAATTGTTAATGGAACTATTAACAGGTTTAGAAAGTGGTATTCCCAATAAATTAAAACATTTTTGCTTATGCTTATCTGTAATTTTTACACTTGTACAAGAAATGTATTTCTTATACAATAAAAAGAGAAAGGGAAAAAATCAATTCCATTAAAATATCATGGAAGGAAAGGATCCTATTATCATGGGAATGATTTTAATTTTCCTCCCTTAGCTTATTTTCCATTTTGCAACAATGAATGTGTACTGCTTGGATAAAATAATGGATTATAGTTTTTCATAAATAGTTTATTTTATATTCCATCTTTTGCTAGACACCAGGCAGCATATAAGGTGTTCTGAGAGGTTGCCCCCTAGGGTCTTGCCGTCTAGAGTGGAGGCAGGAGAGATAAATGGCCGATCTGGAAAGTTGGAGAACAAGTAGTTCATGCTAAGAAACCAAATGAGTTGCCCCCAGAAAGGCTAGCGGACCCCAAAGAGGAGGAATGCGCTGGCTCAGGGCCACCCATGCTCTCCTGCGGCAAGCCTGGAGCAGGGCCTCGGGAGAAAGCCAAAGAGGAGGAATGTCTACATACTCATAAATATGAATTGAGCACTACCTCCATGCCAGACCCTGCGAGGAGCTGGCGATGCATGGTGACAGGACTGACAAGGTCCCTGCTCTGCGATGCCACACCCCCCGGGCATGGAGGGGTGTCGAGACCCTGCCGCTTCAGCTTGGCTCTGAGCACAGCATGCACCAATTATCCTTTGTCTGGTCGATGTGCTGGTGCCTGGGGAGGGTGGGGAGGTGGGGAGCCTCCCCAGGGATTCCCTGCTGCCCAAGCCCTCATCCACAGCTGGGCAAGGGCAAGAATTAGAGAAGGCCCAGAATTACAACAAGTCCTGGGTTCTCATCCTGGCACTTGGTTCCACAGGAGTAAATCCCTTCCTTGCCGAGACGTCAGTTTCCTCATCTGCATAAAAGAGAGTGTAATGGTCACGCGCCTCCGCAGATCTGTAGCCAGAGCTTCTAGGTTCAAGCCTGGCTCTGCCACATACCCAGCAACTTGACCTTGGCCAACTTTCTTAGCCTCTGAAAGCTCCAGTTTCCTCTTCTGAGAAAACGGGTGAATTGCTAGCACCTAACCCAGGGAGGTTTGTGGGGATGGGGAGGACTGAACAAGGTAAAGCATAGAAAGCTCGGAACAGGGTGCCAAGCATATACTTGGCAAATGTAAACTACAGCTGCAGCTTACTTCCAAATCTACCACCGGATGGCTCTAGGGGATTCGGAATTCCTGGGGCATCCCAACCTGGAAGATTGTGAGGTAACAGCACCAGCTTAGCAAAAACATATCTAAAAGGATAGCTAGAATTTGGGAGGGACGGAGGGGCTATAAAACCGGGAGAGGAAAACAAATGATTACGTTCCTCCCATTAGCTTTGCACGCCCCTTACCCACATACTCAGTCCAGGGCTGACACCTGCTGGCTGAAGAGGAGCATTGCAAAGAAAAGAGACCTTTCCCACTGGCTGGGGGATCTGAAAGTAATGTTTAACCCCAGAGAGAAAAGACAGGTAGGAGCCTTAGATATGAGGATGAAGGGGCCTGGGATGTTTGCACTGGAAAGGTTTAGGTAGAAGGAATTTAGGCTGCCCTGGAGCTATGAGACCCAAGTTCAAATCCCAGCTTTTCTACTTACCAGCTGTGAGACTGGATAAACCATTTAACCTCCCCAGGCCTCAGTTTGCTTATATATGAAACGGGAATAGTAGTGTCTCATTCTATGGTGAAAATGCACATAAAGTGCCCGACAGAGTTGGTGACTCCGTAAAGGTTACTTTTCCCTCTGGATGTCTCCACCTCACTCCTGGGATCTCAAAGGTGAAGTACTTTGCAGGGGTCCTCAAACTTATTTATGTCACCATCCCCAAGTGCCTATCAAAAACACAAATGCTCAGGCTCCCCTGATGTTGCTGTGGATCAGCTCTCTAGGGATGACAGCCTAGGTGTCTGTGTTGTACCAAACTCCCAATCCTTATGCCCCTCCAAGTTTGAGAGCCTCCAGAATCGTGTGAGAGCACCAGGCTAGGAGTCTAGCTTTGTCTCTCCCAGGGGCATTCCCTTGGCCTGTCTCCATTTACCCACCCACTAAATGTGGCCAGGAGTCCTGCCTGGCATGCTTCTCAACAGGGAGGGTGCTTTGGAAACTGTGATGCTAATGCTGAAATGAAAAAGCAGGAGTGTCCAGAATAGTAAGGTACTTGCCCTCATGGGGTCTCTCCTTGAGAATGAGCTTAGGAGATGAAGCCACTAAAGTCAGGGTGGAGATGGAGGGAGATGATGGAGAGAAGAGGGGAAGCTGGCATAGCTCCTTCAGGGCATCCAGGGGCTGGCTGTGCAGGAATGGATGATCAGGAGCTGGTCACCCATGAGCTGTGTGACCCATCCCAGCAAGAAGAGGCAGGCAGCAAGGAGAGAATTCCAGCTGTGGGACCCACAGGAGCCCCCACAGTAGAAGCCCGTGGGGAGAGTGAGAAAGAATCCTGGCTGTGCCTAGAGCGGCAGCCCCTCCACTCCCCTGGGCCCCTCCCAGGTTGCCTTCCTCTCCCCTCCTGGGTGCCTATAACCTGGCTAGACTCACAACCTCTACACCCTGGAGGCAGATGGGGTCTTTGTTTTGTGTGTGTGTGTGGACAGTAAAATCAAGGCTTGGAGAAGAGAAAGGAGTCCCTTGCCCAACTTCTTAATGAATCCTCAGCCCAAACCTCCCTAAATTTTCATGACAATAACAGAGGAGGCTGGTCAAGGATTATTATTTCTGTCACACAGAGGAGAAATTCAGATCAGAGATGACATGTAATTTATCCAAGAACACACAGGAGAGTTGAGCCTCAGACTAGGCTATCATTACTACCATGCCGCACATACTCATTCCTGCTGCAGATAAAAGATTGGGCCAGTGACCCCCTGGGTCACTTCCAACTCTATATTTTCTAATTCCAGAACTGCAATCTATTCTTTCAAATTTATGTCTTTCTGGTTCCCCCAATGAACCATCAGCTCGAACCAAAATGGCCTCTTCTTGATTCCCTAAACAAACCTGAGACTTCCCACTTATTTTTCTGTTCCAAACCTCCCCTCACCACACCCAACCACACCCTCATTCTTCCATATTTGTGAACATTCTCCAGTCCTTCAAAGCCCAGCTCAATTCTCACCTGCTCCAGGAAACCTTCTCTAATCCCCCCAGTGAAAAAATAATATCGACTTGTGTGAACAGGGAAATGGAATCAGAAATACAAGCTATTTAATAAGCATCCCTACCTGGCGCTGTGCTATGAAACACATATACATGTATTATACGCCTTCTATACATGTACATTATTTGCAGTACAGTTAACCCTTGAACAACGTGGGTGTTAGGGAGCCAACCCCAGGAACAGTCAAAAATCTCTGTCTAACTTTTGACTTCCCCCAAAACTTAACTGCTAATACCCTACTGTTCACTAGAAGCCATACGGATAACATAAACAGTCTATTAATACTTTTTTTTTTTTTTAGATGGAGTCTCTCTCTGTCACCCAGGCTGGAGTAATTGGCACGATCTCGGCTCTCTGTAACCTCTGTCTCCCGGGTTCAAGCGGTTCTCCTGCCTCACCCTCCCAAGTAGCTGGGACTACAGGTGTGTGCCACCACGCCCAGCTAATTTTTGTATTTTTAGTAGAGACAAGGTTTCACCATGTTGGTCAGGCTGGTCTCGAACTCCTGACCTCATGATCCGACTGCCTCATCCTCCCAAAGTGCTGAGATTACAGGCAGGAGCCACCATGCCTGGCCAATTAATACACATTTTTATGTATTACATGTATTATATACTGTACTCTTACCCTAAAGTGAGCTAAGGAAGAAAAAAATATATTTACTACTTATTATGTGGAAGCTGATCATCATAAAAGTCTTTATCCTCATCTTCACATTGAGTAGGAGGAGGAGGAGGAGGAAGAGGGACTGGTCTTGCTGTCTAAGAGGTGGCGGAGGTAAAAGAACATCTGAGTGTAAGTGGACCCGCACAGTTCCAACTCGGAGTGGTGAAGGGTCACTTGTGCATGATGTACATGTGTATATATTATCTCATTTCATCTGCAAAATCTCAACAAATAGTTGAGAACAAAGAGTTAGCCTGTCTTACAGATGTGGAAACCAGATCTCAGAGAGCTTATGTGGCTCACTTAAGGTTATCTGGGAGAGAAAGCCTCAGGAGGAAAATATTAAAACCCAGTGTAGGAGAGGGTTGGGGTGTGACAGGGAGGCAGGTTTCAGAGCAACATGACAAAGAATGTGGAGCAAGCAAGAAACTAAAAATCCTTGAGAACCTGTGGTCAGAAGGCTCCAGGTCTAAAACACCAGGTGGGAGAGTCATTTCCCTCACGCAACAGCAGTGTGTTAATTCACACAGCACCTTCATCTGCTTTATCTCATTTAAAAACAATCATCTTTTTAGATAGACAACATCATCATTCTACAGAGAGAGAATCAAAGGCTTGAGAAAATCCTAACCAAGCTCACACAGTCTGTAGGTGAGACTGGAATATGAAGCAAGCTGGATTTCAGAATCTTTGTTCTTTCTGATACACAACTGTATTATTTACAATATCGCCTAGAAATGTTTGCATAGAAGCCTGCCTCTACTCTTGGTTCACCCTCTGTTTGTCACAGGGCCTCAGGAGCCACCATTCTGCATGTCAGTGCACCCTCTCAATGCTCATTCAACTCTGACATTCCAGGACTCTTTCGATTTTGTGAAAAGCAGCTTGTTTTTTTGATCTTCAAGAGCTTCAGATGAAAATAAAATGATGTCTAGAGTAGCTCACCTTTCAGTAGATCCATGGATAGGTGCCAAAACCAGGCGCTGGATAAAAAGAAAGCAGAGCAGGGAGAAAAAGGGCTCAGAGCAGGAGTGAACACCCATTCATTCAGCAGAGGGCTGTGAGTCCCTCCGCAGGTTGCGGGTACTCTGAGGACAGACCGACGCACCCTGCCCTCCCGGATTCCCAGACGCAAACGCCTCCTCCTCCCTCACCAATTTGCAGAGTGTTGGCCATGGAGGAGGAGAGCACAGAAGGGCACTTCCTCCCTTGGGTCCTGATGGTCAAATGAGTGGGCCACGTTCAAGCTCTGAGAATCTCAGCAGCTGCTGTGGGCTCCACCACTCTCAACCACTGGAGAGGGGCCAAGGGGGCCAAGGTACCTGCCAAGGGCTCACCTGCTGCCACTGCCCTGGAGAGTCCTGCCCACTCTTAACCACAAGCTCTACCTGTTACTACTTGTCACCCTCCCAAATCCAGCTGTGAGTGGACCTTTCCTGGGTGACCACCCCCGCCAGCATCCAACCTTTCCCCCCGATCCCCACAGCTGGAAATGAGCTTTCCCTTCTCCGTGGTTGCATCCTCCCTTTGTCCTCTCCCCCTTCCCTGTGTCTTCATCTGATCCACCCAAACAGATCCCAGTCCAAGAGTAGGTTCTGATTCCCTCAGGGATCCCTCCAGGGTCTAGCACCTTGTAGGTGCTAATAACAGTTTCTAAAACAATGAGTGAGTCATTGAGTGAGTGAGGGAAGTCAAGCAAGGACAAGCTCCATGGTCCTGATGCTGTAAAAGCAGCTGGTTGGTGACAGGCCATCCAAGCCACAGCATGTGGGTAGTTTGGGTCAGTCAGACTTGTCTACCTGAGACATCACCAGCAGGCAAGCCCACCAAATGCCAGTGAAGGAGAGCCAGATATCCATCCTCAGGGAGCCCTAAAAACACCGAGCAATTGTGGGCAATGGTGACTTCGTTATCTAATGGGTTCAGATAGTGCTTTCTCAAAGAAACTTTCATGAAAAAGGAACTAATTTTGAGAAGTGATCTGCAAGAACAGGGCCTGTGGTGAAATTTGTGTGGTGAATACAATTCTCTCCTTCTTATAGGCCCAGTGCCCCCAGCATCTTAACGCTCTGTGAGGTCATGGTGCAAGGCAACTGTTTAACTTCGAGTTTCTCACACTTACTTGACAGCTTCATTTTTCTTTAATAAAACCTATTTAACATCTCAAGAAACTAGTGTTCCAGTGGTCACAATCAGAAAATGGGAGGGAGCTGGCTTTTCAGACATTTTAGCTCTAAAGGAGGTAATTTATGATGATCTGGGAAGCCTTCCCTTCCTTCTTTTCCTCAGCTATCCTTCTGCCAGAAAAAATAAATAAATAAATAATGAAATAAAAATAAACCTATACTTTATAGGAATTACAGCCTTAAAGTAAAAGGACAAAATTACAATGGCAGATTTTGAGGCTCTGGCCAGCGACATGGGAAGGCAGAAGAACAGGGCCGTGAAATCTTTGTCCTCTGTCATTTACTGAAGATCTAACCTTCAGCAAGTTTCTTAACTTTTCTGGGCCCTAGGTCCCTGTTCTGTGAACGGATCAAATGAATTACTAAGTAACAAGTGCTTAGACCAGCACCTGAAAGATTCATAGCATCCAAATAAACTTCCATATTGTTAATGGCCTTTATTATCTGAAAAGATGTGAATTTAGTGATTTTTCCACGCACATGGTAACTTGAGGATCTCATGACTTAGTAATACAGTCCTTTATGTACATAATTGTGGAGCAAAATGGACAAAGGACAGAAGAGAGACAGTAGGCACTAGGAAAGTTTACAAAGGGAAGGACTCGTGTGTGCCTCAGGTTCACTGGGAGTGGGAAGGTTAGCTGGGTCAAGCATGAGCAGAGAGGAAAGTAAGTGCAGTCCTAGGGCAGGAAAAGCATCAGTCAGCAAAGGCCTGCAGGTGCCAATGAGCACAGCCCAAGCCTAATTAACTCTGCTCCATGTGAGCAGAGAGTTTGTTCCAAGAAGATTGCTGTTGACAAGACACCAAACCAACCACTGGGAGTTGGCGGCTTTGTTGATGTTTGGCTGAGGAATAGAGTCATCTCCAGGTCCTGGAGATAACGAGAAGTGACAGACGATCTGTTGAGCAGAATGGAGCATTTGCTTCCCCAGCTTGCAACATTTGCTTCCCTGCTGTATCTGTGAGGGCCCCTCCTCAAAGTCCCTCCAAGGCTGGGTTGGTTGAGAACCATGTCTTTGCAAGAAAAAGAAACCTACTGAGGCCCGTTCAAGAGTCAGAGTTTCTTGGGAAGATTTGGGGGTGTCTTGGAGAAGGCAAAAGCAAGAAGGTCAGCTGGGCCTTGGGAAAAACTGGAAAAACACCTAGTGCCAGGGCAGGCGCTCTGTCTCTGTCTCTCTGACTTTTTCTCTTTCATTATCTCTTTCTCTCTGAATCAATCTGGATTCTCTATTCCAGTCTCTCTCTCCCTGTGTGTCTGAGCTTATATTTCTTTGTCTCTCTCCATCTCTTTGTGAATGTGTTTTCCCTTTTTGCCTCCTCCCCCCATCTTTACTCAGTCTCTTGCTTCCTGTGTGTCTCTCTCTTCCTCCTCTCTTGTGTGTGTGTATCTGTGTTTCTGTGTGTCTCGCTCGGTGTCTTTCTCTCTGTTTCCCTGTCTCTGTGTGTGTGTCTCTGTGTCTTTCTCCCTGTTGAATGTATGTGATTTTCTCCCTGTCTCTCCCCATCTCCTCTCTCCATCCTCACCCTTTCTGTCACCACCTCAACCCTCGAGGTGGTGAGAGAAAGAAAATTACCACCTCAACCCTGGAGTCTACTTGACCTCTTAGTTCCAACGCCCAGTGATAACTCCCTTTCAAGATGACCATTCCTGGTCTAACAGTTTCAGCCAAGGAGAGTCACCAAGATAGCTTCAGGGGTCCATTCCTTCATCTAAGAAGGGGTCTGGGATGGACACTCACCCTAAAGTGTGGCTCCTACAGCAGGACAGAACTGCATGGTGAAAAGAGTACTCAATTCGAAGTCAGGTGATTGGGTCTCCTATTAGCACTGTGTGGTCTGAGGCCAGGAACTACCCTGCTGTGTCTAAAATATTCCAGCTAGAAAATGAGGAATTGGATAAGGTACCCTGTTACAAATACTTCTAGCCCCCCAAATTCTATGATATTCTACTTACAAAACAGGTATAGAGGCCAGGCGCAGTAGCTCATGCCTGTAATCCCAGCACTTCGGAAGGCCAAGGAAGGAGGGCAAATCACCTGAGGTCAGGAGTTCAAGACCAGCCTGGCCAACATGGCAAAACCCTATCTCTACTAAAAATACAAAAATTAGCCAAGCGTGGTGGCAGGCGCCTGTAATCCCAGCTACTCGGGAGGCTGAGGCAAGAGAATTGCTTGAACGCGGGAGGTGGAGGTTGCAGTAAACTGAGATTGCACCATTGCACTCCAGCCTGGGTGACAGAGAGAGACTCTGTCTCAAAAAAAAAAAAAAAAACATAGAGACTAGGAAAAACAGAGAACGTGGAAAATGGCAAGGAAGCAGAACATTTAAAAAAGAGAAAATCATGTCCTGTAAGCAAGAGTTGGTAAGAACTGTCTCTAGAGCAAGGGGCTGTTATTCCTGAGATGCCAGAGAAGGGGATCTGTGGTTCCTGAAGTTCAACGTGCCTCATCTGCAGAGGCTGTTTTAGGTGCAGATTCCCAGGTCCATCCCAGACGGTCTGATTCAGTAAGTCACCCCCAGTGACTCTGGTGCAAGGGGTCTCAGAACCACCCTTGAGAAATGCTGAGTGAGACTTTTCAAAGGATTAGAGCTGCCTTACTAGGAACTGGGCTTTCTGTGGAGGGCAGTCTTCTCCCTGCCTTTGAGGGCACACAAGAAAGGCAGGGCTACCCTTCTCATTCTCTATTTCTCTAGCACTCTGAAGTTCTAACAGAAACAAGACTGCACTGGGAGCTGAAGATCCAAGTGGGGAAAGGTTTCAATGTCTACCTCTTTCTCTGGGCTTCACTCTTTAAACTAGAGGCCATACACATCAGAGAAATGCAAATCAAAACCACAATGAGATACCATCTCACACCCGTTAGAATGGCAATCATTAAAAAGTCAGGAAACAACAGGTGCTGGAGAGGATGTGGAGAAATAGGAACACTTTTACACTGTTGGTGGGACTGTAAACTAGTTCAACCATTGTGGAAGTCAGTGTGGTGATTCCTCAGGGATCTAGAACTAGAAATACCATTTGACCCAGCCATCCCATTACTGGGTATATACCCAAAGGATTATAAATCATGCTGCTATAAAGACACATGCACACGTATGTTTATTGCGGCACTATTCACAATAGCAAAGACTCGGAACCAACCCAAATGTCCAACAACGATAGACTGGATTAATGTGGCACACATACACCATGGAATACTATGCAGCCATAAAAAAAGATGAGTTCATGTCCTTTGTAGGGACATGGATGAAGCTGGAAACCATCATTCTCAGCAAACTATCACAAGGACAAAAAACCAAACACCGCATGTTCTCACTCATAGGTGGGAACTGAACAATGAGAACACATGGACACAGGAAGGGGAACATCACACATTGGGGCCTGTTGTGGGGTGGAGGGAGGGGGGAGGGATAGCATTAGGAGATATACCTAATGTTAAATGACGAGTTAATGGGTGCAGCACACCAACATGGCACATGTATATATATGTAACCAACCTGCATGTTGTGCACATGTACCCTAAAACTTAAAGTATAATAAAAATATACACATATTAAAAAATAAATAAATAAATAAATAAATAAACTAGAGGCCATACATCTTATCTCCAGAGAAGAGAAGGGAGGATACAAGAGTCAATTAATCCTCCTGTGCCTCTTCCATTACAGCTGAGCTTTTAAAGACTGGACTCTGGGTCAGTGGGAATGCCTCCGAGATACGTTCTGGGCTGAAAAATAAAGTACTACCCTCTCATTGAAGCCTTCAAATTCCTCCAGCTTCCATGCATCTCCCTCCTCTGAGGATCCATAGCACCTGGGCTAAGTTGGTACCAATCAGCACCTGGGGTTTTATGTGGCTTGAGAAGAACCCAGACATATCTGAATTTCTATTTTAACAGGGGACTCAAGAATTCACAAAGCACCTTCACACCAACCATCCATTTAATCTCAGTAATCTCATGGAGCTGATTGTGTACCTGATGGAAAGACTGAGGATCCAAGAGGCTGGGCTGGAAAAAGGGCAGAGCTGGAGGAGAATGTAGGCCTCTGCCTCCCTCTTCCTTCCATGTCCTCATTCCATTTCCTCCAGGAAAGCTGTGGCTTGGAGAGATGGGCGGGTGGGAGGGGAGCACTCCACCTCATGAGGGCTGGAGCTGGGACCAGGAGGGAGTGGGTTGTTGTGGTAGCAAGTGGATGGAGCAGTGTGCTTGTTAGGCTGATGGCCCTGTCTCAGAAGCAAGGGGAAGAGGTAATCAGCTGGGATAGAAAGCTGGGAGAAAGAGGAGGCAGCAAGACAGAGTGGGGGACAGTATGGATTTGGGTGTCAGGAAACCTGGAACCTACATGTGTGACCTGAAGCAAGACTCTACTTCTCCACAGGTGAAGGTTGCCTCAGTTTCTGCACCTGTACATTGAGGAGGTTACATTCACTGTTCTCCAATGTACCTTCCTCCTCTAACACTTGGGCTTGTCCATCACTGGCTGCCTCCCTGACTCTCTACCGAGCCACTATCAGCAGAAGGCTGAATAACATGCGCCAATATGACCCAAAGACCACAGAAATTCCCTAGACTTTTAGGATAACTCTGTTGCTGTCCTATTCCACTTCCCACCCACCACAGCCAGAAAGTTTCCTAGAAGCCTCAAAATTCTCAGGTCACACTGGATGGCAGGCAATGCTGCAAAAAGCTACAGTGACAAAAACTGACCAGAAGATGGAGCCAAATGCCCTGGAATCCGAAACAGTTTTATTTGTCGAATTTTTAATTCTAGGGCTACAGAGCAGAAACTAAAGCCACAAAGGCAGTAAGAGATGTACTCAAGGTCCCCCATCTGCTCAGGGGCAGGGCTGGGAACCACGCCAATCTCTGCGGTCCCACACGTAATTCTACAGTGTCTGTTTCAAAGGTATAGGTGGTTCTCTAGAGAGACCCAAAGTTTTCTTCTAGACAGAGGTTCCAGACTCAAGGTCAGAAAACTCAGGCTGCTTAGGGCAGTGGAAGGAGCACTGTGCTGGGAGTCAAGGGACCCTGGTCTGAGTCTGACCCTGCTCTGATTCCCTGTGTGACACTGAGCACTCTCTCCACCCACCCTGGGGTGACATCAGCCCTTTGGCCAGAGCTTGTCCTATGCCTCACCACTCAGTTCACTTCTGCCCTGGGATTTAGCAGCTCTGGGGCCCAACCCAGCTCTCCTATGACTCCTGACATGACCTCTGGCAAGTTCCTTCACCCTCCAGGACTCAGTTTCCCTGTGTGCTCTCAGAGTACTGGGTCCAAGACCACAGTCTGATGCCTTTTACCAGCACTCCTGCCAGCTCCTTGTCACTGCTGCTGCTGTCCGTCTCACTGCCTTTGTCCTCCTGCCAGGGAGACATCATGTCCACATGAGGGTCCTGGGGCTAGGCTAGGTCCTCCCACCATATCTGGAGCCCCCACTGCATTCAGAGGACCTCCCCCTTCCCCAGACCCAGCTAGGTATGGAACATGCACAGGGCACTAAACAGGAAAACAAGTTATTATAGGGAGCTACGCTGAGAAGCAATGACAGAGAAGTATGACCTGGGACAGTGAAGGAAACATGGCACTGGGGAAACAGATACTTTAGTCCAAATTCCGACAGTAGCTTTTAGAAGCCTACGGCCTTAACCTAATTCACCCTAAAATATAAACAGCTGCTATCAGATACTTTCCAGAGAGCGTGATAAAGGTAGAAGGAGGGAGAGGGCCCCAGGCATTGAGGAGCTGAAAGGAGAGGATAGAGGAGAAAGAAGCAACCAGAGAAAATCTGTGGGAGTGGAAGGGGAAAACTAACTTTTCCTACCTTAGGACATCTCCAAAGCTGCTCCAACCAGAAGGCAACGACACAGGTTAAAGAGATGTTTCCTTGGAAGATACATGTCCAGAGAGAAAGGAGAATGTTTTCTGGGAATACCACTTCTTAGACACCGGACTTAGACAAATGACTCTTTGATGGAGCGGGAACTCTTTCCCCAACTCTGCTCGGAATCAGCAGCCAAGTTCCTCAGCTCTGGAGAAAGGAACAGTGGCCATAAAGTCACCACTGCCCTATGAAGCCACAGTCCCTTTTCCCAGGCCTCTCAGCCCAACTTGTTAATTTCTATAGGTGGGTTTTGAATCCATCCATATAGCTATTTAATGTTGATTGGTTTATTCATGAAGCACCAAAGTCACTTCAGATGGCCAATAGCACTGTTCCTGGGTCCTCTTATCCCTGAGCAAAGCCAGCTTCTCCTCTTCCCAGGACACCTACTTACTAGGATCAGCCCGACCTGGGCAGCGCAGTCACTCCAGCAAGACATCCATACGGGCTGGTGGCTATGACCAATAAGCCTCACCTCCTGACTGTTCTGACCCAGTAGGGGTCCAGGAGACTCACCACCTTCTCCACCTCTGCTGCTCCTCACGGAGGTTACTCTGCAGCTTCCCCTTCTCTTTCCGCGGCGTCTTCTTGTAATCATCTTTGCCAAACCCTGGAGGGGATGATGGAGAGAAAACAGATTCAGGTGAGAGGCTGGCTTAACAACACAACCTGCAGTGATCAGGATCTGCTTCCTCTTTATCCACCTCCCATCCTCCCTCTCCTCACTCTTATAAGTGTATCAGGTTTTTTCAGCTTTCTTAAAACACTTTCACATCTATTATATTATTCAATTAGAGCCTCATTGCCACTTTCCAAGGTGGGCAGGGAAGGGATTAGGAACCCATTTTACAGAAGAAGAAACTGAGGTCCACAGAAGGAGGGAGACATTTCTAAAATGATACAAGAAAACTGTTGCCATGGGACTAGAACCTCAGACTCCTTCCTCCCAGTCCTGCCAAGTAGGGCAGGACTATGAATGAGGGAAACATCCCAGCTCACACATCAACATTGACTGGTGGTGCTATAGTTAAGAACACCCCAGGAAAGACCCGGAGCCCCTGCTAAGCACTGCACAGCCTGGGGTCAGCCTTTGGGGTTCCTGTGGGCTATCAGAATGGGTATGCGGTCACCTGATATAATGTAATGACACAAGCGTAACCAGATGATGCATGTACATATGACATGCATGAGCTAGTGCATCTGAAATTCAACAATTTACAGATGTAAGTTCCCCAGTGGCCATTTATTTCTGCTCATAGTTCGCATGGCCTCTGACCCCAGTATTGTTTATCTGTAGTTCCAGACTACCTGACAGACAACATTTTCTGTAGATCCTAATCCAGATTTCTGGCAACTCTGGAGATAGTTTCCTGCTGATAAGCCCCCTTCTTCCACTGCACCCCAAGTCACAGCCCCCTGAAGAACATGCCTAGGATACAGAGAAAACAATCTCATATAAGCAGGAACACAGAAACTCACACCTTAGGACAGAATTCGTCTCAACTGAGATGTATTGCTTCTGTGTACATCAACCTGAGAACAAAGAATAATAGCAGCTGACATCTTCCTGGGACATTCTGATACAGACAGCTGGTTTATGAACATTATCTTACCTGAGGAGCACTCAGCCCTATGAGATAAACATTGTTAGCCCATTTGATAAATGAAGAAATGGAGGCTCATAGGGGTTAGAGGAATTTCCCAAGCACTCACAGGGAGTCAGCGGCCACACAGAGTTCTTCAGATATCTCCCGACAAAAGACAGAGTTGGGTCAGGCCCAAGGTGGGGTACAGAATCAGGCCCCTTTGAAGCTGCATATACCTCCTTGTTCTCCTATCTTATGTCTCCCTCATCAAGGCCTTGGCCTCAAAGAGCCCACAAGCCTGAAGGGCTCCCCTCCATAGGGAAGGCTTCACCATGGTGCTCCGCACACAGACCCCCCCACAGGGAGGGTGTCTCCAGCCCGGGGAGCACAGGTTCCGGGGACCCACAGCCCTGATACCTTGTTTCAGAGGAGGGATGACAACCATCTAGAGTCTACACCTCTATTCTTCATAAATCCACCCAGCCCTGAACTCCACAAGCACAGCTGTGCTGGATGAGCAAGTGTGTTCCTTCTCAGCCTGGATTGTTTTATTCTTTCCTAAGAATGCCGACACCTCCCCGCTGCCACCTTCAACAGAAAACTTGCCCAGAGCAGAGAGCACAGGGCATTAAAAATGGGACTGCAGATGGTGAGGACTGGAAGAACAGTTATATAAGGGAAAACTGAGGCCCAAGGAGGCAGGGAGGTGCTCAAAATCTGTTAGGGAGTTGGAGAACTCAGGGAAGAACCCAGGTCCCACACTTGGCTATGCATCTGCTCAGCCCCCCGACATCTCTGGATCACAGGAATCAGTTCACAGCCCCCTTGACTTTCCCAACTACTCTTTTTCTCCTCCACAGGGAGTCTGCCGTCTGATCTGAAGACCACTCAGCCTGAGTTTGGAAGGAGGCATCCATGCCTAGTGAGAAGGTGAGATAAAGCCCTGTGCAGTGGCTCACACCTGTAATCCCAACACTGGGAGGCCAACGTGGGTGGATTACTTGAATCCAGGAGTTTGAGACCAGCCTGGGTGACACGGTAAAACCCGTCTCTCCAAAAAATACAAAAATTAGCCAGGCTCAGTAGTACAAGCCTATAGTCCCAGCTTCTCAGGAGGCTGAGGTGGGAGGATGGCTTGAGCCCAGGAGGTTCAGGCTGCAGTGAGCCAAGATGGTGCCAAAGCACTCCAGCCTGGGTGGCAGAGTGAGACCTCATCTCAAAAAAAAAAAAAAAAGAAAAGAAAAGAAAGGGAGATGAGTTTCTCACAGCACAGCCAACTCAGAGGTATAGGTGCTCTCTTCTAACTTGTCTTTGACTCACAAACTCTCGTGGTGTATAAATATCAAGTCTCACTGCCCATCCAAGGGTAGAAGAATTGGACCTTCTCCATGTGGCCCTAGTAGGTAGAATTAGGACCAGTGGGTAGAATTTATATAAAGGCAGATTCTAGCTCCATATAAAGTATAACTTTATTATAGTCAGACCTATTCTAAAATGGAATAGACTGTCTCCCAAAGTAGTGAGCCCCCCAACACCAGAAGTAACCAACTGCTGGGGATGTTATAAAACAAACTTCCTCAAAGTGTAACCCACTTGCATTAGCATGTCCTGGGCAGATTCTTAAAGAGGCAGATTGCTGGGACCCTAAATCAGACTAAGTGTGGGCCTAAAAACCTAAAGGAATGTTTGAGAATGTCTGCTCTAAAAGAATTATTGGATGGAATTTGTTCCCTTCCATCTCTCAAATTCTATGACTCTCTCATTCTGTGAAATATATATCTTCCCTGGGTATTTGAATTGTACAAAGGACATCATAAAAACAAATTGCTTTTTAAGCCATAAATCCATCATGGACGGCTGTTGACAAAGGAGATATTAGGGGGCAGGCAAACCACAAAAGCAGCCGTTAATCCTCCCTGTTCCTATACCCGAAGTGGCAGCCCTATCACAGATCCCTGGCTGCCTATGACTCAATGGTCCCATCCAATATCATCTCAACTCCCATGAATCCAAGGCCCAAATTCTTTAGTCATGGCAGGAACCAAGGAAGAGAACAGAGAAAAATACCCACTTAACCATTCTGAAGCTGGAGAGCAAACTGCTTTCTCTGCTGGCCTACTAGATGCTTTCTGGGGTGCTCTGGAAGGATTTTATACTCTCTATCCTTCCTGTTTTCAGCCCTGAAGTGGAAAAACTGGATGTACAAATGTCCCCATGCATCACACTCACATCATGACAAATGTTTCCAGCCAAAGCCTGGGGCTTAATCTTAAACCCCACCCCAACCTCAGCCCCTTTGATCTCCCTGTCAGCTTCAGGGAGCTTCCATAAATTGTGGAGACATTTTATGCCAACCTTTAGAACACTCATTCCTCAGATCCCGTAATGCAACTTCTGGGAAATAATCACTTATATGTTCAAAGATGTATGTAAAATGGTATCAACTAGAGCATTATCAAAGTAATAGAGATAACAGAATAATATTAGCTAACACATATATGATACTCATTTCATTTCCTAAATGCTATTTATATGTTAATTTATTTAATCCTCACTAATATTCTGAGTTTATAGGCAAAGACACTGAGGCTCCAAGAGGTGAACTACTTGCTCAAGTTCACACATCTAACCTAGATTTACACCCAGTTTGCCTCTAGAGCACATGCTCTTAAGAACTTGGTACATTTCCCTTTAGTAACTGAAAAATAATTAGAAACCACCTAAGTGTCCTACAAAAGGATTGGTCAAATAAATTAGAGCTTCTCTAAAATGAAATATAAAGCTATTAAAAATAAGGTTAAAAATATTATTGTCTTATTAGGCAAATATGCTCATAATGTTTGGTAATGTAAGAAACACAGAATAAAACTATATTCCATATGAATAAATTTTGGATAAATGTGTATATGAAGGAAAAAATACTCTGGGGAGGTTCTTGGCAGGGAAGGCTTTCTGGAGGAGGCTGGTATTGAGCCAGGGTTTGGAAAGCTATGTTAGGGGCTTGGGCAGGGGCTGCAGTCCCTGACAGATGCTGTGGACACTCTGAATTACCCAGTATTGAGTACAGAATAGGTCCTCAGCTTGAGATGCTTAGCACTGACTGAGAGTCTAGAAATCACCATTCAGTTCTGGCTCCGTTACTAACTACAGATTCAATGTAGCCAAAGACCCATTCCCTCTCAGGGGTCTCAGTTTTCCCATTTGTACAAAGGCAATAATGATACCTTCTCTGCCTCTTCCTTGAGCCAGGCTGGAGGTGCAAAGCTCAAGTGAAGGCTTGAGCTATGAGATTCCTAAGGTGACCAGTGAGTGAGCAAAATTGACTCCTCCTACTGACTACTTACTGAGTCCTTACTATGGGCCAGAGACTGTGCTAAATGTTTTGTAGGAATATTCAGGTCTGCCTTCATGGATATGCAACCAGTATAGGCACTCAAGACCACACTTAGAAAGGCCGACATTTGGGGCTTTAATCTCTGTGGTCCCATCTTGAGGTGTTTAATAATTTCATCTTTGAATTCCGACTTGTTAAGAGAAGCCCAATGGGACAATGAAACACGTGCTGGGACATGGAGCCTCGGTTCCCCCGGGGCCCAGTGCACTTAGGTAGGGCCCAGGTACCTATAGAGCCTGCACTTACCTGGCAACTATCCCCATGCCTGAGGGAGCAAAACGTTAAATAGCAAATAAAAACACCATGGCAGGCCAATGACACTGTGGACAAAAGGAAAAATATTTTTCTTTTTTTTTTAGACAAGGTCTCATTCTGTCACCCAGAATGGAGTGCAGTGGTGCCATCATGGCTCACTGCAGCCTGGACCTCCCTGGGCAAAAGGGATCCTTCCACCTCAGCATCCCCACCACCCGACCCAGTAGCTGGGACTATAGGCATGCACCACCATGCCCAGGTAATTTCTGTATTTTTTGTAGACACAGGGTTTCACCATGTTGCCCAGGCTGATCTAGAACTCCTGAGCTCAAGCAATAACACCCATCTCAGCCTCCCAAAGTGCTGGGATTATAGGCATGAGCCACCAGACCCTGTCTTCTTCTCTTTTTGAATTAAAAACTCCATATTTTCGGTTTGCCCTGGAGCCTACAAATTGAGTAGCCAGCCATAATATTCCTGTAAGATATGTGTTCATTTTATTCCATTTTATAAAAGAAGAAGTACAGCTTTGAGAGTATATTGCCCAAGATAACACGGCTAGCAGCTTACCCAGAATTTGAACCCAGGTCAATTTGATCCCAGAGTTCATGATCTTAACACTGCACTATATATAGGAAGTCAGGCAACTGCATATGTGAGGATCCCCTCCAGAGCCCTGTAACCACAATCAAGGTCATCGCTATTCACACTAGGGTCAGCTTCTCACCTGGGTGAAGAAGGCAAAGCCCTCACAACAGGAAATATCTTTACTGTCTGCTGAGAAGTTATTGCCTGGTCCACTAAAACGAGGGTTTCATCCACTGTGTGAGATTCCACTCTCTGAAGGAAGCTGAATGGGTCTCATAAAAAAACCCACAAGGTGCACATTTCAGCACCGTCACCTACTAGCTGAGTGACTTTGGTCCCTATCTTGACTCCTGGGGACCTCAGTTGCCTCGCGTTAAAATAGGAGTGGAAATGCTTATGTGAAAGTTCTTTACAAATCTGGTACAAATCAAAGGTGGTACCATGGCTATTAGACACCATCTGACCTTGCCTGCATCAGCAAGAACTGGCCAGAAGCTGGCTGTTTTCACTGTATTCATTATTTGCCTATGCATGAGTGAATGCACTGGGTACTGGAAATATGAGTGACTGCATCTTCTTTGAGGAAGTAGCAAGAAAGAGACTTGAGAGAAGCCTAGTGATCACAGGAATATCATTTGGCCCCAAATGCTTTATTCAGGATCCCAGATCCCTTCCTGCCATTCTCTAAATCAAATATGTAAGCAAAACTCACTATTCACAAAGTGTGGGAGGTCAGGAAGAAAGGGGGATAGGATCCAACCAGTAGCTCTGACTCCAGGATGGATGAAATAACCATAATACTGCAGGTTGAAACTGGCTGAGGTGGCTAGAATGAGGCTTAGTCATGGGCTTACTTCACCCGACAACCACCCTCCCCTCTCACACTGCCAACCCAGAAATCCAAATGAGGATTCCTTAACTAGGAAACATGATCATAGGTAGGGGACCGCAAAGGGTGGGAGAAGCAGATTCTGTACTGGTACCATGTTCCAAGGGCTTTATCATCTTAATCCTCACTCTTGGAAGCAGGTATTATTATTCACATTTTAAAGTGGAGAACACAGCCTCAGAGTGGTCATCATTTACTCAAGAATATCTCTTAAAATGTTAGTCCTCACCACCAGGCCTTATTCTCCATAAAGTATTTCCATATACTCCATAAAGTATTTCCATATACATTATGTTAAGAGATGCCCAAGATGTCACAAGTCAAACAGAGGTGGATGTTATTATTCTCATTTATGGATTAGGAAACTGAGGCTGAGAAAGAAAAGCTAAAAAACTAAGGCAAGAAGCCCAACTTCTCCTCTCATCCTTCAGGAGGCCCCAGAGCCATACAATTAAGACAGACACAAATTTGCCTGGCAGAATATGAGGAAGTATTTGGTGTCTCAGAATATCCTCCACCATCTTATAGTCATAATCAACTATAGCTAACATTGATGGGGTGGAGTGCATCGCCTTACCCAACCCTGTGAAGTGGGTACCATCCCATTTTACAGATTGTCAAACTGAGGTGCAGAGAGGTTGGATGAGCAGGGCACATAGGCAATAAAAGGTGGAACTGGGACTTGAACTGAGGCTCTCTGGCTCCAGAGCTCACTCTTAAACTTATTGCTGTTCTGCTTCCTAAGGGAAAATGAGCAGGAAAAAGCTTACAAGCCGAAGTGGATTTTAAATGATCACTGACAGCTGATGGGGCTGCCTATGCTAGGTGGCAATGGTCCCTTACCCAATTCCATTTGAGTGGGGACGCAACCCTGAAGATACAGAAGCAGCAAGAACCACCCAGTCTCCTCCTTAAATCCCAAGGAACTACAAGATGCAGGAAAACAGAGAACCTTTGGCAATATTTGTTTTTATTTGTTGTTGTGTTTGTTGATTCTCTATCCTCTTAATTTGGGTCTTGGCATCTCTTTTCCACCTTCCACCTTTGGTGCATCCTGTCCTGGTTTCCTTCCTGTGACTTCTTAGCAGGACCAGCTGCCTTTCCAGGCGGGCTCTGTGAATTTGACTGAGCAAGCTCACAGATATTTTGTCTTCCCATTTACTGTATTTTAGGTAATGAAGAGACAGGCATGCATTCAACCATCAGGACTCTTCAGAGACCCTGAACTCTGCTGGAGAGAGCAGGCTTATTTTTCACATCCAATCAGGATATAACAGGATATCCTCAGTAAGTCACATCTCTTCAAAGGGTGACAGTCATTCCATTACCCTGTCTGTGCTGGCTGCCTCTATCCCTCAACCTGCCCAGGTTTGTCTTCTTCCCCATAGGGCAAAATTGGGAGTTCTTAAATTATTTCTTTACTGTCTCCTGTTAAGTTCAGGGCAGAATTAGCTAACTGGCTCAACATCACTCTAACCATGAAGAATCCAAACACTTTAGCTCAGTCTCTTCTTTTTATGGCTGAGAACTGAGAAGCAGTTAGTGCAGTGGTTATGCACACAGGCAGAACAGGGGTTGAATCCACTCTACCACCCTCGCACCAGATTACCTCAGGCTGATGTCTTAACTTCTGCAGGCCACAGTGTCTTCATCTGTAGACAGAGATAAGAACAGTTCCATCTTTGTGGGACTATTGTGAAGATAAATAGGATAATGTATTTAAAACCTCCAGCACAGTGGCCTAGCATGCAGTAACTACTCAGTTGATATTAGCTGTTATCATGATTAATAGATAGAAAGTATCTCAGTATAAATCCTGTGAGGTAGGGGTGGAGCCAGAATTAGTATTCAACTGTCTTGGGCAACTTTCATTTAATTTGTAGAGTTTCCTTCATCTGTTTAATGCAGCATATGGTGTTAATGATGCTGGAAACAGAATTCCATAACCATCTTTTCTACTAAATTGGTGGATTTCAATGAAGAATGATAGAACCCCTCCGGAAACCTTCTCAAACTCGTGCACTCCTCTCATCCCACTTTTGGCTACCAATGTACCTGCTTTTTGAGAGGAGCCAGTCTGAGCCACACTTGCCACCATTCCTGCTTCCGGGTGCTCATGATAGGGACACTCAAAAGGACCAGACGACCCACTAGGTCTTTGTTTCCACTCCTGGGGAGTGGGCCACATTGCTTGACTTTTTGGATCCCTGGCACAAAAGACCTCCTCTTCCTTTAAAAATACTTGAAATAACTGAGATAATTGCAGATTCATGTGCAGTTATTAGAAACAGAGAAATCCTGTGTACCTTTTATCCAGTTTCCCCCAATGATAACAGCTTGCAAAACTAAGTGTCCTTTCACAACCAGGATATTGACATTGATACAATCCATCTATCTTACTCTGATTCCTCAGGAAGTGCGAGCCAGCAATCGGCGGTCAGTTGGATAGCAGGACGGCAAAATGGAGAAATGGTCATCAACACTACGGTGTCATTAAATAAATATATATAGTACTTATTTATATGGTGTGTGTGTGTGTCCGTGCGTGTGCATGCATGTAAGAAATTTATATAAATAAATATAAATAGTACTTATTTATATGGTGTGTGTGTATGTGTGTATGGCACACACGCCTTTAGTTCTATACATTTATCACATTTGTAGGCTCATGTGTCCACTTACCAACCACCACCAGTCAAGGTACTGCATCACCACAAGGATCCCTTATGTTGCCCTTTTAAAACCACACCTACCCTACCTCCTCCCCCATCCCTAATACCCAGCAATTATTCATCTGTTCTCCATTTCTAAGCTTTTGTCATTTTAATGCCATATAAATAGAATTATATTGTATGCAATCTTTTAGAATTGGATCTTTTCACTCAGCATAATTCCCTTGAGATTCACCCAAGTTTTTGCATGTATTGATGGTTTATTCCTTTTCGTTGCTGAGAGCAATCCACAGTATGGATGTACTACAGTTTATTTAATTTACCAGCTGAAAGATATCTGTGTTGGTTGGGGCTCTTACAAATAAAGCATCTTTTACTAAAGTATCTTCTATTTATTAAAAATAAAGCTGCTAAGAACATTTGTGTACTCCTCTTTTCTTTCTGATCAGGAATTGATATAGACGCTCCTACCTGACTGAAGCCCTTGTTCCTGCTGTGGCAAGCATGACTTGTCACCACACTGTCCTTTCTATGCCAACTCCTAGTGGCTGTAGATACTCTGTCCAGATGCTCCCCCACGGACATTTATCTCTAAGTAGGCACCTCCCAAGCCTTTCCCCTTAAAGAAATACAACAGAACAAGCATGAGTTAGGGAACCAGAAAACCTAGACTCACTCTGCAAGAGCTCTGCCATGTATAGTTGTGAAATCTTGAGCAAGTCGCTTAACCCTCTGAATCTCTATCATACTCATCATAATAAAATAACTAATAGTTGTTGAGGTTTCTTTACCAACAGCTTATAGTGACAGTGCAATGAAATAGTGAAAAGCAGGAACTCTGGTACCAAGCTGCCTGACTTTAAATCCTGGTTCTACCACTTGTTGGCTCTGTGACCCCAGGTAAGTTACTTAACCTCTCTATGCCTCAGTTTTTCCATCTATAAATAGGCATGTCAACAGTACCTGTCTCATGGGGTTGTTGTGAGGATTGAATTAATACATATAATTAATACATGTAATGCATGTTCAGAACAATGCCTGGCATAGTGCTTATGAGTTCATGAGCATAAGCTCATCTTGTTATGTGGCAGGCACTGTTCTAAGCACTTTATGTAATTATTTTGTTTAATCCTATCAATAACTATAAAACAAGTGTTGTTATGAGATTGATTTTACAGATAACAAAATTGAATTAAGGGAGTAAGTCACTTGCTCATGGTCACAGGCCTGGAAGATGAGGGAGCTGAGATTCCTTTTTGAGCCTGTCTTTGCTCTTAACTTCTACACCCTCCTGGCAGCTCATAAACTGGGAGTGCCATTGCCTGGCCTCACAGAGCAGTTGTGAGGATTACAAAGAAAAATGTACCCCATGATGCTTGGTATTCAAACTGCTCTATACATGTTAGTTTCCTCTTTTAACAACCGGTGGCTGATGTACAGTAGATGATTCTGTAGTTCCATACATAGCAGAAATTGGCCCCTTAAGACATAAATCACCAAAACAAAGGTAGCAATTTGAAGATATTGACAGATGCATCTACAAACATTTGCAATGCTTACCTGACTCAACAATCACAACCAGATTTGGGACATGTCCATCCAACTCAACCACAATTCATTACAACCAAGCAGCTGTCTCACTTCTTTTTGTTGCAAGACAAGCAAGCCCCAAAATTGCCCAGGAGCATTTTTGGCTTTTCCCAGGAAAGACGGCTCTTAAAAGAGCCCTTGGCTCTGCAGCTTTGATCACCATAGTGCTGATGACCATTTCTCCATTTTGCCATCCTACTATCCAACTGACCGCTGATTGCTGGCTCCCACTTCCTTGTCAGTCACCATCTCTCACCATCTCTCGTCATCTTGCCTCTCCACCAATCTCTATTGCCACTGTCCCCACCGTCTTATTGCTGAATTGGTCACTGCCTCCTGATCGCTGTATTCATCCCTTTGTGGTTGCTACATGTTGCAGGACAGGCAAGCCCCAAAATTGGGGCTTAGCCCAGGAGGGATTTTGCTTCACCTGGGAAAGAACTCAAGGGTGAGCCAGTGGTGTTAGACAGTGATCATTTATTGAATGGTACTGCTCCTTGCAGGGCAGGGTTCATGGGCAATGCGCCCAGAGTTGGTACTTGTGGGCTGCTGGCTAGCTGTATTTATATCCATTTTTAATTACCTGCAAATTAAGGGGCAGGTTATTCAGAAATTTCTAGAAAGGGGGTGGTAATTTCTGAGTTGTTACCATGGCATTTGTAAACTGTCATGGCGTTGGTGGGAGTGTCTTATGCCAATGAGCAATGAGGGCAACTAGAGATCACCTTTGTCACCATCTGCTGGTTTCTGCTGGTTTTTTAAACTTTACCCTATCTGGACCAGTTCCTGTCCAGAATAGAACAGCAGGGTGGTGACCAGAAAACAAGTCCTGCTGGTCTCTTACCTCACTTTCTCAGAGGGCTTTGCAGCTACAATGCAGAGACTGCTCAGCCACTGGCACGAGTGTGAGCTCCTCTGGGACAGGAATCACATATTCTGCATTTTGTTCTCCCAGCCCTTAACCCAGTTGTCTGGGAAGGAGTAACCTCTCAGTATATGTGCAGAAACCCAGTAAGATTCTGGTATAACACAGAGAACCCCATGCCAGGGATCAGAAGACCTGGGTTCAGGTCCAACTGAGCCTCCTACCAACAGTGTGACTTTGGGAGAGTCACTTCCTCCTATGAGGCATCAACATCCCTAGCAGTGAAATGAGAAGTTTCAACCATATACACTCTGGAGTCCCTCCCAGCTCTATATTCTCTGCTGGTAGCAAAACAGTAGGCCACTCTTTGTTTTTTGCTTTTAGCTTTAGTTCCTTTTCCCCTGCCTCCTCCTTCCTTTTCTTCTTTTATTTTTTCCTTTTCTTTCAGTCAGTCAACAAACATTTCCTACTACATGCCAGACCCTATGTCAGAAGCTGGGAACTCAATGGTAAGCAATATAAATGCAGAAAAAAAAGTACTTAAGTGTTTGTTGATTTACTGAATACTATAACTGCATACTATTCAATTCTTATTTTGAATGTTTGCTTGAACATACAAGCTAATTTTGCAGTTTCTATTGCTCTCAATGATATGCCAATGAGAAGTAAAGGAAGACCCAGTTGTAATGAACACTTAAGAGAAGTCCTACAATTCCGACATAAGCAGCTACAGAAATTATGTAGACACTTCAGGTTTAAACAGGTTTGGCTGAAACTGCCAAGGTCACTGCAACAGTTAGCCAGGTGAGGATGGCTGGTAGAAACTCTGTAGCAAACTACCTCCATTCCAACTTACAAATGCGCTTTAAAAAATTAAACATATTGGTACATTCACAGTCAAGTTGGGAAAATGACTTCTTTTGTAATGTAGCTTTTTACACCATTTGATGTTTTGGAGTGAAATCCCCCCTCCCTTCAAGAGTATGACGCTTTATCAGATTCCATATGTGAGAACTTGGTGTGAGCCCCCCTCCCCTTGGGACTGTTACATTAAACCTTATCAGACTCCCCATATGCGAATTACCAAGTTACCGACCTCAACTACTGGACTTCAAAAATACATATACACTCAAGAGTTTAACAGACACCAGGAGAGCTTAGGCAGAGCTACACTCGTCAGCCACCTCTCCAAACACAGAGAGCTCAGACTCTGTGCTCTGTCATCCTGTGACAGGATGACACCCTGTAGCCTTCATGCTAATCTCTGAAGACTGGCCCTAGAGGGACCTCACCTGTCGCATGTGTCTCCACTGTGGTCAACCCAGCTTCCACCTAAAACCACTTGTAGAAAGGTGTATCTCAAACATTAACTAGACTTACTCTCCACAGAGGTCTGCTCCTATCCTAATTGAGCAACTAGACTTTTAATAATTTTGGAACTCACTTACTATATGGTTAACATACCTCTTCTATACAGTATATTCCCTGTGAGGTTTGTGCTCATTATTCTCCCCCTCTTTAAGCATTGTGAAGCTACAACATTCTCTATGGAAATAACCTATGTGATTTGTGAAACCATACTTTGATCACCTATTTCCACTATACAGAACAGCTTTATAACTCACTTGAGAGCACAGAATGGCTAATGTATACAGAAAGAGACAAATGTGGGACTGACACAAGTAGAAATAGATGATGGTTTCACTCAATTTGCAGTTTCTGTATCTGTTCTTATAAGGGTAGGCCAGTCAGACACTTAAATGTCTGGTAAGTTCAACATTGACTTGTGAGGGTGAAGTGACAGCTATAATGAATCTTTCTTTGCTTTTAGCTCAAAGGACAAATGAGTTGAGAGAATATTCAGATTTTTAAAAAAATTGTCTTTAGGACTTGCCTGGGGAAATGATAATTAAACATGAAGGGCCTTTGGGATTTGGCTGGACGATACAGTAACAGGGAAGGATGGGCTTCAAGTTAAGTAGGGAGGACCGAATGAACTAGTGTTTGAGGAACATCAAGGATATACTCAGAGAGTCAGACCAGTGGGCAAGTTTTCAAAATTCTCTTCATACAGTTGCCAGAGGCCTTTATGACATGTTAACTAAGAGGCTTATTATTTTTAGAACTTTCTCATTTCTCAAATGCTTTTTAAGTCTTTTATGAAAAGAGATATCATGTGTTGTTAAGAAATAATAAAAGGGCCAGGCACAGTGGCTCACGCCTGTAATCCCAGCACTTTGGGAGGCCGAGGCAGGTGGCATCATCTGAGGTCAGAAGTTCCAGACCAGCCTGACCAACATGGAAAAACCCTGTCTCTACTAAAAATACAAAATTAGCCAGGTGTGGTGGCACACACCTGTAATCCCAGCTACTCGGGAGGCTGAGGCAGGACAATCACTTGAACCCAGGAGGCAGAGGTTGCGGTGAGCCGAGATCACGCCACTGCACTCCAGCCTGGGCAACAAGAGTGAAACTCCATCACACACACACACACACACACACACACACACAAAGAGATAATAAAACAGCTCAGTCTCTGACATTTGTGAAATATCACACTTGTTGAGTGCCCACTGTGGGTATAATTTTATTCTGGGTTTTCTAAACTGAAGAATTCAGGTTTAAAATTCAGAACACCTCTAGAAATACAGAAAAATGTCTATTTCTCAAATGGAGATATCAATAGCAACTACCTATAAAATAGCTCTCCCTCAAAAAGGTCTTTCACTAAAAACAAGTACAAAAGAAAGCATCCTTTTTCAGCAGTAGGAACCCACAAGATCTTGTTCTTTGATTACAGGATTGAAAAATTCACATTTGTACACCTAGCACTGATTTCAGATTCATAGTAATGCCATCTATAAAAATTACAATTTCACATTTCAGAGGCCTGCCAACCTGGATATCTATGCTTAAAAAAAAAAAAAAAAACTATCAAAAGCAAGTAAGGAAAATATAGCTTGTCCTTAACACATTTCTAAGGTATTATGCAAAGGAAAATAAAAATTGTTTCATAGAGGTTTCTACTTCTTTCAGATCAAATTAATAAAGTCTCTCTTAATCACAGCCTTTTAAAATCTCAATAGTAGGAAAAGACACATTTACCCTAGCAATACCTGAACATTTCACTTATTAAGGTTTTAAGTGAATTGGAAAGGCATATATTAGTAATTAGTGGTAAATCTTAGACACCAAAAATTTAAAAGGAAAATAGTACCAAAAGTGTAGCTGTTAACAAAAAACTAAAACACTGTAACTACCCCAAATAAAATAATGAAGCACATACTATCCAAAAACCATCACCATAATCCAGCAAGTTCCAAAGTGATCCCTGAATTTACCTACTCATCTGTCATGAATGTTTATGTTTCTCTATGTCTACTGGATCAAGGAATCTTAATTCTTTTTCAGTATATTTTATGTGAAGAGTAGACAATTGTTACTCAGAATTGGGCCTTTCATCATTTCACTAGTGGTCCCTAACTCCATTAAAATAAATAAATATATATGGGGGGGTGGGGAAGATGAGAAAAAAAGAGTTAGTGAGTCATATTTACCTTATGTGAGACCTAATCTAAAATTTGCCAAATTCAGGGCTGAAATCTGAATAGGTGTATAAAAAGAGTTGTTACTCTCTCCTTCATATGTATACCCCATTTCTTGAAAGAAAAACCTTAAATACATTTCTAGGTTAAGGATTTAAAGCTGCCAAACTGCCATTGTACAAGAGGCTGAACAGACAGTAGGCAGAGTGACCAGTTTCTAAACTTTGCCCTCAAGGGATACAGGTTCAGACACATCAACCAAGCTTGAGGCAACAATTCAGAACTGGTGACACCAGCCTTTGTAACCAGAAGGCAACTGTTTTTCTGAAACTTCAGAAATATTCAAGCTGGAAAGGGTGAAATTTGTCTTTAAAAAGGAATATTCAAAAACTTTCTGATCATATTAAGACAGAATATAGGCAGAGTAACATTGTAGTGCTGTTGGTATACCTTTTTAAACCAAATTTATTTCTCTTCCTTGCTTACTAACTGACTCCTGCCCCAAAGAAGATTACGTAGAAACAGTCTTTATACTAATCTATGTTATGGCTTTGCTTTGCTATTTTTTTTTTTTTTTTTTGGTCTAAGTAAGATATTAGGGCTCGTGTTTACAAAAGTAAATGAAAGGATCAAATAACATGATTAATACATTTTATTACAAAGGTTTTAGAAGATGAGGGGCAGAGCTAACAAATTACCTTAATCATTAAAAAACCACAAAGTTGGAGAATTTTTTTAAAAAGAGTGGATACCAAAATAGCTTTTAGGAAGACGACAGCTTAATAGTCTCTTAAATTGCTGAAGAGAGCAAAAGAAAGCTTAAGATCTGGAGGATAAAAGTTATATCAAAAACATGCTAAAGAATACATTAAAACAAACAAAAAGGAAAGAGGAAAAAATAAACTATGCCTTAGAAGTTAAATCCTATCATAAATGAACATCATTTCTAAAGGACTATGGCCCACTTCAACACTCAAACAAAAAAATCCTCATTGCTAAAACAGCTTCAACATTCCTTTGGAGTTTGCTGTTAAAGAATTTATCCTGCATATATGGTAGACACGAAACACATCCTGAAGAGACTCAGAATATCTGCAAACATAAAACTGCTTCTCTAAATTGCATTTACTGGCCTTGAATCCAGTAGAGTAGGGTTCAGCTATGACATGAAGTGTGTCATCCTGGGGAGGGGGAGCAATTTGAAGAAAAAGGGCACTTTGCTACAGTTAATTCACATGGCTATAATAGTCTACAAGTTTCTCCTCAATGCCAAATATCTACTAAGAATTTAAAAAAGCAGATGAAACTTTCTATTTCCAAGAATTCATGTGATAAAGGGTAATCATCACAGAGTTTACATATGCTCAGTTTTCTTAAAGCCATAGATTTTATTCCAGAAAGGAGAAAGTACATGGCATTAATAAACCACACATGCCATGAATTTTAGAACACTAAATTATTTTTCTCTGGCTTATCAACCAGTTATATCCATGGGCTGCAAATTATATCCATGACAAAATTGATAACATTTTGCAACATGTCAAAGAAAGACCAACATTTTTGCCTGAGTGTCCCACTAATCTTTATCTAGAGTTATTATTCTTGGACTTTCTACAAAAGTTTCTTTTCAAATAATTTATGAATTACAACAACTGGAAAGAATACTGTGAGAACCTGAATACTTCAATCAAACACTGAAGGCAACAATCTTCCTCTTTAAACCATCTCTCCTGCCTGAATTTTTATATACTAAAATAACCCCACTCCTTCATTTCTGCAGGAGTAGCCAGAATAAGGTGGCATTCCTTGGCCGTCACAAGTCCCAGGTCAAAACGTCTCCATTCTTCAATGTTCTAACAAAGGTTTCTGGCCCTGCAGCTCATGTCTGTGTGATTCAATCTTGTTCTCAATGAGAGAGATCTCTAGCACAGGTAAGAGTAGCTGAAAGGCGTCCTGGATGTAGGAGGCACTGTTTGATGCCTGCCAGGATTGAAAAAACAAGAAAAAGAAAATATTAGTTATTTAAAAGAGAAGATATACTGTAAGGCAACAGGGGAACAGATTAATTTTTGTAATCTAACTGAATTCATAGCCTGGCAAGTAAGAGCAGTGACTTGGCCATTTTGGTAAACTCTATTATAGGGAGAAGAATTTAGCTCTTAAGATGATATGAGCACCAAAAGAGAATGTCAGCATTTTGTACAACTTGCCCATCAGACATGGTAGCTTTTCTTTGGCAACATGGTCAGACTTGGCATTCAAAGCTTATTTATTCCTTTATTGAGTAGGGTAGATTCTGTCACAATATTGTGGTCAATTACTGAAAGAGGCTTTCAGAAGGCTATAAATCCTACACCTATAGAATTTCTAGCCCATTATGATAGCTCTTTTTCCATGGACTCAATGCGATCAGTGAGCACAATAACTGCTCACACACATAAACATCTTTCACACATATACTGCTTTCAAAGATGACAGTATAGATATATTTCTATCTTGAACAACATTTTTCAGAAGTGTTAGAGAATCATTACCCTCAGTTTGCTGGACTTCATTTATACTGAAAAGCCCTCACCTTTCAAAAGAATATCAACAGAGAGCTCATTAAGATAAAAATGTATAATTTCGAAGACAAGAGTGTTTCAAATCTGTATCCAAAAAAAAAATCCACTAAAAATAATAGGGAGCCCATATCAAGTGATATTACCTTTTTAAAATTTATCAATGGCAAGTACTATTTAAAATTCAGTGTGACATTTAATACTCAATTTCCCACACAAAAGGGACCTCAGATATCGTCTAGTTAAATCTCTTATGTTGCACATGAAAATAACGAAGTTTGTCAGAGTCACACAACAAATCAAGGAAGATCCAGGGCAACACGGGGCTCCTGGTTTACAAAGTCTTTTCTACTGCACCACTCTGCCATTTACTAAATCACAAACTTATATTTTTAAAAATTATTACAATGATCAAAATAGTTTCCCTGACTACTTGATTAAAACTGTGTAATTAAAGAATTAAAATCATTTCCTTGATGGTAATGTCAAAAGAATTTAAAACTAGAGAAGTAAGAGTTTGGTAGTTAAAACATTTTTTCAATTAACATCTAAAACTTAACTATCAAATATATTTTCTCCCCCCAGACTTACATAAACATGTTTTAAACAAATCATCAAAAAGTCTATGTTGTCTGCACAGTTAGTTTACAAGGTAGAGTTCTTAAAACATGGAATCCAGAAAACATCACATAGGGAGGTAATATAATCAGTCACAGGATCCTCTTTTCCATTGACTTAAACCATCTACCTTCTCAAATCTAATGGAATGATGAGGATAATGTAAACACTACCTTTCTGACAAAACAAAGCATGATTTCCTGGCAAGGAAATGACAACATGTTTTGTTTTGTAACAAACCTCTGCATAAACTTTAGTCCTAAATTAGGAAGCAGTGCTTACCTGTTTATAATTTTCAGCCCTTCATGTTTACCAGCTGGTATTCAGAAGGTGTTTCATTACTGTGAACCGTCCATTAAGCTGTCAAGGATTAGTACTAAGTAATGACAATCTACTGCTTCTTCCAGTACCCTGCAGCTTCAACTGTATGCTTTCTAATTAATAAGGAAGGAATACACATCAAATATACACTATTTCTGTCATATCTACATCAATATGGCTAAACTACCAATATGGTGAATAAAATAAAAAAGCCAAAAGCAAAAGGCTTCAGAAGAGTTAATTATACGTAATACCTTTGGAGTCAGAGACTTAAAAACAATTACTAACCTCTAGAAATACTGCAGTGATTAATGGGTTAAGGACATCTGCCATTTCTTTGACCTGGAATAACGAATACATTTTTAAGTGAGCAGAGTAGGTTAAATAACAGTAAGTGGAGTACGATCACACTTTAAAACACACACACACACCCATACATAAATATTAAATATAAGCACAGAAGTCTGGACTGAGAGCAAAATGTCATCTTTAGAATGGAAATTCTAAGTGTTTTAAACTTCTTTCTTAATATCTTTCTGTGCTATCCATATTGACAGTGTATTGTTTTATACCTTTTTATTGACTTTAAAAAGTATCTTCATTTGACCACAAAACCTTAGAACCATTTTAAAACAAAACATGTAGATATGGAACATGTGCTCAAAAAACTCAAGGGTCTTTAACACAAGCTGTTTAGAAAAATCTTACAAATAAATAATGTAAATTTAATACTTGTATGTGTCAGCATCTTATAGTTGATATGCTGGCTTAAAGTATCTTTATGGAACACACAGAAAGATTTGGCCTTGTAAGATTAACTTCAGGAAACCCAGATCCTTTTGTCAAGAAAATACTACAGGGAAAAGTGAAGCTGTACCAAAAGATTATCCTTTACAGGAATAATCTAAACTCAAATTTTAAAAAATTAACTTAGGCCATGGTCTTAATTAAAACAAATGTAATGTTCATGACTAGGGCTTTAAAATAAATAAATAAATAAAATTTAAGAACCCACAGTAATTTTGCTGCTACACTGACACTGATATACTTACTATAAAGTAATTTTCATTTGCTTGTTTAAAATGCTCTTGATTTTATCCCAACTCATTATTACTGGTTTCTCAATCATCTTCCATAGCTCACACATCTTCATAAATTTTTACAATTCCAATTTTTAAAATCCCCAAAAGACTTTAGCTTTAACTACTTCTCTCCCACCGGCTGGCAACTGCATACTGTGAGCACTGCCATAGTCTAAGTACAGAGTTGCTCTTTAAAACCAGAGTCAAAATCTGAAGTTTGAATTTTATCAAGGTCTATATTTCCATTATAGGTCTCAGAAGATAGCATAAAAAATACTGAAAACTTCATAAACAGAAGAAAACAAAAATTAATTAGAATTAGACATAGACAAGCTGATCCTAAAAGTCATATGAAAATGCACAAGGCCCCAAGCAGTCAAAAAATCTTGAAAATAAGAACAAAGTTGGAGGACTTACACTTCTTGATTCCAAACCTACTACAAAACTACAATATCAAGACGATATGACACTGGCATTTGGATAAACATACAAATTAATGGACTAAAAATCAGAGTCCAGAAACAAACCCATATATCTATGGCCAACTGATTATCAACAAAGAAGCCAAGAGAATTTAACGGAGGAAAGAACAGTCTTTTCAACACATAGTACTGGAACAAACGGATATCCATATGCAAAAGCATGAAGCAGGGCCCCCTACCTTACACCATACACAAAAATTAACTCAAAATGGATCACAGACATAAATGTAAGGGCTACAACCAAACTTTTAGAAGAAAACAGAGGAGTAAAATTTCACTGCAAAGGACACGATCAAAAAGCGAAATGACAACTCATGGACTTGGAGAAATACGTTCCCATCAAAAATCTGATAAGAAACTTGTACTAGGAAAATTAAAAAAAAAAAAAAAAATCTCCTACAAGTAATAATAAAAACACAAACAACCCAAGTTTTAAAACAAGTAAACTGCTGAAATAGATATTTCTCCAGAGAAGCCAGACAAATAGCCAACCAGCACATTAAAAGATGTTCAACATTGGCGCTGGGCACGGTGGCTCATGCCTGTACTCCCAGCACTTTGGGAGGCCAACGCAGGTGGATCACCTAAGGTCGGGAGTTCGAGACCAGCTTGGCCAACATGGTGAAACCCTGTCTCTACTAAAAATACAAAAATTGGCTGGGCATGGTGGCAGGTGCCTGTAATCCCAGCTACTTGGGAGGCAGAGGCAGAAGAATCACTTGGACCCAGGAGGCAGAGGTTGTAGTGAGCTGAGATCATGCCATTGCACTCCAGCCTGGGTGACAAGAGCAAAACTTAAAAAAAAAAAAAAAAAAAGAAAGAAAGAAAAAAAGATGTACATTAGGGAAATGTAAATCAAAACCACAATGAGATACTATTTCATACCCACTAGGATGGCTAAAATAAAAACAAACAATAAGTATTAGCAAGGATACGAAGAAACTGGAACCCTTACACACTGCTGGTGAGAATGTAAAACTGTGCAGCCAATTTGGAAAACAGTTTGGTAATTCCTTAATGACCCATATCACCCATATGACCCAGCAATTCCACTCCTAGCTATCTACCCAAGAGAAATGGAAACATATTCACATAAAAACATACATGCATGTTCATAGCAACATTATTCATTATAGCCAAAAAGCAGAAATAATCCAAATGTCTACTAACTGATGAACAAATAAAATGTGATATATATCCATAAGACAGATTTTTTGGTAATAAAAAGTATTAATACATGCTACAATGTGGATAAGCCTCAAAAACACTATGCTAAGTGAGGGAAACCAAACACAAAATACCACATATTGTTTAATCCCATTTATGTGAAAGATGCAAAGCAGCCAAATCTATAGAGAAAGAAAGCAGATTCATGGTGCGTAGGGCTGGGGAAATGTGGAGTGAAAGGGAATGGGGATTGTACGAGTTTTGGGGAAGGCTGATGAAAATGTTTTAAAATTAGACTATGGAAATGGCCGCGCAACTCTGTAAATATACTAAAAACTAAAAACTATTGAATTGTACACTTAAAGTGAGCAAATTTTATGATATTTAAACTGCTAAAGAAACCAGACAAACATTATTGCAGTAAGAGGCATGGATTCTTACCCCAGCAGTTGTTAGGCAGGTAGTGAACTCTTTAGACAGAGAGGACAACTCTTTACACAACACAATTGTCATCCTAGGAAAGAAAGGAAAAGTCAGAAACGTTTTTTCTTTTTTTAAAAAAATAAGTTATATTTAACAATTGTCAGAAGAGAACAAATCACTTCTGGTACTAAATGTGAAAGAAGAAAGCTTTTCAAGGGAGTAAATACAGTATCCCCCCCTTATCTGTGGTTTCACTTTTTGCAGTTTCAGTTACTCATGGTCAACAATGATCTGAAAATAATAAATAAAAAATTCCAGAAATAAATAATTCATAAGTTTTTAATTGCACATCATCTTGAGTAGTGTGATGAAATCTCTCATTGTTTTCTCCATCCCACCCAGGACATGAATCATCCCTTTGTCCAGCATATCCACAGAACCCACTCATTAGTCAGCTATTAATATTAGCCATCTCGGTTATCAGACTGACTGTTGTGTTATCACAGTGCTTATGTTCAAGTAACCCTTATTTTACCTAATAATGGCCCCTGCTATGGTTTTGATATGTCCCCTCTAAAATTCATGTTGAAATTTGATTCCCAACATGGCAGTATTAGGAGGTGGGACCAAGTGGTAGGTGCCCTCATGAACAGATTAATGCAATATCACAGTAGTCAGTGAGTTCTCACTCTGGGGGGAATAAATTAGGTCCCAGAGAACACGTAGTTATAAAGCAAGTCCAGTCTTTCATGCAGGTCTCTTTGCACACATCCATTTGTCTTTCTGCTTCTTTACCATGTTGTGGAGCAGTACATGGCCCTCACCAGAAGTCAAGCAGATGCCACTGCTATGCTCTTGGACTTTCTAGCCACCAGAATCATGAGCCAAATAAGCCTCTTTTCTTTGTAAATTACCCAGCCTCAGATATTCTGTTACAGTAACAGACTTTCTAGCCACCAGAATCATGAGCCAAATAAGCCTCTTTTCTTTGTAAATTACCCAGCCTCAGATATTCTGTTACAGTAACATTAAATGGGCTAAGGCAGACCCAAAGCCCAAGAGTTGTGATGCTGGCAATTCAGATATGCCAAAGAGAAGCTATAAAGTGCTTCCTTGAAGTGAAAAGGTAAAAGATCTTCACTTAGTAAGAAAAACAAAAACATATGCTGAGGCAGCTAAATCTACAATAAGAATGAATTTTCTATCCGTAAAACTGTGAGAAGGAGAAAGAAATCATGCTAGTTTTGCTGTTGCACCACTAACTGCAAAAGTTATAGTAACAGTGTGTGATATGTACTAAGATGAAAAAAAGCAAACTACTCATCTGACAGGAGACTAATATCCAGAATATACAAGGAACTCAACAATAAAAGAAAATCTCATTAAAAAATGGGCAAAGGACATGAATAGACATTTCTCAAAAGAAGACATACAAATGACCAACAGATACACGAAAAAATGCTCAACATCACTGATGTATCAATCATCAGGAAAATGGAAATCAAGACCACAGTGAGCTATCATCTCACCCCCGTTAGAATGGCTATCATTATTAAAAAGACAAAAAATGGCTGGGCATGGTGGCTCATGCCTATAATCCCAGCACTTTGGGAGGTCAAGGCAGGTGGATCACTTGAGGTCAGGAGTTTGAGACCAGCCTGGCCAACATGGTGAAACCCTGTCTCTACTAAAATACAAAAATTAGCTGGGCATGGTGTGCACGCTTGTAATCCCAGCTACTCAGGAGGCGGAGGCAGAAGAATCACTTGAACATAGGAGGCAGAGGTTGCAGTGAACGAGATTGCGCCACTGCACTCCAGCCTGAGTGACACAGCAAGACTCCATCTCAAAAAAAAAAAAAAAAATTGATGCTGGCAACAATTCCAAGAAAAGAGAATTCTTATACATTGTTAGAATGTAAATTAGTACAACCACTATGAAAACCAGTATGAAGATTTTTCAAAAAATAAAATGGAACTACCAAACTACTGGGTATTTAGCCAAAGGAAAATAAATAAATAAATTATATCAAAGGGATACCTGCACCTGCATGTTTATTGCAGCACTATTCACAACAGCAAAGATATAGAATTAACCTAAGTCAGTTGAAAAATGGATAAAGAAAATGTGGTGTGTATGCGTGTGTGTGTATATATGTATGTGTGTGTATATATATGTGTGTGTATATATGTATATGTGTATACACACACACATATAATGGAATACTATTCAGCTATTTAAAAAAAATGTCATTTGCAGCAACATGGATAGAACTGCAGGTCACGAGGTTAAGTGAAATAAGCCAAGCACAGAAAGACAAACACCTCATGTTCTCACTCATATGTGGGAGCTAAAAAAACATGATCTTACGGAAATAGAGAACAGAACAATTGTGATACCAGAAATGGGGAAAGGTGGGTGCGTGAGTGGGTGGGGATGAAGAGAAGTTGGTTAATGAGTACAAACATACAGTTAGATAGAAAAAAATAAAGTCTAATGTTTGATAGCAGAATAGGGTGACTATACTTAGCAATAATATTTTGTATATTTCAAAATAATGTAAAGCACTTGAAATGATACCAACATATAGACATAATAAATACTCAAGGTGATGAATACCCCAAATACTCTGACTTCATCATTATACATTCTATGCATATAACACTCACATGTACCCCATATATATATATTATGTATCAGTAAAATATTTTTTAAAAAGACGGAAAAGGCATTAAATTTGTGGGTGGAAGACATGAATGGAAATGTGTTCCAAATGACGGCAATCAAGTTTGGTACTATCCACAGTTTCAGGAATCCACTAGGGACTTAAAACATAACCCATACAGATAAGGGGTTACTACTGTATGCCTAAATCAGCCACCTGAGGTATAAGAAGACCCATCTGAGCAGGCACTCATGCTACATAAAAAGGAAGTTCAGTCCTTAGAAAAACATTTCTCTACAAAATTCTCTAGAAAGCAGTATATGTTCCAGTTAAATCAAATAGAAAATAATTAAAATACATTTTAAGGAGACAACATCATACTCAAAATACCCTACATTCCATTTAGAAAAGTTAAAATATGTATTAATTAATTCTCAGTTCTTAATAATAGTTATTAGTTATTAGTTATTAGTTACTGGGTGCTAATTTTATGCCAGGCACCATGCTAAGGGATTTACATGTATCATTTCTAATTTTTACAACAACTCCAAAAGTAAGTGATTAGTCCATCTTTAATAATAGTTACCTAAAGTCTTGTGTGTGCCAGATTTTATTTAAAGTCTTTCAAGCAATGGGAACATATCAGTGAACAAGAAAAGTCCCAGTTTTCATGGATTTCAACTTACTTGCTAAATTAAGGGGGAGACTATATACATATACATATATACACATACACACATATGTATACATATACACACATATATATTCATATACATGTAAGTCCTACTTGGTGATATAAGCTAAGACAATAAAGCAGAGTAAAAGGACAGAGAATGGTGGAAGTTGCTATTTTAGACTTTGTGGTGAAGGAAGGCTTTTCTAAAAAGGTGGCATTTGAGTAGACTTGAATTCAGAGAGGGAGTGAACCCCATTTCAAAGAACATTCCAAGTAGCAGAAATAGCCTCTTTTCCGCAGAACAGGCTCCTTTTAGGGTTGTGAGTCTCTCATCCTTAAGGAAGTTCAAGAAGACAAATTAGCCCCCTATTATGGGGTGCTGTAGTGGGATGGTGATGGTGCAAGTAAAGAGGAAGTCTGCAGAAGACTGACAGCCCCTCCCAGTTCTAATAATGGGCACTCTTATACATTTGTTTCCAATGAAAATTCTCATTATTTTAATCAGGACATTTGCTTAGAAACTACTGGGCTTTTTCTTCCCTACCTATGATTATCTATACTATTTTTGAAAAATTTTTGTACAAATCAGCAATAAAATGAGAAAAAAAGAATGGGTTCAGGACACTCAGTCAGACCTGGGGCTAAATCCCAGGCCATACAGCACAGACAGATTACTTAACTCCTCCAGTTTGCATTTCCTCATGATTAAAACTGGACTAATTACTTACTTTTGGAGGTATAAAAATTAGAAATTATACATGCAAATCCCTTAGCATGGCACTTGGAATGGTATAAAATTAGCACTCAATAATAACTATTATTAAGAACTGAGGTTCTTAGAACTCTTCTCTGTTTTCACTTATACCAAATTCCATTCCTATTAAAACTTATCTGTAAAGAAATAGTCTTCAGAGCATGAGTTGGTTAATAAAAAGGGCATATTTATAATATTGATTTATCATGGTTCAATGAAAAGAAAAAAACAACCAAAATGAACAAACCATCTAATATGTGGATGGGTGTGACGTGAATGGTTTCTTGAGAGAGACGTTTATAAAACTTTGGAAACAGGCCAAGAAAACTCCTGCAATTTGCATCATTTAGAGGAATTCTCATTACACTTACTGGGAAAGAGTTTGGCTCCTTTCTATGGCTGTCACTTCCTGCTTCCTGCCATGCAGAACCAATGCAGCTGTTTTGTGGAATAGTTCAATTGAGCAGGCAGTCAGTTCAGCCAGGCTCCGGATTGCAAACGCATGGATATCCTGGATGGAAAAACAAAACAAAGCATAGCAAAACAAAACATTTGGTGGAAAGATACCACCTTACTTCTCTCATACTACAGGATTTGTAGCAGAGACTAATAGTTGCCTTCCAATAAAGAGTGTCTTCTTCTTCCACAGTAGTGATATAATTTTACAGCTGGGCTCCCCTGAAGTCAGGTGTGACGAAGTAACTAAGTTTTGGCCAAATGATTTAGATAACAAGTGTCAGGCAGCAGTTTCTGGGAACCTTCCTCATGACAAAACACACGCGCATCCTTTCTCTCTTTTTTTCTTCACTCCTCCTTTAATCTTATAGTCTGGATCTAAGATGCTACAATCCTAGATCACAAGGTTGAAATTACGGACAGCAGTGTAAAAATAGGAGCCTGGGTCCCTGATTGTGACACATTTCAAATCTACTAAAACAAACAAAAAAGGCTTAGTTGCTTTGGCTACCTCTATTGAATTTTTGTTGACTTGCTCAGTATTTTCTGCTTCCGACTGTTTTTCTCCTTCTTCATTCTCTGCTAATGGCTTGGTCAGAGACTTCCTGATCCATTCGTGGGCGGTATTTCTTGCCTAAATAAGAAAAATATTGGCCATCAACAATTCAATTCAGTTTACCAAAATTACTGTGCACCTACCAGGAACACAATAGCATCCTAGAAGTAAGGGCTCCTGTTCTTACCTGAACGTACCATCTAGCTTTTCAGTCCTTATCCTACTAGTCTCAGCAATACTTATCACTGTGGTCCATCATTCCTTTTCAAAATTCTCTAATTGGTAGTATTTTTTTTTTTTTTTTGAGATGGAATTTCGCTCTTGTTGCCCAGGCTGGAGTGCAATGGCACAATCTTGGCTCACTGCAACCTCTGCCTCCTGGGTCCAAGCGATTCTCCTGCCTTAGCCTCCCGAGTAGCTGGGATTACAGGCGCCCACCACCACGCCCAGCTAATTTTTGTATTTTTAGTAGAGACGGGGTTTCGCCAGGTTGACCAAGCTGGTCTCGAACTCCTGACCTCAGGTGATCCCCCTGCCTCAGCCTCCCAAAGTGCTGGGATTACAGGCATGAGCCACTGCGCCCGGCCTCTAATCAGCTTTTTAAAAAACCAAGGTATAATTTACATAAAGTGCACAAATCTTCAGAGTATGGCTTAAGAAATGTTTTTATGTGTATATGCCTACGAAACCGTGATCAAGATATAGAATATTTCCTCATCCCTAGAAGGTCCCTTCATGTCCCTTCCTAGCCAATACTATTCAAACCATGTCCCCCTCCTCCTGCCCAAAGACAAACCCTCTTCTGCTCACTATAAATAATTTTTCCTAATCTTAAAATGCATAAAAATAGAAATATAAGTTCATTCTAATTTGTGTCTGGCTTAAGCACAACATAATGTCTGTTAGATTTATCCATGTTGCTGCATGTATTAGTTCATTCATATTAACTGCTGTGTAGTATTTCATTTTATATACAGTCATGCACCACATAATGATGTTTGGGTCAACAGCAGACCACATATATAATGGTGGTCCTGTAAGACTGTAATACCATATTTTTACTGTACCTTTTCTATACCATTGTGTTGCAACTGCCTACAGTATTCAGTACTGTAACATGCTGTACAGTTTTGTACAGGAGCAATAGGTTAAACGATATAGCCTAGGTGTGTAACAGGCTACATCAGCTAGGTTTGTGTAAGTACACTCTCTGATATTCGCCCAATGACAAAACTGCCTAATGATGCAGTTCTCATAACATATCCTCATCATTAAGCAATGCATGATTGTATATATCACAATTTATCCATTCTCCTGATAATGAATCTAGTTTTCTTTGGTTTTTGTAACCCCAACTTTCTTCTGTTCTCCTCTGACCTTTATGACCATTTCTCCTCAGTATCTTTTATATATTGATCCTAACTGGCCAGTCTCTTAAACGCCAATATTATTTGGAGGTCTAGCCTTCACTCTTTACTCGTCTCATCCTATTCCCTCTCCATCCATCCTATGCCAGTGGTTTCAACTATCCTCAACCTGCTGTTGACTCTTAGATCCTTATTTCTAGACCTGACCTCTCCTGAAAACTTATTCCAAATGTCTGCTAGACAAAATACTCTGCAGGCATCACACATACAACAAATAAAAACTTTGAACTCATTGTCTTTCTCTTCTTACCCCAAATTTTTCAACCTCTTTTATTTCCCAAAGTTTTAGAGGTGCCACCAGGTACCAGTTACCTGAGCCAAAATATAGGGGCCATCTTAGATTTTTTTCCTCTCCAACCAATCACCAAGATGGTCTGATTTTATCCAAGCCCCTCATCATCCTCTTCCCGTCTTCCTCCTCCCTATTACCACTACTTGAGTTCAGATCCACTTCATGACTGGTCTCTCTGCTTCTGATCTGTTTATCTTAAATCTATCTTCCAAAATGCTACCAGTGATCTGTCTTAAGCCCAGGGCTGACCATTCCTCTTTCCTTCAATGGCTCCTCATCAACTAGATCATGCTCTTTACATGATGTAACAGGTCTCCATGACCTAGACCCTACCTACTTTTCCAGCCTCATCTCTTATCATTTTCCACTTTATCTTCTGGTAAGAATGACCTCTACTGTACTTGTTCTTTCAATCCTCTACCCAGACATCATCTCTTTCAGGTAACTTAAATTCAGAACTTAACCAAATATAGTAGAATTATCTGTTTCCTAACTAAACTATGTATTATAGGATAGCTAGAGAGTGTTTTATTTGGCTTTGCACACCCAGTGTCCAGCACACTGTGAAGAACATCTACTGTTTTGGATATGGATATGACCAGCACCCATATCTCCTTTCTTTTGGTGGCAGGTTCTAGATTCTCCTTAGTTCATGTGACCTGGGTGCAGCTGCTTCCATCTTTTGGCTCCAAAAGTTGGCAAACCATTCAGATTTAGCTACTGAGAATACTAATACCCCTGTCCACAGAGTAAGTGGTGCATAGATTAAAAAGTAACCCAAGCCAGATCAATGGACATCAGTCTCAGGACATCTGGTAAAATTATCAGCAAAAAGAAGTGTTCTTTCAGTAAGAGTTACCGAAATGGAAAAAAGTCACCCACCCTGAAGCTGCCAATGGTCATTTTACCACCATATGGAAAAGCTTCCCTAAGAATGAAGCCAAAACAAAAAGGAAGCAAGCCGAAAGACACAGATAGGGATAGAGATAGGTTCCTGAATAGAGCCATGCCTGAAGCCAGTTCTGCTCCTTGATTTTCTATTTTCTTGAGCTACTGAATTCCCCTCTTTTAAATTAGTTTCTGTTATTTTTTAAGTTTCTTAACTTGAGTTTCTGTCATTTGCAAGTGAAAGAGTCCTGGTTTCTCAGAAACTGTTTATTACCACCTAGTTTATTAACTTTACATACACAGAATGTGTTCAAAGCTGTCATGAGGTAATAGGAATCCAGAGAAGACTTTGAGAGTCATTCTAACTGAGAAAACAGGTTTTATTACACATACAGTACTGGAGTTAGGCCTTGAAGGATCAGCAAGTGGGGCTACACCCAAGGCTACCCGAATGAGCTAAAGCAGACCTGTGTTCCCAGAATTTCACTGTAGGGTTCTTTCCCTATATCCTCCCACAAAAACATTCAGGAACAATCTAGCTCTGATCTATACCTTCCCATTACTTAAGCATTAACCTCTCAAATTCAAAACACCAAACAGCATGAACTATATAAAGGCTTGGAAACAGAAAAATGCAAAGTGTGTAGGCAAACAGTGAGATATCTAGCAAGACCAAAATATAGGATACTGGCATTTTACTCATTCATTTATTGCAAATATATACTAACACTGTGCCAGTGCTGGGGATTCAATGGTGAATAATACAAACTAGGAGTCTGCTCTTCTCTCTCCTAATAAGGCAATTAGCAAGCAAACAAACAAAAACATACATAAAGAAAATAAAATGGAGTAACGGTGGGTATGGGTAGAAGGTGGCTTGAGTTTGGGTGGTCAGGAAGGGTCTCTGAAAAGTTATGTTTCAGCTGAAATCTGAAGGAATTGGCCATACAAATAGTTAGGCAAAGAGAGTTGTAAGCACAGGGAAATCAGCTTGGTACACCTGAGAAACAGAATAAAGGCCAGTAAGGAAGAATATAGAGGATGAGGAGTGTGACAGAAAATTAGGTTGGAGTAGTGAGGTTTACAGAAGAGAACACTGAGAGATGAGGCTGGAAAGAATCATAACAGTTGACTAATAATACAAACAATATGTTAAATTCTTTGCAATATCTTTGAAGAGACAAATTGAGTAAAAAAATGAAGGATTAATTTATCAGAGATTAAAAAAGAAAAATGGAGAGTGATAGACCACATAAAAGAAAAAACGGATACCATAAATTTAATATACCCAAAGGAGATTTTTTTTTTTTTTTTTTGAGATGGAGTCTCACTCTGTCGCCCAAGCTGGAGTGCAGTGGCATGATCTCAGCTCACTGCAACCTCTGCCACACTGGTTCAAGCTATTCTCCTGCCTCAGCCTCCCGAGTAGCTGGGATTACAGGCACCTGCCACTGCGCCTGACTAATTTTTGTAGTTTTAATACAGACGGAGTTTCACCATCTTGGCCAGGTTGGTCTTGAACTCCTGACTTCATGATCTACCCACCTTGGCCTCCCAAAGTGCTGGGATTACAGGCGTGAGCCACCGCGCCTGGCCAGGAGATATTTTAGTAGGCATAGAGCATACCCAAAGTGACCTCTCTTGTAATAAATATATTAAGTGAAATCATCATGAACTATTGTGCCAACTCAAGGTAATTTATTATCCTTTCCCAAAATAATTAATGTCATCCACGACCACATTTCAGTCTGGAACTTCCCACTTGTTGAGATCTGCAGATCTCAATAGGTACCTTTGAACTTGGCTTCTCCAAAAGCTTATTTATTTCCAACAGAAAAATAATGAGGCCCACAGAAGAAAATGAATTTGCCCCAGGCCACACCACATGTGAGTATTAGAACAAGAATCAGAATCACAGAATCATATTCCCGGACTCCTAATTCAGTGCTCTTTCCCCTACATCACAGCCTGCCATATAAATCTTTTGAGGGCCAATGGTTAAGGCCTTGATCCTTAACCAATCTACATCTTAAGTCTCAATGCCTAAAATTTAAACAATCTGAAGATTGCTTTCAGAGAATGGCGAGAACTGCCAGACAGATAAGGAGTTACTGGCCTTACAAAAATACGTATTAATGTGATCTCTCATTAAGCATGTAAACTATGTCTTTTTCATGATTATTTCCCTAGCACCTAGCAAATTACTAAGCATAATAAAGGTTTATTGAACACATATGTATATTTATTGAACAGCTACATGTAGAGGACATCGGGCTGTCTTCTGTGGAGCCATCAACAGTGAGCATTTATTTACTATGAGCCAGGCCCTTTGTAAGAGCTATGTGTGTGAACACATTTAAACCTCACAGGAACTCTACATTATTACAACTCACCTCACAGATAGAAAAAAATGAGGCTCACAGAGGTCAAGCAATTTGCCAAAGGTCACACAGAAAGTAATAGGTAGTAGAGCTGGAATTTTAAGGAGTAGGTATGTACAGATCCTGCCTTCAAGAAATTTAAGCTTCAGGATAGGAGGTAAGATACACATATTTTTTAAAAACTATAATAAATTTATAAAAATACCTATGCACAAGGCTAAGTGAAAAAAGCAGAGCGCTAAAGAACAAATATAGTATGTTGACTTTTCCATCAGAGGAGATAAGAAAATATATCTGCTTATCTTTACAAAAAGAAACTCAGGAAGGATAAGCCAGAAACAAGAAAGATGAATACCTATAAAAACAGGTGAATGGAGTGGAAGGGGAGTGGGATGGAGAGACCTGAGTATATTTTTTGTGCAGTTTGATTTTTGGAAGCGTATTAATACTGTACATATTCAAAAATAAAATTAACACATAGGGCAGCAAATAAAACAATTTTTTGTAGGTTACTTTTGTAGTACAGGTCAAGTATCCCTTATATGAAAATCCAAAATTCTCCAAAATTTGAAATTTTTTGAGTGCCAACATGATGCCACAAATGAAAAATTCCACACCTGACCTCATATGATGGGTTGTAGTCAAAATGAATTGAAAATTTTGTTTCATGCACAAATTTTTTTAAAATATTGTATAAAATTATCTTCAGACTATGTGTATAAGGTATACATGAATATAAATGAATTCTGTAATTAGACTTGGATTGTACCCTCAAGATACAGCACTATATGTGTATGTGTGTGTGTGTGTGTTTATTTGTGTGTGTATGCAAATATTCCAAAATCCAAACAAAAATCTGAAATCTGAAACACTTCCCTGTTCCAAGCATTTTGGATAAGGGATACTCAATCTATAGTATAGGCAAAGCAATAAAACCATTTCAGATACATCTCATAATTAAGGAAATGTGCTAATATTGTTGGGAGACAAGGTTCCTACTGTAGAAGGGAGATACAAATGTGTAATGGGGAAAGGCAAGGAAAAACCCTGTAGGGATGGATTAAAATTGGAGTTATACTGTGTGTGAAGTCATGATTTCTAAAATACATATAGGTGTACACGTGCACATATGTATCTACAAACATAACACATATAGGTGTATATGTACCTGAGTATATTTTCCAGCTCTGCTGACAGCCTAGAATCAAAGCCATGCCAGTGGCAATGAGTACACTTAGTACTCATGTCTTGGTCTATAAAACCAAAAGGGAATGAATCATGCTTTCTCAAAGAAATGTCTGGTTGCAGGGCTGGGGCACAGAAGGCATAAGATGAGTCTAGAATATCTTGTTATGCCAGAAAATAAGGAAGCACCCAAAAATGATGGAGGCATGCCACCTAGGAGCCAGCTTGAAAGACAAATTTGAACATCAAAATAATTAAGGACAGTGATGAATTACAAGCCAATGGGGGAAAAGCAGAACTCCATGAAAGCATACTGATAACAAATTAAAAAAAGAACAAAATGGGGGAGAAAGGAGAGGTCATGACTATTCTAGAATGCTGAAAGCCAACTGGTAAATCTTCACATTAAATATTGGTGCCAGAATCATAAATAAATGCTAGATTTAGAAGAGAAATTATGATGAATAGCAGGATATTTGTATGGTCTTACAGTATCTCCTCACAGAAAGTTTATTAGCAAGATAGGAAAATAAACTTTAACTGTACAGAACAAAATCAGACAACACATCACCAATAAGGGGCAGATGGATATCATGTACCTTTAGATGTGATACCCTGGGCAGGACACACCATCACTTATGGAGTATTTTGGCCAGGAATGTATAAACTGACATTAATCATGAGAAAGCATTAGAGAAACTCCAAAGCTTGTTTTTCAAAAACACCAACGTCATAAAAGACAAAAAGACAAAAAAAGACTGAAGAACTATTTTAGATTAAAGGAAACTAAAAGTACATGGCAACTAAATACAATCTGTGATCATGTACTGGCTCCAGTGGTAGAGGAAAAAGTTTGGTATTATTGGACATTATTGGGTCAACTGATGTAACTGAAATATGGAAAATAGATTACAACAAATTAGTACAACAAAAGTACTAATGTTAAATTTACTGAAGTTGATAGCTACACTGTGGTTATGTAAGGGAATATCCCTATCCTTAGCAGACACATACTGAAACATTTAGAAGAGCAATAATGTTTACAATTTACTCTCAAATAGTTACAAAAATAAAGTGTTTATCTATATATGTATACATGTATTTACACAGAGAAAGAACACATGTGAAAGCACAAATGTTTGAGCAAATGAAGTAAGTATTAACAGTACTGGATTTGCATAAAAGGTATACAAATATTGTTTGTGCTACTCTTGTAACTTTTCTCTAAGTTTGATATTATTTCCAAAATAAAAAGCACTATAAGATCAAAAGTGCTTTAGTAAAGTGTTACAGTAGAGGTGAGGGAGATGAGCTGCCTGGGGATGATCTAAAAGAGCTTTTTCAGAGAATGCAGCATTTTCGATGGGCATAGGAGAGTGGGATAACACACCAAACATCATAGTTTTTGCCCTGGGGGATGGAGACAAGGTGACTGGGTTGACTATGCAATAGCTCTCACCTCTCCCTGGCCAGGAAACAATGTGCACCTGCAGCTGACTGGTCCTGAAATGCTTCTCAAGATTGGTAGAGGTGGGTAAAGAGGTAGCAAGCAATCCATGACCCAGTGAACAGTGTCCCAAGAGCAGGCACTGGCTTATACTTGCCACAGAACCTCCCTACCCACTCTGAGCTTTGATTAAAGTCTCTCCACATTCCAAATATAAGAAAATAGTTCCAGAATCAGCACCAAAAATAAGGGCCTTGGTCATAATACTCTCTCATTTCCACACGCCAAATAGTCATTATCTGAGTCACTGGGCTCTGGGTAATGACAACCTCTAATCCCTATGGGCAAGGCCACATATCATCTCTAAATCATTCAGATCCCTGAGAACAGTGAGTCCTCGACAGAGGCTCACCCACTGGAATCATGAGGCTGGTCATCACTGCCAACTTTTAATGACCAACATTGTAGACTAAATTAAGCTTTCAGATAAGCAAAGCATCCCAAATGAAAACAGGTAAGGATGGGACACGTGTTGTGGGGCAGATGTGGCTTCAACACACTAACCTGGAGGAGCAGAAGGCAAGTAGATGCAGAACCCAATTCTGGGTATAACGAGAATATACCTTCGATTTTGGTGACACCTCTGCCAGGAATTTATAATCTTATGCTCTTTATCCACTACATTTTTACAAGTAAAATAATGAAAATCACCAAGAAGCAATAACTTACCCTGGCAAGTTTCTCTGGTTTGGAGGAAACGTGCAGCTGGGAAAACAGCTCTGTTATGTCCTTGGTAAAATCTTCATCCCCTAAAAAACCAAGTCCCATATAAAACACTCCAGAAAGACTGCTGAGGATCATGAGGTGGCAGGCGAGGAGGAAGAGGAGAGGAGTGGTAATAGCAGTGACAGTAGTAGTAATAACAATAGTAGCAGCAGTAATGTACATGAGCATGGTGCTTTAGTGCTTATAGAATCCTTTTACGTATATCAATAAATGCTTCAATGGGCTTGAGAGAAAAGTGCCATTATTCCATGTTAGAGATGAAGTGATAAAGGCTTGAAGACATTAAGTGACTTCCCCAAGACTGCATAGCAAAGATTAGTAGTCAAACCTTAGTCTTCCTACTCCCAGTCCAAACCCTGTGCTGTGCTTTTTGCATTATATCCAGAGCAAGAATATAGAAATGGTGACAGCATAGACTAAGCAAGTACTGTACATGCGCTTCCAAGAAAGTGGAGTTTAAGTTGGGACATCAAACTTGAGTACAAGTTAGCCAGGAGAATAGGAAGAGTTTCAGGCAGAGAAACAAATGTAAAAAGCCAAAGGTGAAAGAAAGTATGGGAAGAAGTTTAATATGATTGAGAATATCTAACGTAAGGGGGAGAAGTGGTAAGCTAGAAAGGTAAGATCCAGATAATAAAGGCCATATAATCGATGGTGAAGAATTCAAACTTTATAATGAGGAAGTGAGGAACCACTGAATGGTTTTAAGCAGAAACAGAATCACATTTAAATTTTAGAAAGATCACTTTGGTGGCTGGGTGGAGAATGGATTAGAAGGCGGAAAAGAAGAGAGGCAGGCTGAGGCAATAATCTAGGATCCAGGTAAGACAAAATGGTGGATAAGAAGAAAAAAGGATCAATCATTATGCATCCATAATAATTAAAAATAAAAAGAAGAGAAGCAAAGGGGATTCCAGAACGTTGGAAGGATGGTAAGGAAGCTGTTGGAGTTAGTCTTGTGAAAGATGATGGAGAACCAGGAACACTTACAAAGAAACAAGCAAGCAAATGGGTGACTCAAGATCAAAAAGCAATTAGCAAATCCAATCAGTGCGAAATGCTCTCTTTCCCTCTCCACTCATCTGAATCCTATACACTCCCCACTTTGTGGTCCAGCCCAAGGCTTCTCTGCAACATGGAATGCAGAAGAGAACTCTTGTACATAGAAATCTTCTAGCAATCTATTTACAGTCTATAGAATATTTCTTAATTCACTATAGTTTGCCAGGGCAAATCATTACTGCTTCATACTCAGCATCTTCCCTAATATTCCCAGGAATAAAACAGTGTATCTTGGCTCTTCTCTCTCCATCCACTATCCTTTTGTCCCTCTCTCTTGGTGTTTAAGGCAGAGAATTAAATGATTTAGTGATCTCAGGTATAATAAGGTTTGGGAAAAGCTGATCTCACTAACTGATACAACTCTTCCTACATAACTCATCTAAACAACTGCTAATAATATCCTACTATTTAGGTAGACATTTTGTTTTCTCAAGTAATTTATAATTTGGATACAAGGGATGAATCTGAACCCATAGTGGGATGCATATACCCAAAGAGGTTCACAAAATAATTCAATGGAGGGCAGGAAAAAAAATGGACTTTTTTATTTATAGAGATTTATCTCATTCTATTAAAAATTCTATTTTAGGGTATATTTTAGAATGTTAATTATACATTATTATGGTAGTACATATAATTTATATAATTTACATATAAATTATTTATATTCACATATAATTTATATGAATTTACAGATTATATAATTTATAAACATCCAAATACCCACATATTATGTCTGAATGTGAAACACTGCTTAGAGTTGTGATAAAAAAATTTTGAAGATTACTGTCATCTACTGTTTAGAATTGAGTAGAAAAAGTAGTTATTGCATTAGAATAAAAATGTGTAAGGATGGAAAAGAGACTGGTTTAGTGCTTTGGAGGGACTCTGGAGAGGGGCTGGAAGACTCCTTCTGAAAAAAGGAGTCAGGTACATATGGTAGAGGGGCAAGAGCCCAGGATGCTCATGGAAAATGAAGATAACCAACATCATAACCAGAACCAGTTTCTATGGTATTCTCTCCCCTCTGATACCACCACTTTTTTAAAAAACAGCTTCATAGAGACATAATTAAATACTAAGGTCACTATTGCATTCTCAACCAAAATCACTGGGGAAGGCTGGGGCACAGTGAGTGGTGGGGGGAATCCAGTGCTATCTTTTCAGAGTTCTGATCTCTGGTGAACAAGTAGGAGAAAAAAATATCATAGACACAAATCCATCTGTTTAGAAAACTACTTGGAGTTCTCTGAATGGTATTTAAAGACTGAGATTTCTGATTACTATGCAAAGCCAGATGTTGAGTAAATTGAACAAATACTGTTAATGGCACTACAAACAAATAAGTTTATAAATAACTGAGGACTGTCATGTCAAGGCTTGATTAGGAAATTAGGAACAATGGAGCAACTTAAGAAAATCAAAATTAATTTCTTGGTTTCCTGCTAAGACTTTTAAAATGCATATTTTTACCTATTTATTTATGCCCTCCTAATAATGAAAGTAATAACAGCTACATTTATTGAGTGCTTACTATATGCCACATATTAAATATAGTATTTCATTTAATCCTTATTACTTGAGAGGAATTAGCATACTCTTCTTACAGGTTAGGAAACAGAAGCTCAATGTTAAGTAACTTCTCAAAGTCACATGGCTTAGTAAATGGCAGATCTTGATTTTGAATCCAAGTCTAATTCCAAAACCCATCCTTTTATTCACCATGCTATACTGCCTTCTCAATATCTCAAGGCAGCTTTAGAAACTTGTATTCAAGAACCGTTTTCCAATCAGGACAAGTACCTTTACATAGAATAAGGTATCATTTAGCAAGATGCTATATAACCAGCCAGTTTGACTTCTTAGGACACAATGCAGAACAGAAATGGAAACAAAAAAGAAAAAGTCCTGAAAGTAGGAGAGATCATGGCGGACAGGAGGCAGGAAGAGATTTCAGGTCCCACTTGGATGGACAGAGCAGCGCGTGGAGGCTCGCATCGTAAACTTCTGCTCCAGAATGACTACAGGAATATATCAGGAAGGCCAAGAGAACCCATATACCCTCTGAAGGAAGTGGATTGCTCCTGCAGGACCCGGGAGACATCTCAAATACTGTGAGTGCCCAAATAGTGTGGAAGTGGAAAGGGAGATCATCTACCCCAGAACACACACCCCACTGGGGAACCTGAGGGTCTAGATTAAAGGGAGATGAATCTGACCTTACTGGAGCTGAGTCAATTTAGAGAGCCAAGTGAAATACAGGGGTAGAGGAAGCAGTAGGAAAACCCCTGTGGGCTCGCTGGGTCCCCTAGCAAGCAGTTTCCATCTTGCCTCACAGGGGTCCTTGGGGAGGATGGCCAGAGGCACTGGGAAAAGGCCACAGGGAGAAGGAAACCTCCAGTTGAACTTCGCAACAATTTGAACTGATGGAGAAGTCTCCTGACCAGAACTCAGGAGAGGGCATGAATCCAGTGTGTGGACTCCACAGGCAGGGGAAAAATGAAAGTCCTACTTGCTTTCACAGCTGGGAGGTGGGTAGTCTGGGGCAAGTTCTCAGCCCTGCTTGCCCACTGCCTGGAAACAGACTCAGTGTGGTTGGGGAGCAGGCACAGTGGGAGTGAGACTGGCCCTTTGGGTTGCATGGAAAAGCCTGTGACTGCTGGCTTTCCCCCACTTCCCTGACAACCTGCATGACACAGCAGAGGCAGCCATAATCCTCCTAGGAACATAACTCCATTGACCTGGACCTCATCCCCATTCCCCACAGCAGCCACAGCAAGACCTGCCTCAAGAGAGTCTGAGCTCAGACACACCTAACCCTGCCCTTCCCACCCTGATAACTGAAGACAAAGAATATATACTCTTGGGAGTTCTAGGGCCCTGCTCACTGCCTGTTCCTCTCCATACTACCACAGCTGATGCTTTCTTGAAAGTGCCACCTCCTGGCAGGAGGCCAACCAGCATAAAAATAGTGCATTAAGCAACCAAAGCCAAGGATGCTCACAGAGTCCACTTCGTCCCCGACACCTCCAGCAAAACAGGTGCGGGTATCCACAGCTGAGAGACCCACACAGACAGTTCACAGGACTCTGTGGAGAAAACCCCCAGTACCAGACTGGAGCCTGGGAGACTTGCTGGGTGGCTAGATCCAGAAGAGAGATAACAATCACTACAGCTTGGCTCTCAGGAAGTCACATCCTTAGGAAAAGGGGGAAGGGTGCTACGTCAAGGAAATACCCCATGGGACAAAAGAATCTGAACAACACCCTTGAGCCCTAGACCTTTCCTCTGACACAGCCCACCCAAATGAGAAGGAACCAGAAAACCAACTCTGGTAATATGACAAAACAAGGTTCTTTAACACCCCCAAAAATCACACTAGCTCACCAGCAATGAATCCAAACCAAGAAGAAATCCCTGATTCAACTGAAAAAGAATTCAGAGGTTAGTAATTAAGCTAATCAAGGAGGCACCACAGAAAGGCAAAGCCCAATTTAAGGAAATCAAAAAAATGATATGAGAAGTGACAGGAAAAATATTCAATGACAGAGATAGCATAAATAAAAAAACAATCCAAACTTAAGGAAACAACGGACGCACTTACAGAAATGCAAAATGCTGTAGAAAGTCTCAGCAATAGAATTGAACAAGCAGAAGAAAGAACTTCAGAGCTCATAGACAAGGCCTTCAAATTAACCCATTCCAACAAAGACAAAAGAAAAAGAAAATATGAACAAAGCATCCAAGAAGTCTGGGATTATGTTAAATGACCAAACCTAAGAATAATCAGCATTTCTGAAGAAGAGAAATGTAAAAGTTTGGAAAACACATTTGGGGGAATAATCGAGGAAAACTTCCCCAGCCTTGTTAGAGACTTAGGCATCCAAATACAAGAAGCTCAAAGAACATCTGGGAAATTCATCGCAAAAAGACCATCGCCTAGGCACATTGTAATCTGGTTATCTAAAGTTAAGACAAGGGAAAGAATCTCAAGCTGTGATACAGAAGCACCAGGTAACCTATAAAGGAAAAACCTATCAGATTAACAGCAGATTTCTCAGCAGAAACCCTACAAGCTAGAAGGGATTGGGGCCCTATCTTCAGCCTCCTCAAACAAAACAATTATCAGCCAAGAATTTTGTATCCAGTGAAACTAAGCTTCATAAATGAAGGAAAGATACAGTCTTTTTCAAACAAACAAATGCTGAGAGAATTTGCCACTACCAAGCCAGCAGTACAAGAACTGCACTGCAAGAACTGCTAAAAGGAGCTCTCAATCTTGAAACAAATCCTGGAAACACATCAAAACAGAACTTACTTAAAGCATAAATCTCATGACCTATAAAACAAAAATACAATTAAAAAAAAAAAACAAGGTGTACAGGCAACACAGCACAATGAATGGAATGGTGCCTCACATCTCAAAAGTAATGTTGAATGTAAATGGCCTAAACGCTCCACTTAAAAGACACAGAATTGCAAGAAGGATAAGAACTCACCAACCATCTGCTGCCTTCAAGAGATTAACCTAAAACATAAGGACTCACGTAAGCTTAAGGTAAAGGGGTGGAAAAAGACATTCCATGCAAATGGACACCAAAAGCAATCAGAGGTAGCTATTCTTGTATCAGACAAAACAAACTTTAAAGCAACAGCAATTAAAAAAGACAAAGAGGGACATCATATAATGGCAAAAGGCAGTGTCCAACAGGAATATATCACAATCCTAAACATACATGCACCTAACACTGGAGGTCCCAAATTTATAAAACAATTGCCAATAGACCTAAGACATGAGATAGGCTGGGTGCAGTGGCTCACGCCTGTAATCCCAGCATTTTGGGAGGCCGAGGCAGGTGTATCACCTGAGGTCGGGAGTTCAAGACCAGCCTGACAAACATAGAGAAACCCCGTCTCTACTAAAAATACAAAATTAGCCAGGCGTGGTGGCACATGCCTGTAATCCCAGCTACTCAGGAGGCTGAGGCAGAAGAATCCCTTGAACCTGGGAGGCAGAGGTTGCGGTGAGCCGAGATCGTGCCATTGCACTCCAGCCTGGGCAACAAGAGCGAAACTCCATCTCAAAAAAAATAAATAAATAAAATAAAAATGAGATAGACAGCAACACAATAATAGTGGGGGACTTTAACACCCCACTGACAACACTTGACAGGTCATCAAAACAGACAACAAAGAAACAATGGATTTAAACTATACCCTGGAACAAACTGACTTAACAGATATACACAGAACATTCTACCCAACAACTGCTGAATATACATTCTATTCAACAGTGCATGGAACTTTCTCCAAGACAGACCATATGATAGGCCACAAAAGGGGCCTCTATAAATTAAAAAAAGTGAAATTATATCATGCACTCTCTCAGATCACAGTGGAATAAAACTAGAAATCAACTCTTCAAAACCATGCAAATACATCGAAATTAAATAACCTGCTCCTGAATGATTCTGGGTCAAAATGAAATCAAGATGGAAATTAAATTCTTCAAACTGAATGACAATAGCGATACAACCTATCAAAACCTCTGGGATACTGCTAGGAGGAAAGTTAAATAGGCCGAAACACCTACATCAAAAAGTCTGAACGAGCACTAACAGACAATCTAAAGTCACACCTCAAGGAAACAGAGAAACAAGAACAAACCAAACCCAAACCCAGCAGAAGAAAGGAAATAACCAAGATCAGAACAGAACTAAATGAAGTTGAAACAAACAAAAATACAAAAGACAACTGAAACAAAAAGTTGATTCTTTGAAAAGATAAATAGAATTGATAGACCATTCGCAAGATTAACCAAGAAGAGAGAAAATCCAAATAATCTCAATTAGAAACGAAATGAGAGACATTAAAACTGACATCACAGAAATACAAAAGATCATTCATGGCTGCTATGAACACCTGTATGCGCATAAACTAGAAAACCTAGAGGAGACGGATAAATTTCTGGAAAGATACAACCCTCCTAGCTTAAATCAGGAAGAATTAGATACCCTGAACAAACCAATAACAAGCAGCAAGACTGAAATGGTAATTTTAAAAATTACCAACAAAAAAAAGTCCAGGACCAGACGGATTCACAGCAGAATTCCACCAGACATTAAAAAAAGAATTGGTACCAATCCTATTGATACTATTTCACAAGATAAAGAGGGAACCCTCACTAAATCATTCTATGAAGCCAGTATCATCCTAATTCCAAAACCAGGAAAGAACATAACCAAAAAAGAAAACTACAAACCAATATCCCTGATGAGTATAGATGCTAAAATCCTTAACAAAGTACTAGCTAACCAAATCCAACAACATATCAAAAAGATAATCCACCATGATCAAGTGGGTTTCATACTAGGGATGCAGGGATGGTTTAACATATGAAAGGCAATAAATGTGATATACCACATAAGCAGAATTAAAAACAAAAATCATACAATCATCTCAATCAATGCAGAAAAAGCATTCAACAAAATGCAGCATCCTTTATGATTAAAACTCTCAACAAAATCAGCATACAAGGGACATATACCTCAATGTAATAAAAGCCATCTATGACAAACCCACAGTCAACATAATACCGAATGGAGAGAAGTTGAAAGCATTCCCTCTGAGAACTGGAACAAGACAAGGATGCCCACTCTCACCACTCCTCTTCAACACAGTACTGGAAGTCCTAGCCAGAGCAATCAGAGAAAGAAATAAAGGGCATCCAAATCAAAAAAGAGGAAGTCAAACTAACTGTCACTGTTTGCTGATGATTGTTTACCTAGAAAACTCTGAAGTCCTAGAACTGATAAAAGAATTCAGCAATGTTTCTGGATACAAAATTAATGTACACAAATCAGTAGCTCTTCAATACACCAACAGTGACCAAGCAGAGAATCAAATCAAGAACTCAACCTCTTTTACAATAGCTGCAAAAAAAATATTTAGGAATATACCCAACCAAGAAGGTGAAAGACCCCAACAAGGAAAACTACAAAACACTGCTGAAAGAAATCATAGACGATACAAACAAATGAAAACACATCCCATGCTCATGGATGGTAGAATCAACATTTTGAAAATGACCACACCACCCAAAGCAATCTACAAATTCAACACTATCCCCATCAAAATACCACCGCCATTATTCATTGAACTAGAAAAAACAATCCTAAAATTTGTATGGAACCAAAAAAGAGCCCACACAGCCAAAGCAAGACTAAGCAAAAAGAATAAATCTGGAAGCATCACATTACCTGATTTCAAACTATACTATAAGACCATAGTCACCAAAACAGCATGGTATTAGTATAAAAACAGGCACGTAGTCCAATAGAACAGAATAGAGAACCCAGAAACAAACCCAAATACTTAAGGCCAACTGATCTTTCACAAAGCAAACAAAAACATGAAGTAGGGAAAGGACACCCTATTAAACAAATGGTGCTGGGATAATTGCTAGCCACATGTAGGAGAATGAAACTGGATCTTCTCAGCACCACACTGCACTTATTCCAAAATTGACCACATAGTTGGAAGCACTCCTCAGCAAATGTAAAAGAACAGAAATCACAACAAACTGTTTCTCAGACCACAGTGCAATCAAATTAGAACTCAGGATTAAGAAACTCACTAAAAACTGCACAACTACATGGAAACTGAACAACCTGCTCCTGAATGACCACTGGGTACCTAACAAAATGAAGGCAGAAATAAACATGTTCTTTGAAACCAATGAGAACAAAGACACAATGTACCAGAATCTATGGGACACATTTAGAGCAGTGTGTAGAACACTGCATTTATAGCACTAAATGCCCACAAGAGAAAGCAGGAAAGATCTAAAATCGACACCCTAACATCACAATTAAAAGAACTAGAGAAGCAAGAGCGAACAAATTCAAAAGCTAGCAGAAGGCAAGAAATAACTAAGATCAGAGCAGAACTGAAGGAGATAGAGACACAAAAAAACCCTTCAAAAAATCAATGAATCCAGGAGCTGATTTTTTGCAAAGATCAACAAAATTGATACACCATTAGCGAGACTAACAAAGAAGAGAGAAGAATCAAATAGATGCAATAAAAAAATGATGAAGAGTATATCACCACCAATCCCACAGAAATACAAACTACCATCAGAGAATACTATCAACACCTCTACACAAATAAACTAGAAAATCAAGAAGAAATGGAGACATTCCTGGACACACACGCCCTCCCAAGACTAAACCAGAAAGAAGTTGAATCTCTGAACAGAGCAATAACAGCCTCTGAAATTAAAGCAATAATTAATAGCTTACCAACCAAAAAAAGTCCAGGATCAGATGGATTCACAGCCGAATTCTAGCAAAGGGACAAAGAGGAGCTGTTACCATTCCTTCTAAAACTACTCCAATCAATAAAAAAAGAAGGAATCCTCCCTAACTCATTTTATGAGGTCAGCATCATCCTGATACCAAAGCCTGGCAGAGACACGACAAAAAAAGAGAATTTTAGACCAATATCCCTGATGAACATCAATGCAAAAATCCTCAATAAAATACTGGCAAACCGAATCCAGCAGCACACCAAAAAGCTTATCCACCAAGATCAAGTTGGCTTTATCCCTGGGATGCAAAGCTGGTTCAACATATGCAAATCAATAAACGTAATCCATCACGTAAACAGAACCAACGACAAAAACCACATGATTATCTCAACAGATGCAGAAAAGGCCTTTGACAAAATTCAACAGCCCTTCATACTAAAAACTCTCAATAAACTAGGTATTGATGGAACGTATCTCAAAATAATAAGAGCTATCTATGACAAACCCACAGCCAGTATCATACTGAATGGGCAAAAACTGGAAGCATTCCCTTTGAAAACTGGCACAAGACAGGGATGCCCTCTCTCACCGCTCCTATTCAACATAGTGTTGGAAGTTCTGGCCAGGGCACTCAGGCAAGAGAAAGAAATAAAGGGTATTCGACTAGGAAAAGAGGAAGTCAAATTGTCCCTGTTTGCAGATGACATGATTGTATATTTAGAAAACCCCATTGTCTCAGCCCAAAATCTCCTTAAGCTGATAAGCAACCTCAGCAAAGTCTCAGGACACAAAATCGATGTTGAAAAATCACAAGCATTCTTATATACCAATAACAGACAAACAGAGAGCCAAATCATGAGTGAACTCCCATTCACAATTGCTTCAAAGAGAATAAAATACGTAAGAATCCAACTTACAAGGGATGAGAAGGACCTCTTCAAGGAGAACCACAAACCACTGCTCAACGAAATAAAAGAGGACACAAACAAATGGAAGAACATTCCATGCTCATAGAGAGGAAGAATCAATATCGTGAAAATGGCCATACTGCCCAAGGTAATTTATAGATTCAATGCCATCCCCATCAAGCTACCAATGACTTTCTTCACAGAATTGGAAAAAACTACTGTAAAGTTCATATGGAACCAAAAAAGAGCCCGCATTGCCAAGACAATCCTAAGCCAAAAGAACAAAGCTGGAGGCATCATATAGACTTCAAACTATACTACAAGGCCACAGTAACCAAAACAGCATGGTACTGGTACCAAACGGGAAATATAGACCAATGGAACAGAACAGAGGCCTCAGAAATAACATCACACATCTACAACCATCTGATCTTTGACAAACCTGACCAAAACAAGCAATGGGGAAAGGATTCCCTATTTAATAAATGGTGCTGGGAAAACTGGCTAGCCATATGGAGAAAGCTGAAACTGGATCCCTTCCTTACACCTTATACAAAAATCAATTCAAGATGGATTAGACTTAGACCTAAACCCATAAAAACCCTAGAAGAAAACCTAGGCGATACCATTCAGGACATAGGCATGGGCAAGGACTTCATGACTAAAACACCAAAAGCAATGGCAACAAAAGCCAAAACAGATAAATGGGATCTAATTAAACTAAAGAGCTTCTGCACAGCAAAAGAAACTACCATCAGCGTGAACAGGCAACCTACAGAATGGGAGAAGATGTTTGCAATCTACCCATCTGACAAAGGGCTGATATCCAGAATTTACAAAGAACTTAAACAAATTTACAAGAAAAAATCAAACAACCCCATCAAAAAGTGGGCAAAGGATATCAACAGATATGTCTCAAAAGAAGACATGTATGCAGCCAATAGACACGTGAAAAAATGCTCATCATCACTGGTCATCAGAGAAATGCAAATCAAAACCACAATGAGATACCATCTTACACCAGTTAGAATGGCGATCATTAAAAAGTCAGGACACAACAGGTGCTGGAGAGGATGTGAAGAAATAGGAATGCTTTTACAATGTTGGTGGGAGTGTAAACTAGTTCAACCATTGTGGAAGACAGTGTGGTGATTCCTCAAGGATCTAGAACTAGAAATACCATTTGACCCAGTGATCCCATTACTGGATATATACCCAAAGGATTATAAATCATGCTACTATGAGGACACATGCACACATATGTTTATTGTAGCACTATTCACAATAGCAAAGACTTGGAACCAACCCAAATGTCCATCAATGATAGACTGGATTAAGAAAATGTGGCACATATACACCATGCAATACTATGCAGCCATAAAAAAGGATGAGTTCATGTCCTTTGTAGCGACATGGATGAAGCTGGAAACCATCATTCTGAGCAAACTATCACAAGGACAGAAAACCAAACACCACTTGTTCTCACCCATAGGTGGGAACTGAACAATGAGAACACTTGGACACAGGGCGGGGAACATCACACACCTGGGCCTGTCGTGGGGTCAGGGGATGGGGGAGGGATAGCATTGGGAGAAGTGCCTAACATAAATGATGAGTTGATGGGTGCAGCAAACCAACACGGCACATGTATACATACGTAACAGGCCTGCACGTTGTGCACATGTACCCTAAAACTTAAAGTATACTAATAAAATAATTTAAAAAAGAAAAAGATACTTGCACACGCATGTTTAAGCAGCACAATTCAAAAGTGCAAAAATGTGGAACCAACTCAAATGCCCATCAATCAACGAGTAGATAAAGAAACTGTGGTATATATATACATGATGGAATACTACTCAGCCATAAAAACGAATGAATTAATGCATTCGCAGCGACCTGGATGAGACTGGATGCTATTGTTCTAAGTAAAGTAACTCAGGAATGGAAAACCAAACATCATATGCTCTCATTCACAAGTAGGAGCTAAGCTATGAGGATGCAAAGGCTTAAGAATGACACAATGGGCTTCGGGGACTCAGGGGGAAAGGATGGGAAGGGAGTGTGGTGTATACTGCTCAGGTGCACAAATTGGGTGCAGTGTATACTGCTCAGGTGATAGGTGCACCAAATTCTCACAAATCACCAGTAAAGAACTTATGTAATCAAACACCACCTGTTCCCTGATAACCTATGGAAATAAAAAAAATTGAAAAAAACAGAAGACAAAAAGCACTGGTAAAGATAACTATGTAATTATAAATGATATACATGTATATTTCTTCTCCTTAACTGATTTAAAAAGAAAAAGAAAAAAAAGTCCCTGTTTGTAGAGAATCCACACAGTTAACTTTATGTTTCCTGTCACAAGAAAGACTCTAAGACCCTCACTCAGAGCTCTTTGCTTTTAATAGACATCTCAAATAAAATTAGTTACCTGGTTTCTCACCCACAGATTAGAAATAGAAAACCAAATAAGATTCAGGGGATATCAGAAGCCAGCTAACAGTGAAGTAAAAGATGAACAGATAAATGAACAGAAAGAAATAAAGATGTACAATTCTAAAAAGCAATCAGAGACATTTCTAAAAAGCATTGCAGTTTAGGTCATTTAATCTGGTAATTCTCAAACTTGTTGGTCTCAGGACCTTGTTCTTGTAAAACTTTCTGAGAACATTAAAGAGCTTTTTTAGTGTAAGTTTTATACATATACATATAAAAAGTTATAAATATTTATATAAAGCTAAAACAAAGTGTTTATTAATTCATTCAAAACAGTAAACCCATACCACTTATTAACATAAACCTACTTTTTATTTTAAAAAACTATATTTTTCAAAAAAGAAAAAGTTTAGTGAGAACAGTGCCATCAGGGTTGAATCTCTTTAATATCTAGTTTAACAGATGACAGCTAAATTCTCTTATCTACTTTTATATTCAGTCTGTTATGTTGCTTTAAGTATATGAAGAAAATCCAACTTTACAAAGATACATAGTTGGAAAGGGAAGAAGTATTTTAATAGCCTTTTCAGATCATTATTAATATTCTTTAATACCACATTAAAACTCAACAAGTGGTCGTTTCTTAAAAATTAGTTGCAATGAACCATATTGCAGTATACCTGAAACCATATCATAAAATTTTGTACACTAAATTAAAATCCATTAGGTCTTTTACCCATGGTGATTTGACATTTAGAAAATATTGGTTCTCTGAGTTATGCAGACTTTCCAAATGCTGACACATTTCCTTGTTAAAATATCAAAAAGTGATATTTTAACAAATATGATCACCACCAATTTCATAAGAAGAGTCTATAAGCACTGGGAAGCTGTCAAGCTCACCACAGCAGCAAATATGTTTTACAAAGTTTCAACCTTCACTTAAATTTTTATCATGACTCACAAATAAATTAGTTGCTCTCCTTGAAGAAAAGGTTCACTTCATTCATTTTCAGGAAAATGTGTACCAATTATCCTATTCTGAATAGTCTCTGTGACTGTTATCCTTTCAAGTAAAAATGGTATTCCACGAAAAAAGCACATAGTTCAGCTCACAACTCAAATAATGTAAGTGCTTTTCCTGAGACAACCATCATACTTCAGTAGGCATCACACAGAATATTTGTAAGATGCATACTTAAAGGTAAAGATTTAATAAAATTAATAATTTTTACTGCTTCATCAAGGACAAGATTAAATAAAACTGGCACTTTTTTTTTTAACTGCCAATGCATGGCAATGAAAATGCAATGACACTAGTAGAGTCTGCTAACATCTTGATCCATGTTATGGCACCAGCAATTTTATGCATCATTGTTATTCACCAACAGCACAAATGCCAAAGCAGAAAAAAAACTCATTATAATTTTTAAAAAATTCCTAAGTAGACAACATCTTAGTATTATGATGCAGAGTTCTGACTCATAGACTCCCTGAAAGGGTTCTGGGAATTCAAGGGTCTACAGACCACACTTTGTTCATCACTGATTTAACCTACTACATGGGTGATTGGCCCTATGTCTTAATGAAACCTGAGAGAATTTTTCCATTCACTTTTAATGTTTATAACTGATTATTTCATGAAGAAAAGGCAAAACTGTATTCATTAGATTCCACTTTTTTAAAAAAAAAAGGTCAGTTAGTGTATATCTTAGAAATATTTCCAGCTAAAATGTCAATAAAACAACCCTTAGAACTTAATATTCAGTTGCCTGGCAATTATACTTTACGTCAGCCATCTCATTTCCTGACCCATCTCATTTCCTGATAATTTTGCAAATATACATAGTATCTACATTTACATTTTCTGAGAAATGAAGATATTAAAATATGGTATAAGAGTTTTCAAAATAAAAAAAGACAAACTATCACCCACATTTTAGATAACTGCCATCCTGCATGCTTCAATTCAAGACAGAATCAGGGGTTACAAGAGTCAGAGAGGCAGAGGTAAAGTACCTAGGAATATGAAAGCTCATATGAATGACCAGTCAAACTGAGGCAAGAATCTGATGAGAACAGCTTTCTAACTGCAAAAATAGGCAAAGATGTGAGTTGCAAGATTAGACCTTGAGAAGCCACAAAGGGTTTGGTTGGAAGGAGGCAGGGAGACATGGGCATAAGGCCAACTGCCCCCATCAATGCCTAGTCAGGTGCAAGGCTGCAGAGAATTTTACACAGAGAATTTGCATAAAAATTTTCACCAAAAAAGTAAAATCAAGCCAGTGTAATAAGAGTAAATAATTTATTTCAAGGGCAATGCACTGCATACAAACACACTGCATCCTCTCCACTCAGATACTAAATTTTCATATTACCTTTTTTCTCTTCTTCCTCTTCTTCACAAAATTCTGCTAGAGAAAATGTTTCTTTGAGTTGCTCTAATTCAACTTTTAGAGTCTCTAATTCTTCTCCACTCAGAGAATTAAGGATAGATTTCACCTGAATGGATACAAGAACAAAATGTTGTAGGAGTATGAAAGAAAAGAAAAACATTCACAAATAGGGAAGAGACTATAAAAAGATCATATTGAAGTCAAAATTATGAGCTCATCAGCCAGCACAAGTTATTCCTTAAGAACCTTAACACAAGAGGCTGGTTATGACAGAAAGGTAGGGAGACTCTGTGCTTCTAAAAGTAATACCAGCCAGAAATTCCTGGAAATTATCAGTGTTTAGCAACAGCTTAGAAATAACAAAAAAATTAGATAATCTTAAATCAATTAAAAGCTAACAGGTAACTGTACACAAATTGGCAGCTCAAGTCAACAGGTTTCTTGGCAGCCTAGGCCAAAGAAACTAAAAAAAAAAAAAAAAGACCAAAACGAAGGAAAAATAACACATGTCCTATTAAGACCTCTTTGTTAACCTTTTTTGTTTAAATTTAAAGAAATAATACTTGACTAATTCTGCTTTTAGCAATTAGTTCAATCAAACATTAGTTTTTAAATTTATTTTGTGGTAGTATTTCGAAGGCATCTCAAGCCTCTAACAAAACATACACTTCATCTTCCAAATGTACAAAGAGAAAGGAAACCATGCAGCATTCTTTTACTTGAAGACTTTTTCCAGTTGAGATTTTGGCTTGGAATTACCTTTATTTCACTTTCTTGGGAAAGCATCTCCAGAGCTTCTAGATGTGAAAGGCCTTGAAATTCATCAAAGAGTAGCCCATAATGAGTTTTCTTGTCTGTTTCCACGGTAACCTCATTGGAGGTCCGTATCTCTTCTTTCTCCTTCGCCTCTCGTAAAACCTAAAAAGAGATGGAGGCATTACACTGTAGCAAACAATGAGAGCTCAAGGGTGAGTTCTGAGAATTGAAGGAAGCAAAGCTTAGACAGGTTAGAGTACAGAGGATTGCCCTTTCATTCTTGGCACTGCTATTCAAATCTGGTGGGCTCAGGAGCTGCAGAAAGAAAAACGATCACACATAATTTGAGACGGAGTTTCACTCTGTCACCCAGGCTGGAGTGCAGTGGCACGATCTCTGCTCACTGCAACCTCTGCCTCTCGGGTTTAAGCTATTCTCGTGTTTCAGCCTCCCAAGTAGCTGGGATTATAGGCATACGCCACCACGTCCAGCTAATTTTGGTATTTTTAGAAGAGACGGGGTTTCATCATGTTGGTCAGGTTGATCTTGTACTCCTGACCTCAACTGATTCACCTACCTCGGCCTCCCAAAGTGCTGGTATTACAGCCGTGAGCCACCGTGCCTGACCACATAATTTGATCCTAGACAGTGCAAATCACACCCAAGGAACCAGGTGTTTCTCTGAAAGTGATTTAAACATTAAAACAAACAAACAAACAAACAAAAAACCCTGACAGGGTTTAGCATTTTGCACTGCACTGATGGGAGGCTCCTGCAGAAAGAGGAGGAGAAAAAGAGCTGGGTATTTTTGTAAGCAGTAGAGCTCTCACCCATCCCTGATCCCCCCAAAAAAACGCCTGAATAAACATTATTGAAAATGCTTGAAAAGAAAACACTAACAAGGTTCCAAGTAAACAAAGGCAAAAATACAGATCAAAACAGAAACAGGAAGTAAACAGGTAAGGATAATCAGTACCTGAGATAGTGTAGCATTTCGGTTCATCAGACCCTTGGTTCTTTTAAATCCAGGATCCCCTTCTGCTATCACATCCATTGTCTTTTTTCCAATGAATTCTAAGGCATCCAAACCCCCACTTATAACACTCTTTCCCTAGAAAATACATGCAACCTCATTACAACAATATTAAGAAAACATATTTTTATGCATTTTTATTATGTATTTATTATATAAAAATAGTGGCTAACAATACCAAGCACTGGCAAGAATGTAAAGCAAATGAAACAATCACACACTGCTTGTGGGAACGTAAATAGGTATAACCACATTAGAAAACTGTTTGTCAATATCTACTCCAGCTGCATGACCCAGAAATTCCACTCATGGTTACATCCTAACAGAAATAAGTACAGAGGTTCATCAGAAGACATGCACAAAAATGTTCATAACAGCTCTGCTTGTAATAGCTACAAACTGAAAACTACCCCAATGCTCACCAACTGTGGAATGAATAAATAAAACGTGACAAAGCTTCACAATGAAATACAACAAAGAAAATCAAATCTACCACACAAACTGCAGCATAGGTAAATTATACAAATATAATGTTGCATGAAAGAAGTTAGATACTATATATGATTCCACTTATGTAAAGCTGAAATGCAGGCAAAATTAACCTATGATGGTGGAAGTCAGGATTATGGTTATCTTGGTGCAGGAGAGGGGGAGAGCAGAAGACACAGAAAACTGGGAGAGGACACAAGATGGTGGGGAGATCTGATTACGGTAATACTGTTTCTTACTCTGGGTGTTTCACACTGAAAATTCAAACAACACTTGTTACATTCTTCTGTATGTATATTTCAATAAAAAGTTAAAATTTAAAAAAAACTAGCTATCTATCCTCATGTAGCAAAGATATTTAGCTTCCTAGATAATCCTCTTACAAATGTTTTTAATCATACATAGTTTTGCAAATATCTGTCATAAAGATCACATTTCCCCTTTGCCTAAAAGATGCAACTATGAGAAAAATATTTTTGTAAAGTAGACATTTTTTAGGGCCACCAAATTAAGAATTCCTAATCCATAAAATAATACGTATATTGCCTCTCTGTAACTCCTACTCCCTTATTTATTGCTACTCCTTTATTTCCTACTTTCTTCCTTATTGCTTTAATGAAAGTTTTCAAGTAGCATTCACTCCACCCATAAGACCAAAGTGACCGATCTTCAGTGGCTTGGACTCCTTTAAAAGTAATCAGTCCACATGGCTGTTCAAAGAAAAGAGAGAGAAAGATATGCAAACCCATTATAATAATGGAAAGGAACAGACCACCTTGCACTTTTTTACTTACTGTGCTCTGAACAGCAGTAGAGATGGTAGAGAATACACCAAATGCCCCAGCCACTGGGGAGGAGTTTTCATTCTCTTTGGCATTTGTCTCTCCTACAAGAGGGAGGGGATGTGTAAACATGAAGGGAAGGTCCCTTAACTCTCAGGCTTTATTAGCATCTATGTGAATTTTTTAAAACTAGACCCTGCTTACTACATACTAGGCCTTAGCCCTTTTTATCATTTTAAACCATTTGCTTATTTTAAAATGAAAGCTAAGATAGGCAGTTTTCATTTTCTTTTCATTTCGAAAATAAAATCCAGTTTTGTAAACAAACTGCTGATATATACAACAGCCTATATGTTGTATGATTCCAATTATATAATCTTCTGGACAAGGTCAAACTGTAAGGTCAGAAAACAGATCAGTAATTGCTAAGAACTGAGAGTAAGGAGAACAGTGACTACAAAAGGACGTGAGAGAACCTTTTTGGGGTAATAAAAATTTTCTTATGTCTCAATTATCAATACAGATATAGGAAACATTCTATATATCTGTATTGATCATTCTATATAGAATGTTTTCTATATCTGTATAATCACAGTGTACTATGATTACACAGTATAAACAGAAGTATATATACTGATCAAAACATGTAAAACTGTACACCTAAAAAGAATAAATTTTACTGTGTGTAAATTATAATTTGATAAACCTGATTTTTAAAAATCCAGTCTATTTTAAATTTTATCCTAGAAAATTATGATTAGTAGAAATCAAACAGACATACATTACAAAGATAGGTATGTTTCAAAACAAAAATCCATTAACTTAAAAATTTCACATAGGAGAACAACCATTATACCAAATAATTTCAGTATTATCAAATATTATAGAGAGGACTTCCACTTCTAGCATGATGGATTAACTGGTATTAGATATGACCTCCTGCCACAACAACTGAAAAACTGGACAATATATAAGAAGCAACTGTCTTCAGACATAGGACAATAGGCAGTACAAGACTTCGGTTCACACAAGAAGAACAACAAAGTAAACCTTACAATTGGCTTGGCTTTCTGTATAGAGGAGCTTTCCAGGCCATGACAGAGGGAGGAGAAACCCAAGTAGGGCATGGCAATCAGTTTGAGTGGAAGAAACGGAGACTGGAATCTGGGAATGCTGAAGCAATCGGAATTTGCAGGTCAGAAAACCGTAGAGGAGGAAGCTACATAGCTAAAAAGTTCTAAGAATCCGCATAGGCATGCCCTAAGACACCTTTAGGTGTTTTTGCTTAAATACTGCACTGCTGAGGCACTGGGAGGCTCCATAAGTCTGTACAAAGAACTACCATGGAGCTCTAAGCTAAGCAATCCCCAGAGCTCACGCTAGGCTGAGAGACATTTGACCTCCAACCACAAAAGCAGAGACTTTATATTAAACACCTGGGAATTAAGGTGGAGACTTCGGAAGAGTCAAGCCTTAGCAGCAGAGATAAACAGTACTTAGTTAGAGTAAAGGCCACTATAGACTCACCCTAAACAAGCTTTACAAAAAGTCTTGGCCAGACACAGCAGCTTATACCTGTAATCCCAGCACTTTGGGAGGCCGAGGCAAGAGGATCACTTGAGGTCAGGAGTTTGAGACCAGCCTGGCCAACACAGCAAAACCTCACCTCTATTAAAAGTACAAAAATTAGCCAGGCATGGTGGCCCATGCTTGCAATCCCAGCTATTTGGGAGGCTGAGGCAGGAGAAGAACTTGAACCCAAGAGGCAGAGGCTGCAGTGAGCTGAGATCGCACCACTGTACTTCAGCCTGGGCGACAGAGTGAGACTCCCTCTCCAAAAAAAAAAAAAAAAGCCTTAAAGCATCAATTTAAGTTGCAAATACCTTAACTGCCCGCCGACAAAAGGAAAGCAGAAGATAGCCCCCTTTAAAGGAAGAAAACAAAATCCCTAATAGATGATCAATGATTTCCATCAATGGCCTATGCTTATCTCAAAATTCTGAAAATATACATGTTGACTACAAGACACATCCTTGGCAGAGGAATTAACCTCCTTCCTCAGGAACTTTAGAAGATAGAAGGGGTTTAGTATCAAAAGGCAGTCCATTGTAATTTTGGAAAGTTCTCCCTGTTAAACTCTTTATTAAACTAAAACTTAACTCTATATAACTTCCACTGAGTGGTACTAGTTACTAGTTCTCCCCATAAACCATGAATAATAAACCTAATCCTCTTCTCCATGCTAGTCTTCAGAAAAAGACCAGGATATTCTCCCAATCTCCCTTCTCCAGATTACCAGATTCAATCTCTTATAAGACTTTCTCTTGTAAGACTTTAATTCTAGACATTTCACTATTGTGAAAGAAAATAAAACTCAGGACCCCAAATTTACTATGCCAAAGGGAACAGTTAAGCTGAAAGCTAAGTTACACAAAAACTGTCTTTCCTTTTGTTCCTAAGCAGAAAGGCCAGACAGAAGGCCAGATGTTTCCACAGGTAGCTACTCTACGTTTACTTTATTTCATGTAAACTGCCAATTTACTGAGCATAAGACAAATACATAATTGACTCTACCTCTGCTCTTTCCTTTTACACGTAAAATGTGGATTCAGTGAACACTGATCAAAGATTCAAAAGAAGGCAACCACTTGCCCCTCTTATCTACCCTCCCCTTTCTTTACTTCCTCTTTCCCCTAGAGCCCACTCTTCTTCCTTTAAATATTGAAGTCACCAGACCCTCTTCAAAAAAAGTATGGAAGGTAGATTGTTTCTGTGGTTTGTGTTCCTTTTTCCCAGGTGCATCCTCAAACTTAGCAAAATAAACCTCTAACTTGATTGAGACCTGTCTCAGACACTTTTTGATTCACACTATCTAGCTGACTCTTTTCTGGATTCACCCAGTTTTTCAAAGCCCTTCTTAAAACATGGCCCTCTGTGGTAGATATCTTTCAGTGTCATGAAGATGCTGCTGTTAACATATTCAAAGCCACTTCTAACCCCCTTTTTCCTTGGCTGCTAAACCCATATCCTGATCTTGAGGTTTCTGATAATGCCCAAAACGCACTCTCTCAGCATCTCTTGCTGCTACATCAAGAACATGAGATCCTGTTCTAGGCAATGGCATTGGAGAAGAAACATGCTTGGGACTCCTGGAAAACATTTCCCCTCTTTAAAGAAAGAGGGATGCATGAGGAAAAATGACACTTCCCATCTACTTCATTCCTGACTTTGAGCATGGTTATTTTAGAACACTATACTTGGAGTTGCAGTATTATCGGACAACCATAAAGAAACTATAAAGAAATCAACAAAGAATACTGTAGAGAAGCCAGCCCAGAACCTTGACATCATTGAGCCACTAAACTAACTCTGGAACAGCCTACTTCTAGAGTCCTTAAGTAAGAAAAATATATTGACTTTCATTCACACATGCTGTTACTTGCAGCTAAAATAGTTTAACTGATGCAGGCATCACTAAGAACAGTGCCTCCAGTTCACATCCATAGTCCTTTGCAGCCATGTTTATACATGTGACTTGTCTCCAGGCCATAAGTGATCCATGGACATATGACCCAAGTTTAGACTGATTCTTTTACCTAGGAATTCAGAAGTGGAAATAACTGATGCCAGGATTCAATATAAAGCTGGAGCTGAGGAAAATAAGCAGCGAAAGTCAGTCTGCTTCAAGAAAAAAACTGAGACAGATCAGCAAAAAGAAACAAGAGTGAGAGACAATAAAGCCCATGAGAGATGAAGAATGCAAACCAGGCCTTGAAAAGATTCCTATTTTCTGGTCCCAGGCCCTCTCGATTTCTGGTTATAATTCTAGCCTTCATAGTTTGAGAGTAGGTTTCTGTCTGATCAAGGCTAGCCTCTAGAATTAAACGTAGTCTTCATAAAAATCTGAACACAAAAGGAATACACCCCCAAAACAATACATTAAAATATTTTTATCATGTCACAACAGACTCAGATTCAGCTAACTCTTATTAGTCTCTTATTCAATTATGCCAAGCAAAATGCTAAGCAATTTTTATATTGTATATTCATGGCCTTATTTGTTAAATGTTTATAACAGTCACTTGAGATATAAAATATCATTCTATTTCAGATGTGGAAAGTGAAGTAAAGGGACACATAAGCAGTTAAAGGACATAGATGTCTAATTGGGAACTAAAGATTCTAAATACTCTTTCTCACTACAGTCCCACGATGCCCTGAGTATCAGATGTCCAATAAATACCTACTGAAAAATTAGTTCAACTGTTCCATTTCAATTCATAATTCTAGGTCTTTATGTTTCCATATACTGACCTGCTACATACTTGACTTCAGTTGAAATTTCACTGGGACCAGGGATTCCAAGGGAAGTCTCTGCCTTCTCGATGACATTTGAAATGCCTTGTCCTAATGAGAAAAATAACTTTTTTTTTTGCTATTTGTCACCAAAACTGAAGAAACAAAAATCAAACTTGAAGATTTTTAAAATCATTTAGGACCACAAGACATGTTATTTTGACAATACATAACTAATCTTGGCACTATTTCCTTAAAAAAATTGATTCATCATCACCAAAGAATAAGTTCACAGTAATAATTCCTAGACTTCAATATTCTAATGAGGAAATGCTACAAACTCTAGTGGCAGTATATATCAGCCCATCATTACTAATGCATCCTCAAATTATAAAGCCTTTGAGTAAACATGGAAGGAAGAAGAATTTTAACCAAGTCATATGCAATGCAGATCTGTATAAAATAAATACACACACAAAAATAACTAAATGACTGATGATCTTACCTACTGTAGCTACTGTAGCCGAGGCTGAGGAGAGTATGGACTTGCCCCAGCTCCCCCAATAACCCCATCTGGTCTGGGGTACATCTTTGGAAACATTATCCTAATTTCCCAGTAGGCAGAAAAACAAAAGGCAAAGAAAAATGAAAAAATTAGAGGAAAATCAGAATGTACAGACAAGGTATCTAATTATTAGCCAAAAGCATGGGTGAACAAATACATATTATTTAGCTAAAGAAATGTATTGCTTGACTGGCAGATATATGCTATCAGCATGTAAGTACCACATAGCAAAAGCAATTATTCATAAAGGCATTTATAGAACTGAAAAGACTGTATTTTAGGGTTGTAAAGAGAAAGAAATAAGAGCAATTCTAAATTGGTATTTATGCCAAATTTCTTTTAGCCCCAACATTTTTTAATCCTAATATTTTAATAGATACCCTACTTTTTCTGTGGTCTGTGATACCTGAATAGGGAGAACTTTTGAAGTCTCAAGGTCACTGGAAGGTTTGGTCTCTGGTCTTTTCCGAGTGGAAACTACAGGTTCTGATTTACTCTCTGGTTTGGCACCTTGGTCAACAGACTCAGAATTCTTGGCTGGCTCACAGTTTCCATCTTCAAGGATGGGGGCTGCTTCAGTTAGCAGTGGAGTCTCAATATCATCTTTATCTGACATGATTAGAACATCAGCTGGTAAAATGAAAGCCCAAAAAAAATTTATATAGGCTTCTTTGGTATAAAGTATTTGTTTAAACTTTTTAGTTTGAGATTATCATAGATTCACATACAAGTATAAGGAATAATACAGAGATCCCATATACCTTCATCCAGTTTCCCCCAATGGTAAAACTTACACAAATATAATATCACAACCAGGAAACTGATATCAATGCAATCCACTGATCTCATTCAGACTTTATCAGTTTTAAACGCACTCATTTGTATTTAGTTCTATAAAATTTTATCGCATGTATACCTTTGTGTGACTATCACCACAATCAAGATACAGAACAGTTCAATCACAAGGATCCCTTGTGCTATCCTTTTTTAGCCATAACCACTTCCGACACTCCTTCCAACCCAAAGCAATTACTGATCTCTCTGATGGACAGGTGTCCTCCATCTCTGTAATTCTGTCATTTCAAGATGTTATATAAATGAAATCATACAGCATATTACCTATTGACATTGACTTTTTTCACTCAGCATAAGCCCCTCAAGATCCATTTAAGTTGTATTAGTATTCCTTCCTTTTTATTTCTGAGTAGTATTCCATAGTATAGATGTATCACAATTTACCCATTTATCCATCGAAGGATATCTGTATTGTTTCCAGTTTGGGACTATTATAAATAAAACAGCTATGAAAGTTCATGTATAGGTTTTTGGGGGAACATAAGCTATCATTTCTCTGGGGTAAATGACCAAGAGTGCAACTGCTGGGTCATATGGTTAAGTTCATGTTTAGTTTTATGAGAAACTGCCATACTCTTTTCCAGACTAGCTACACCATTTTACATTTCCACCAGCAATGTATGACTGATAAGTTTTTCTGCATTCTTGCCAGCATTTGACATTGTCCCTATTTTTTATTTGAGCCATTCTGACAGTTGTGTGGTGATATCTCATTGTGGATTTAAGTTGTACTTCTCTAAGACCTAATAAGGTTGAACATCTTTTCATGTGCCTATATGCCATCTGTATATCCTTGTCAGTGAAATATCTTTGTATCTTTTGCCCATTTTCTAATGAGATTTTTTTTTTACTGTTGAGTTTTGAGAGCTCTTCATATATTCTGTATAATATGTGGTTTGCAAATATTTTTTTCCAGTATGTAGCTTATCTTTTAATTGTCTTCATTGGGCCTTTCAGAGCAAGTCTTTAATTTTAATGAGGTATAATTTATCAATTTTTCCTTTTACTTATTGTCCTTAAAAATCTTACTAGTTATTAATCATTCCTACCTCAATTTTTCCAGGACATCATGAAATTTAAGCCATCAGATTGGCTTTATGTCAGATCAACTTTTGAATACCAGTGTTACTCAATTCAATTCCTTCCAGATGTAGAGCTCTTTGGCAATTAAAGCCAAGATACTATTGGTGTCTCTACAAAGAACAGACACTAGTTTCCAGGATAACCAAGGATTATCAGAGTAGAAATCAATACATCTCACACATATGTACACACACGCTGTAGGTATGTACTGATATGTACTAAGTGCAGAATTAGACCCAACCCATGCTATCAAAATGTTTCTAATGTATTAGAAAAGAAAGGCATATTAAAACTAAGGCAGACTGGATGCAGCACTATAACAGGTGCTGCATTCAGTCCAACACACAAAATGCTGAAACATCCCTGCCAGACCATCCAACACACAAAATGCTGAAAAAAAACAGAACTCCATTAGAATCAGACAACGTAATTCATGAACAAAGTACCTGAAATAAGCCTAGAGTAGTGGTCACAAACTGGGAATTTAAGTGCCAAATCCAGCCTACAGATGTTTTTATTTGGCCTGCACAGTATTTAACCTTTGCAAAAACTAGATGCCAACATTTAAAAATCAGACTTCATATAAAAATATAGGCTTCCAACTTCTAACTTGTAAAATTAAAAGATCTAGCAACACCGGGCCCACATTCAACTCTGTAATAACTAGCTTGTGCTAAATAGCCGCTGGGCCCTTTTAGCTAGGGCAGTTGCTCTCCAGCTCCCTACAATCCCCCACGCAAATCCACTTCACTCAAATTATGCTACCTGATTAACCTCTGTAGGCATCTGAGTTGGCAACACCTGCCTTAAAAGAAGCTTATGATTTTGACAGATGATGATGCCAATGACAGGATTCAAGGATATGGAAATAACATGAGGGTACAGCCAAAGGCCTGAGGTCTGACAGTATGGAACATGGACAGTTACAGTAGGGAGTAGTTACCATGGCAGAGAGAAGAACAATGGGAAGGCATGAAGCTAGAAAGGTAGATTAAGACAACACTATGGAGTTCAGAATATATGGGCATATAATATAAACACATTACACATTTCCAAAACACATAGAGAAAAAATCCAGATACAACTACTCACTGACATACAAACCAACTTAGAAGTAGCCATTCATTCACTCGCAAACATTTTTTGAGTACCTACTACGTACCAAGTAGTACCACAGTACCTGTGGAGATAGAGAACTAATGTAAGCCATTCACTCCAAGGGCCTATCTAATAGGAAAGACGAGACAGTTTTTGCACAAAGTTCAATTAATGTTTTGTGTATATGAATAAATGTTTCCTATCTTTTCCTTATGCTCTCTCCAGGTTGCAACGCATCATTATCATCATCATAAATATATACAGTATACTATATGTAGAATATATAATATACATATTACATAAATTCATATAATTCCATGAAAGACTGGAAGGACATACTCCAAAATATATTTTTAAAGACAGGGTCTCGCTATGTTGGCCAGGTTGGTCTTGAACCCTAGGCCTGGCCTCAAGCAATCTTCCCCTGCCTCAGCCTCCCAAAGTGCTAAAATTACAGGCGTGAGCCACCATGCCCTGCCAAAACAGTCCCTTTACTAAAATATTAAACACTGGTTATCTCTATTCTTTCATTTGTGCCAGATATTTGAGCTAAGCCAGAAGAGAATTTTTTATGGTGATGGTTGTTTATATTATCATTACTATCGTTATTAGAATGACTGTACCATCTCTTTCCTCAACTCATTCATAATCTAGGAGAAAGGTTAAAAAAAAAAAAGGAATAAACACCAAGTACGTGGAACTGCACTATTTAGTGTTTTTGTAAGTCTTCCAGGCATTGTGTAGTAAGCGTGTAGAAATAATTGTAGTTTCTCCTCCAGTTATTTTCTCAGTTGGAGGAGAAAGATTCCAATAACTGTAAATAAATACGGCTGAGCCATATTTTTAAGAAATAAAAACGCATACGCTTACACACACACATATATATTACGTATATATACACTCCACCCGCCCCATTTACCAAAATGAAGAGCAGTACAGCTTAGTAGCTAAGAGCACGGGCTCTGGAGTTTACTTTCTTCCTGTCCTGCAGCGATTGTGGGGAAGTCAGGTCACCTGTCTGCCTCTCCGTTTCCTCATCTGTCAAATGGAGTTCTGGGTCCCTATAAAGATTCAGTGACGCGATATGTGAGGGGCTTGGAACAGTGACCGGCACGTAACCGCCCACAGGTTAACAGCTGCTATCACTTGGTGGGGTGATGGTTTGTATCCTATCGTTATTAATACGGCTGTCTCTAGATGAGCAAACATGCGCTCTCACTTCTTCCCACATTCAAGAATGGGGTCCCAAACGAGAGATTCGACGTAAACGTCCGCTCCCAACTAAGTTCTCAGGCGCTGACAACGACAAGAATTCCTCACACAAACGTAGCGCTTCAATCACTAAACCGCTTTCACAGCCCTCGACCCTGCCGCGAGATGTCCGCCGCCCACCGTCAGGTCACCGCCTCCCTAACGACTTCGGCTGCCCGGGCCCTGCCCCTGAACCTCGCACCCCTCCTGCCTCGTTCAGGAAGCTCCGCACCTATCCGGCCGCCACCCTCAGCACAGCCACGGCAGCCGACTCGGCGTTCCTACTGCCCCGGAAGTGCTCCTTCAGCGCAGAGGCGTGCCGGTGTGTCCGAGAAAACTTCCGAGTTAAGCCGCCGCTGAGGCCGGAAGGAGCTAGACGGCGGTCGGGTAGGTGACGGCTTGGTTGGGGTCGCTGCGAGGGGACTACTAGGAGCGCCGAGGCGTGAGTCGTAGCCTGTGGCTTGGGGTCGGGAGTGCAGGAGGCGAAAATGTTTGCCATTCTTTTGAAAGTCTGGCCTGGGTGTGGGAGTTCGGTCATCGAACACTTACTGAGAGCCAGATACCTGCCAGGCACTGCCCTGGGCTCCAGGGACACATCAGTCAACGAACGGAAGGGCCCTGCTCTCAAGCAGTGCGAAAAGCAGATTATAAACAAGTCAACAAACGGGATTATCTAAGGTGGTAGTAAGTGCTGTAAAGAAATTTAGACTGGATAATGTGATGGAACGAAGTGGGAGAGTAATAAGCCGTATGAAAATCTGGAATAGAGCATTCCAGGCAGAGAGAATAGCGCGTGCAAAGGCCATATAGTGGGAACAAACTTAGCAAAGTCAAGGAAAAGACAAAGGCCACTGGCTAGAGCAAAAGGAGCAAGGTGAGAATGGAGAGAGATGAGGCCAGGGACTTGAGCCCAAATCTTGTAAGGCTTATGAGCAAGGATAAAGAGTTTGATTTTTGTTTGGAATCCAGTGGAAAACCATTGAAGGTTTCTAAGCAGATGAATGACATGATCTGATTTATGACTCTAAGATTACTCCTGGGACCTCATCAGAAAGATGCAACTCTTCTGTTGCCCTCGAGCAGTGAAAATGCATGAAATCCAGACTGACAGAGCTAGTAAAATATTAAAATCAATCTTATTGTACAGATAAGAAAAACTGAATCCCAGAGAGGTGAAGGGACTTAGCCTTTAAGAACTCATGTTTTCCAACTCCATTTAATGCCCTCGGAATTATCATCTTAATTCCCAGATAAGAGTAATTGTCACTTCTAAAACTCTTCAGATATTTTCCTTTGCTTTTGACAGTGGTTCTCTAAATTTAGGTTCATCAATATCACCTGGAAGCTTGTTAAAATTCCAAAAAACAACAACAAAAAAACCCCTGCTTAAATATAAAATGGATCATTTCCTCTGATTTTCTGTTGTAATGGAAAATGCATAGAATTTGGGGCTAAAGTATGGAATCTTGGGAAGCCACTTATTTTTTAAATGCTGCTGATAATTATAGCAGCAGTTCTCAAACTTTTTGATCTTAGAATTTCTTTATACTTTTAAAATGTATTGAGAACTTCAAAGGGTTTTTGTTTATAATAGCTATCAATATTTACTATTTTAGAAAACAACTTTCAACAAAGGTTATTCATTTTAAAATAAACTCATTATATGTTAACATAGATAGCATTTCTGTAAAGGATATTTTCCAAAATGAAAAATTATTGAGAATGGCATTGTTTTACATTGTTACAAATCTCTTTAATGTCTGGCTGAATAAAAGACAGCTAGATTTTCGTAACTTCTACCTTCATTCTCTTACAATATCAATCATCATGTAACTTTTAGAAAATTGTGCCATATTGTGTGAGAATGTGAGTGAAAAAGGGATATGTCCTAATATTATGTAAATTGTTTTGAAACAGTGTCAGGGACACCCAGGAGTTCCTGCACCACACTTTTGAGAATTACACTGAATTACGGTGATTGTCATGCCAGTAAAAGAAATATGAGTTTGATTTGTAAATCAATAAACCTATATGCACATTAAAAATGCAGATGCCCAGGCATCCCCTAGAGATCCCAATTCAATAAGTCTGTGGGGTCAAGAAATCTGCATCTTTAACAAGCACCACAAATTAATTTGATATAAATGGTCTGAAAATTACAGAGTGAGAAAACCAGTCAAATGATTCTCTAGAGTGTTCTGCCTACTAAAACTCAAGATAGGTGTCTTTCTTATCTTCACCTCTCTCCATCAATAGTTTCCAGAGCCTGAAGCTCTGGAAAGTTAATAAGTTTGTAGCAGACACCTTTCACACTACCAAGTCGATGAGTGTCTGAACTCAAAATTTTGAGCACTTGCCACAGGCAGTGGCCCTGTGCTAAGGACAGAAGGTTTTTAGACTCTATCATTCATAAGCTTACAGTCTTTTGAACGGATAACTAACTGCTAAGAGGAAAACTGATAAGTCTTATAATGGCGTACTCTTAATGTGCTAGGGGACTGACAGAGCAAAAAAAAAAAAAACTCATCTGACAAGAGGGTGGGCATGAGAGGGTTTCCTGAATAAGATGAAATTAGAGTTGAATATTATAGAGAGGGTACAGTTTCCCCCAGAAAGATATTGACGGGAAGGGGCAGAAAGATTTTTAAGCAAAAGGAACAACTAGTAAGGTGAAAAGTTATTTAGAGAGAATAAAGTAAAACAAGCGTAGTTTAGGCTTTCAGCCATGGCAGGAAAGCTGGGTAGATTATAGGATTTAAGCAAAGAAACGAATGATAATGATAATCAGCCTCTAGGTGAGGAAACTAAAACCACTGGAGCACATCATAGCTAATTTGTGATAGAGGTAAAACTAAAGACCAGACTTAATGTTTAAATCCATTCATTCCTCCTGCAAGCAATTATCGTACATAGAGGCACCTCTGGGCTTCTCATGACTTTCTGTTCTGCTGCCTGAATCTATTCTTGGAGAATTACAATGCCAAATTGGAATTTTAAGCTTATCTCATGGGCAGTGAGAAATCACCAGTAGATTGTAAAATTACCCTGAATTGCTCAGATTTGTGTTTAGGACCAATTCTGAGTGTCACAGTGTTTGGATACATCATAGAGGTAAAAGGAGTTAAGGAGATCCATTCTGAAATTAAGGGGATAGTGTGGTATACCCAGGTGAGATAAAAGGATATGAGTTAGGACAGAGACAACAGGACTTAATTGAAAAATGTGTAGGAGGTGGAATAATAACAATAGCATATATTTATAATTTACCCACATTAGTTCATCTTATCCTCAAAACTACCCTATGATGCAGTTACTGTTAATATTATTTTATTTAATAAATGTGAAAACTAAGGCCTTGCAAGCCTATGGCTTCACCCAGGGGTAGGATCAGGCACCTTAACTCTAGAGCCCATTCTCCTAACCACTGAGCCATGATTGTCTTACAATTTTGATACTGCAAAACTGGAAGAATTGTCTGGCTATTATCTAAGCTGTTCATAAGCTGAACAAGTAGATCTGAGGGTAAGAGGAGTTCTGTTTTAACTAGACTGAGTTTCAAATAGAGATGTTTCAGACTATAGAGGGGGAAAAATGGCCTGGGAAGATCATAAATCTAAGCCTGTTTCATTGATGTTTTTGTCATTTGCATCCAGTAGCTATTCAGCAAATATACCTATGGCAAAAAGGATATAAGTTATGGGTATAACTGAAATAATCCTGGGTTTAAAGCAAAGCTCTGATAAATACAGACGATGTTTCTCCAGGTGCCAGAAGATATGTTGAAGTTTGAGCTCAGACTGACCAAATGCTAGTTATGGGGTATGTGATAGCTCCAAGGTAGTAATATAAAGGCTATTTTAATTAGAAACTTTTGAGTAAATGGCCCTCAGGATAGTGATTTCTGTTTGAATGTCACTAACCTTTTTTAGTTACAGATCCCTATAATAATGCTTGAGTCTAGGCAGAACAACTTTGTGTTTATTCTTTGCAAAGGGTAGGGTAGTGCTAACAACCTGCTCTTCATTTGCTTTTTCTCCCCTTTGCCGATTCAGAATGCTGCTTTGTCAATTTGTGTGCCTGCTGTAGGAACTGGTCCGTTTTCCAAGTGTGACAGTGCAGGCAGAGAAGGGTGGATGAGCTGTAAATGCAGCCTAGAACACATTTGATTATAGAGAATGAAGCACTAATATCCCAATATAATTGGAGTTTAAAAAAAAAAAATACCACCTGGGCATCAATGTGTTTCCCTGCTTTGCATTTTCCCAGAACTATTTCTGCAAACATCAGTTTCCTCAGCCAACTTAATATTGAGTCACCAGAACGGAAATCAGCCATATTACTTCCTTATTTGTGTTGAAAATTGGAACAGAATGGAAATATTTCTTCCCTCAGAAGTTGGCAGGAACGGCAACAAGACAATCTGTTAGGGGTGACAGCTATAGGCTCTTCTCTTTTTTAAAAATAATATAGTCAATATTCAACATGGTTTTCTGGGGTAAAATCATCCACATTTCTGATTCTTTATGATCCTAGCAAAGCTTACATTCTGTATACCTGAAAGATGAAAAAGGAGTTGGATTAAACTTGAGTCTTACACTTATCTATTACATTTTTATTTATTAATGCTGAAGAAAGGTAATATAGGCTGGGCGCGGTGGCTCACGCCTGTAATCCCAGCACTTTGGGAGGCCGAGGCAGCCAGATCACCTGAGGTTGGGAGTTCAAGATCAGCCTGTCCAACATGGAGAAACCCCGTCTCTACTAAAAATACAAAAAATTAGCCAGGCGTGGTGGTGCATGCCTGTAATCCCAGTTACTTGCGAGGCTGAGGTGGGAGAATCGCTTGAACCTGGGGGGTGGAGGTTGCAGTGAGCCGAGATCTCACCATTGCGCTCCAGCCTGGGCAACAAGAGCGAAACTCCGTCACACACACACACACACACAAAAAGGAAAGGTAATAAAAAATTTTATCAAGTAACTTCATCCACAAACATAGTATAGCCCTTTTTAACTGATAAGAAGAAGGTGACACTTTGGTTTTCCTTTTTGAAATCTGTTCTTGGGTTTCAAATGTCAGCTGCTACATTAAAAACAGCAGGCATAATATATATATATATATTTTTTTTTCCAAATACAAATGCACGTACTCTTGTGTCTCCCATGGCATCTAATATACCTGCCTTAATGACCTCAGCCCACTTAACTGATTTGGTGAACAATTCTGCATCTGAGGCTGTATATGTGAGGAAAAATTAAAGGATTGGAAATGAAAGTAAAATAACTATAGTATAAAGGATCATATGTTCAAAGCATGCAGGCCTAATATTATAGGAAGTCCCAAACATATAAGTGAATTGCATTCCTAGAACTGACACATTTGTCTTTTCTCTGTTGCATTCACAATATAATTACATTTCAGTCACATTGTCTTAGATACAGTTGGCTGTTTCTGGGCTGTCTTTCAAGCTGGTTTGTAAATTCCTGAGGGTCTAGGACAGTGTCCTAATTCTCCTTAGCAACTCTTGCACCACCTACTGTACTTCATCTTCCACGATGGATCCTTGACCTAGCTGAGCTGTAGTTTTAAAGTCATTAGTCTAGAATGAGCAGAATGGTCATAGTCAATGCAGTTTGTGCTGCAAGTAGCAGAAACCCATTCAAGCTGACTTAGCAAAAAGGAGACTTAGTGTGAGGAAATAATAGTACCCTGATACCAAGGATGATTTGTTCTTCCCTCACTATTTTTTTCTGCTTTGTCACCTTCTTGGACACGTATCTTTGCCAGTGTTTTCTCTCACAGCTGCTGAACAGCCTGTTACCTGCAAATGGGTTATATCCGTTAGTCTTTCAAATCAGAAGTCCTCTGTGTTCAGGATGTACATGGTATGAGTGAAGTGCCCAGTATTAACTGGATGTGTAAGGCTATTGTGCAGCCTCTTTCTCTTGTGGCTCAAAATCAGTGTGCCAGGTTTCTTCTGCCATGTTTGGCCTAAGAGCAGTTTAAGGGAGTTTATAGTGTTTTCCTAAATCCTGTCTGGTAGGTAGAGGCAAATGGCTATGTCTGTACAACACAAGAACCACAAATCTTGGCCACATGGGCAGTTTGCTTGCCACACTCCACTGTGTAAGGAAGAGACTAGAGATCTATGATGAAGATTGCCTGGCAGCCACAGACACAGTTCAATAACTTTTTGTGAACTTAATCTTTTTTCTCCTGCCTAACCATTTCCGCATTTATTACGTGTTTGCACATTCATCTTCACTTTTGTGGTTTTAATTTTGAGTAAAATTTAATAAAGTTGTTTCTTTTTTTAAAAAAAAAAAAGGGTCACAGGAGTGCCAGGAAGTAGAATTCTATCAGGCACCAAAGCACCATGTATGAGTCTCTCTTTGTCTTTCTCCTGCTCCTCTTCCTGTCTTCCCACTCTCTCCCTTCCCCATCCCTCTTGTCCTTTCTTACAGCTTCTCCTTGTATGTGGCCCAAACCTGACTGCCTCAGCCCCCACATGCCTCCTTTTCCTCAAATGACCCTGACCCACAAGGGTCTCAATTCCAAGTTCCAAGAACAAAGATTCTATTAGCTTACTTTGCCAATAGGTTGTCTTCCTCCTAGACCCAAGAAGATAGGGATAGGGCTCAAAGAGGGGAGCCGTTGGGTAAGTAGATCACGACAAATCTTCTCTACCACAAACTGAGGACACATACAATGTCATATCATGGTTGGGATCCAAGCTCAGTTTACAATGCCTATATGCTCCATAATATTGCAAAATATTTGCAATGAGAAAAAGAAAAATGTGAAATTTTAAATTTAAGATTAAAACTGCATAATGGTGTCCCCTTCCCCCCAACCCCCAAGATTTTTAAATGGTTGCATGGTATTCTGAGTGTTTTATAATGATGTAACTATCAAATGTAAATTTTAGTTCAATATCTGAAAGAACCATGAACAATAATAATAGAGCTTATTCAGTGATTACCATTGCCAGACTCTGTGTTTTATGTATACTACCTCATTCAGACTTTGCAATAATCCTGTGAGAATAGATTCTGTTATTTTGCCCATTTTAAAGATGAGGGGCTGAGGCAGGGAGATTAAGTCATTTATAAAAGTTGCAAGGCTGGTTAGAGTCACAGATCGTATTTGAATCCTATACTCTGAACCTCTCTGCTACCCTGCTCTTATTAGAGACCTTCAATTTTGCTGATCTAGAGTAATCTAAATCTAGAATGGAATGTGAGTGATTATATCTCTCATTGGAAATATTCAAATAGCCTGAAGCACCATTCTGCAGGTCAGTTGCAGAGGAAATTGAGGAACTGTATTAGTGGCCCTTAGATGCAGTACATGAATCCAATGCCTCAGAAACACCCAGGGAGCCAATTAAAAGTCATAAATTCCAAGGCGCAAACACAGAGTTTCTTACTCGTTCTGGGTTGGGACCTGGGAATCCATATTTTTAAAAAGCTCTCCTGACAGTTGTGATATTCAACCTGGTTTGGAAACTGCACTTGGTGATCTTTTATTCCTACCATTATCCTCTAGGACAACATGGTAAATGAAGGTATCAGGTTGGGAGTCGGAAGAATGCATTTAATTAGGTACTTTTAAGGTCTTCCAAGATTGTTAGCATTGACTGTTTTTGTTTCAGAGAATTTATAATAGGCAACTGTATGTCAGTTTGAACAATTATAATCCCTGTTGCATAACATTATTCAATTTATAAAGATCTGTCACATACTGAATCAAATTTAAACTAATCTCCATCAATATTTATTGAGCATGTGCTAGTTATGACGTACAGCAATAAAAAATATAGGCCTTGTTCTTAAGGGGTAGTTGAGATGGGATAGACTGCCTAGCAGTACAGAGCAGCATATACCAGCGCCAGATGAGTACGGTAGGTGGGGAGGGCTCTGGGGTGAAGGAGAAGCCATCCTTTATACAGCTATACTCTGAATTTATGTAGGAGGAATAGCTAAGGCCTTGATAGGAGGTTCAGGAAGTTTGCGGGAAGGCAGAATTCCATGTGGGAGTTATGCTTTGCCAAGCCTTGTGTTGGTGAGGACACTCATTGCCCTGCAGCCCTCGCCTGTGACAGCTGTTCATTCTGCTGAAGTTCCTGAATCTCAGAGCAGGAAGACCGAATCCATTTCCTTTCTTTCCAGTTTCTTCTACACTAGCTACTTTGATCCTGGGGGGATGTGACCATACCCCCAGGTGATCTGCCCACGTTTGAGCCTCTCAGTTGTTTGACGTCTTCATCATGGACGAATATCTCCCTCACTCACTTCAGCCACTGCAGCTTCCGGAGTCTATCTCCAGTTTCACCATTGGCCCAGTTAGTTCTCCTCCAGAATCAGGAATCAGACGCAGCATTTTTGGCCACTGCCTGTCTTTACCACAATTTTTTAGCTGTTTTTTGTGAACAACTCCTGACCAGTGACCCCTCTCATTTTTCCCTGTCTCCTGGCCCTCTACCTTGAGTGCTTTCCTCCCAATTTTTATTCCTCTTTATTCTTCAGGTCCTGCACCTGAAGAATAGGTGCTGCACACCTCTTTTTCTCAGAGGCTTTCCATGATGAGATTAACTCCCCATGTTGGGTCCTCCTGTAGCATCTGTATTTTCCCTTGGGTAACATTGAGTTTATTTTGTATATATGTAGTTAGTGTCCATCATCTGCCAGACTGAACTTCGTGGAGGCCGAGACAATGTCTATGGGGCAGTAGGTAGGCACATGGTAGGTGCTCAATAGATACTGTTCAGTATATGAAAATGTATCCCTCCGATCTCAAACTCAGTGGTGGGGAAGAGTAGAAAGGAAGGAGATGGCAGGTTAAGAAATGAGGTGGCATTAAAATAAACTGGAGTTGTGGGGGGCTTTTTGTTTTGGTTTTGGTTTTACTACAGAGAGAGCAAGCCTCCAGCTCAAAGCCTTTCAGCAGGCAGTAGTATCTCTGGAAGCTAATAACACTTCTTTGTTTTCATTATGTTTATGTGTACGGTTACATTTGTCCACAGAACTGATGTAGAGTTTCCTTTTTAAATAAATGTGAAAGTAAAAATAAAATGAGTTGATTTAAAAGAAAAGCAGAAATGACGATAATTTGGTTCATGGATATAGTAAAAACAACAACAACAAAAAAGACAGGAGAAGGAATGAATGAAGTTTGGGAAGTGCTGCCCTGGATGAAGCTATAGGAACTCCTAATCAAAGTTCTGGAGAAAGCCTGGAGCATTTTTTCAGCACACTCATAGCCTGTCACCGTTGAGAACCACTAATCTAGAATAAAGTACAAAATTATGTCCTCCAATTGCTGTATATCTTGCAGTGAAAAAGAGCTTGGAAACTTACATGTCAAGCCCCTAGCACAGTGCTTGGCTGATGGCAGTCATTCAATAAATGTTATTTCCATTGTTTCTACCCATCACCCCCTCTTAAAAAAGAGACTGTATTCCAAACTAGATTCTCCTACTAACTTGTAGCATGTCGTAAGAAGCAAATCACTGTGCACTGAATCAATTAGATTATATTACTTCCAAAATCCCCTCTCTGCCTAAGTCTTTGTTTCCTTTAGTGTCCTTTTTGTGCGGTTTTAGGAGGAAATGGAAATAAACACGTTTAGTGTGTCATGTATTGCCAAAGTCTGAAGGTTTTTTATTTTACTCTGTATACCCCATCCTTAAATTGTAAAGATTTAGAAAAGTATTTGTCACCATTCAACCATCCTTTCAAGGGTTAATTAATGAAAATTAAATGACATTTGCACCGTATTGTAATTTAGACTTTGAGATATTTAATGGCAAAATACAGTGATTCATTGTTTTTTATGTTCTGTGATCAAGCAGCCTTCATATAAATATAAAGGAGAGTAAATGTCATTTCCAAAACTAATTATCTTGGTGCTTTATAAGACATAAAGCTAGGCATTTCATCCCATATTTTATAGAAATAAAAGTTGAATTTTTTCTTTGAGAGTTGGTGGCTTAAAGGGGGAGTCAAATTACCAGGAAGGTGATCATAAATACATAGACTTTTGGACTAGGATGTTATTTTGCCTTTTATTCAAGATATTTTGCTCTTCTTTTAAATGTGTCTAACAATCTGTCCCTGTAGTTTTATATTTGCATTTCTACTAACTAGACACTTAAGATGTCAGTTCCTCCCTTAGCTAGTTTACAGAGTTTGAGCTAGAAATTTGGTATGCTTACAAACTATTAAATACACTGTACTTTGTCTCTTCGTATTGGAGAAACTATTAAAAGAAAATTCTGTTGTCTAATGTTCTTGCCCATGAAGGAGGTTCCATAGCTTTAGAAGTCAATAACTCTATTTATGTGTATGCAGTAAGTGCAGCTTTCTTTCCAGTGTTAAAACAACCCACCTCAGGTGTCCCTGCATTATTTATATGTAACATATCTTCATACTTGAATTACTCAAATTTTGAGCTCCATGGTTATGATTATGATATGCCAGTTGATTTACATTATAACAACAGATGGTAATGGTGCAGGTTGAAATAAAAGATCATTAAGATAAATATTTTAGCCTTCATTGGCTCCCTGTTGCATAAAATTTGTCAGAATGAAATAGAATCATGGCATTTCAGAATTGGAAGAGTCCTTAGAGATTATCTCATCCAGTCCCTTATTTGACAGAGGAGAAAACAGAAACCCAGAGAGAATGCTGCTTGCCAAGGTCGTACAGCTAGTTAGTGGCAAAGCTAGGACCAAAATCTAGGTCTGCTATTTACCAATTCATTGCTTTTTCTGCTGTCTCTGTGTGAGATTTTTAGGTACTGTTCCATCTAATTACTCCCCAATGTCAGCACCAATTATTCTAATTAACATCTATTCATTCTGGAACATACGCACTTTCACCCCATTATGAATCTCAGTTGGTTAAACTTTGTATCTGGCTTTCTTTTAGGTTCTCTACTCACATCTTTTAATCTTGAAGACTAGAAAATATAACTGGATCTACCACTTGTTTGGAAAATTTCTCTACCAAGCAATAAATTACCCGCTGTGCTTTTGTTGTAGTGTAGAAGTTTTTGAGTTCTCCAAATCTAAACAAGATTTTGTCCCATTTTCCCATGAAGCTACATTGTTGCTTATTCACTTTAGTGGCAAGTATTATTGTGCCAGCTGCTTTTGTTTTGGAAGATGTGGACTTCGACCAAATGGTTTCACTGGAAGCAAATCGTAGTTCTTACAATGCATCCTTTCCCTCAAGCTTTGAACTCTCAGCAAGTTCCCACTCGGATGATGATGTCATCATAGCCAAAGAGGGAACTAGCGTTTCAATTGAGTGTCTTCTCACAGCCAGTCACTATGAAGATGTCCATTGGCACAATTCAAAAGGACAGCAACTGGATGGCAGAAGCAGAGGTAATTGGTCAGGGTATAATTAATCAAGGTTACTCATTTCCTGTTCTGTCTTCTTATTTTTTAACACGTTAAACAAAAAGTCTCAAAGATAAGGTGCCAAGGTGAATAGTTTAAAACATTTGAAAGGTCTGGAGTGTTGTACCTATCAGAAAATGCAAAGTAATTATAATTGTTTAACCAGAAGAAGAAAAAAAAGAATCATTCTAAATTTAAAAGATGTTCACATGATGACAATGAGCTATTTTCTCTCCTGATCAGTTGGTTTTCTTCTTCATTGAAGGTAGAGTAAATCAGGGCTGCTGCATACAGCTGTACAGGTGGTATACAACACAACTCTGGGAGCACCCTTCACCTAGACTACTATGTCAGTAGTACAGTGTGGTGGCCCTGTGTGAATACATCCAGAAGGTTTTTGGCTAGACTTAAGAAAATTTGTTATAAATAAAAAAGTTTTGCTCTGAAATTAGTTACTATAAACTTTAGAGGAAATCCAGGACATTTTTGAAAATGAGTATCAATCTGTGCATAAAACTTTGACGTCAGGTCTCAGAGAATTAGAAGGGCACTATGGAACTTGTAAGCCCTTCCAGCTCTTTTTTTTTTTTTTTTTTTTTTGTATTCTATACCTTAATTTACTGGAAATGAGAAATTTTTTTTTGCATTTTTTGTTTATGTCTTAAAAATCACATAAACATAGTGTGTTCAAGGTCTACTTTTTGACAGATTTTTATTTAATTTTCCTATTCATGGATCTGTGAATATATCTTAATCCAGACTACTCCTAACCAGTGTTCTGTTATAAAGATCTTTTTGATGAGTACTTGAGTTATAATGGACCTCAAAAAGAAATCACCATGAAAAGCCAAAGGGATGAAGCTTAAATTCTAAGATCCTCACAAGCTACACTTTCAGAAATTTTTTTGTTAGGAAGATAGTGTAGCCTTCTGAAATAGAAAAGGATATTGGTTATTCATATTAGGCTGGAAAACACAAAAGGAGACAGGTGATACTTCCTTCAGACATATGCACTATTTTAATCTATAGACTGAGTGACTAGTCACCAAGGGATTGAAGAGTTTGAATTGTTAGGGTATTTTTAATCAGCATGTTTAAAATACATAACTATTGAATTAGAGTGATACCTGGAATGTGTACTTTGAACATGATTTGGGGTTCCATATTTGAACCCACTGAACCAGACTCCTATCTTCTCTGGGCTCTACGATATCCTGACCAAACACCTCTGAGATCTGAATTATTCATTCAGTGTCATCACTGTAGACTGACTGCATAAACAAAGCCTTAGGTTAAAACAAGACCAGCCAAGTGGAATGGCAGTTTTATTTTTCTATTTTGCCTTTACTTTGAAAACCACTAACATCTATCATTGATGCTTTCAGCAGCAGCTCTGGAAAATTGTATTAAATTTTATGAATCTCAAGTGAGAGGAGTTTAAAGAGCATGTCAGTCTAGTATAAGGTTCATAAATCTTGAGCTATTATCAGCAAGTGAGCTAGAGAGTTTAGATTGTGGTTGTAGTGCAATGGTTGATGAATGGAGTCTTTGTAGTTCATCATACCTTGGATTCAAGTGGTGTCGTTTTCATAGCTCTAAGTTCATAGAACAGAAGCTTATGGAAAATGGCTATATTCATAACTACATGTTTTCCTCTTTTTGTATTAGTGAAGTGATGGCTTTTAAATATATTAATACCTATAGGATTGAGATAAGTTTGGATGATGATGAAAATGGACAAAATCCAGAGTGCTTACTAATTTATGTGCCACTAAAATAATCCAGAACCATAGAATCTTGGGGATGAAAGAGATTTTGAAGATTGGGCACTCAAGTAATGCTTAACAAGCAGTCCGCTAACCTCCTCTGGGACACCTCCTCTAGTCATTGGAATGCATCCCCACACTGCAGGTTAGCCCATCCTTCCCATCTCTGAATGGCTTTCATAGTTAAAGCACAGAGTGCTTTGGGAATGTATCACAAAAGTAGGAATTATGCAGTCAGAGCCAAGTTATTGAAGGATGTGAATCAAGATGCGTAGTCAATATGCTTTGCTTTTCTTACACTTGTATACTTCTATATACGTGTTCCCTGAATGAAAATACCTTCACGTGTGGAAGAGAGGCAGTATGTTTTAGGTTGAAAATGGAAGCATAGGCATCTTAAGGGCAACTTTATTCTTTTTGCCAAGCTTTTCATTTACCATGACTTGTGAGATGTATTTTTTGGCCTGTGCTTCAGTTACTCTTGCCAGAAAATCAACAAAAGTTTCTTAACAACAACAACAAAAAATTGATATGTGCAAGGCATACCAGATTAGGCAGTTACTTCAACAAATGCATTAAATTGCTAGGATTTTTTAAAATAATTTCTTCTTGTTATATAATTTCACTATGGAAAGTGAGCAAACACAGTTAGAAGAAAATAAAAATTACTCATAAAAATTTAAAATACTGTTATTTTAAACCATTGTTTTATATTTCTGAGACATACCCTCATAGTATATGAAAATGTATTGGTTGCAATGTGATGTAGACGGACACATATGTATAAACTATAAGCTTTTTTTATGATTAGTCATTTAGCATTTTATAGACATACCTGTTTCACAGAAAGGCTTTTGAAGTCTAGCAGTGAAAAGGAAGCTATGTTAATTATTAGTGTCATGAAGGAAGATCTTGATTTCCTTTTAAGATCCAAGCTAATTAAATTCTGACTCTGGACCTCACAGTCTGCCCTTTTTTTACATGATTTAAACAAATGGTAGAATCTAACAAATCAGCTAAGTTAAAGTACTTTGATAAAGAGGTGGAATATGGATAAGGCAGCGGGCATATTTAGTAATCTTTTTGCTATAATTTTTTTTTCATTTCTGTTCAATTATCAGGTGGAAAGTGGTTGGTTTCTGATAACTTCCTAAACATCACCAATGTAGCTTTTGATGACCGTGGGCTCTATACCTGTTTCGTCACCTCTCCAATTCGTGCCTCCTACTCTGTCACCCTACGTGTTATCTTCACCTCGGGAGACATGAGTGTCTATTACATGATTGTTTGCCTGATTGCCTTTACAATCACACTCATCTTGAATGTCACACGGCTGTGCATGATGAGCAGCCATCTTCGCAAGACTGAGAAGGCTATCAATGAGTTCTTTAGAACTGAAGGGGCTGAGAAACTTCAGAAGGCCTTTGAGATTGCAAAACGTATCCCCATCATTACCTCAGCCAAAACTCTGGAGCTCGCCAAAGTCACACAATTTAAGACCATGGAGTTTGCTCGTTATATTGAAGAACTGGCAAGAAGTGTCCCTCTTCCACCTCTTATTCTAAACTGTCGAGCCTTTGTTGAGGAGATGTTTGAGGCTGTGCGAGTGGACGACCCTGATGACCTGGGTGAAAGAATTAAAGAGAGACCTGCCTTGAATGCTCAAGGTGGCATCTATGTCATTAACCCAGAGATGGGACGGAGTAATTCACCAGGAGGAGATTCAGATGATGGCTCTCTGAATGAACAAGGCCAGGAAATAGCAGTTCAGGTTTCTGTCCACCTTCAGTCAGAAACCAAAAGTATTGATACAGAGTCTCAAGGCAGCAGTCATTTCAGTCCACCTGATGATATAGGATCTGCAGAATCTAACTGTAACTACAAAGATGGGGCATATGAAAACTGTCAGCTGTAACCTACAATGCTGTAACCCAGTACCTACAAAATCAGCTCGCTCTCAGAAAAGGAACCTGTTTCTTAGAAGAAGTAACATTTTTGCCAAAAGATGACTGGGGTTTTCCGTTTGTTAATATTAAGCACATCAGAACGTGAATTGCCAAAGTCTTCATTAGAAGGCAGCATTTTTCCTCTCTGATACTTTTCAGTCATTTTCCTTAGAGCTTTATTAAATTATGCATGCTAAGATTTAAAGGAGCCCCAGATAAACATGATGGGGAAAAGCACTGAACTAAGAGTCCCATGGTTTCTCTTCTGGTCACAGTTCTTCCATTGGTTGGATCTGATACTTATCTTGGGACTTCAGTTTTTCCGTCAATAAGATGAGGGATTAGGTGAGATCTGAAGTTGTTTCTAGCTCTATAGCTTCTTAACCCATCACCTTTAAATTACCAGAATCTTCACTCATCTCTAAGTAAACCTTTCCCGGGACTTTTACTCGCTTCTTTTGGAAAGGATTAAGCTGAGATCTAAATTTCCACACCAATGTCATAATGCACAGAGGTTTTTGAAAAACATCTGAGTGTTTTTCAGATGTTTTGCCATGTGGAGCATATAATGATATGTGCAAGATTGAATCTTTTCAATGTAGCACATGTCTGTAGGGTTATACAGATGTCAGAGAGCTAACTGCTCTGTAAACTACTTTCCATGAGTAAATTGGTCCTTGGTGGGGGTGTATCATATTTTTAACTTACTGAGATATCATTTTAGTTCATTGAGGTTGGCAGGGATTGCCTAACTGATCTTCCAAAGTGAGCAGTTTATTTCTAAGGTATAACGTCTTTGATGCTTTTAGAATAAGAACAGTGTCAAATCATCTGTCTTCTGGAAAATCATGGATTTTCATATTTCTGTTAACAGAATTTCTCAGGCTTTCCCTTTTTAAAAGTATTGGACTCTACAAATAGGTTCTATATTTGGGATCTCATCCTAGGAGAAAACCCAAAACTGGATTCCTCTTAAGACCTCTGTCAACCCTCCTGCCCTTTGTGGTCTTAGGTATGGTGCTATAGGTTGCATGCGTCTTTATCTTGTTTGTTTGGTTAATATTTTGTTGTTGAGGTTTTTATTTTTGTTTACTTCAGATACATAATTCTGAGCTATGGCTGCTTTTGTAGCCTTTCCAAGAAGCACTAACCTGAAATAAGATTAGATAATTGTGAGGGTGTGTTACTATATTAAAATACACACACAACTGATCTAGACATCAAGAGGAAGAAAAATGATGGATGATGCCACCTGCTTCAACTGTATATAATAAACACTTATGATGACATTTCTTGCCTGGCTGAGATCTGATATAATGGAATTGTAAATACTCTTCAGAACAATTTCTTCAGCTACAGGAAGCGTGGTGCCATATAATTTTAAGAACTTGGCAGTGGAGCTCCATTTGGGGCTTCACGTTTCTTCATATGACTTCTGATTATTGAAGCATTACTTCAGCTAGAGGCTCCTGAGGGAAATGTTCAGAGGAGGTTTTATCAGGATTTTAATTTAAGGTTTCAAACAGGGGAAGACAGGAAATTCAAAGCGTGACGGGATAAAACTCATGCCTCCCTTTGTCCAGGCTTATCAGAAGTAATACATCTGCTCTGAATAGCATGAATGAATCAATGTGCAGTTTTATCAGATGGCATCATGGATAAAGATGATAATGCTGCCTTTTCTGTCTCTCAGGCTGTTTCCATGGAAACCTCTAGAGCCAAATAAAAGCTAACCAATCATTTAGCCAAAGCTTGCCTTGGCTCATAGACTGGTATTTCTTTAAGGAAAATTGTTTTTATATATTTGACTATAAGAGCAAAGGCTCTTGAACATATCCTAGATTATGGAACACTTTTTCCCTTCCCTTTTCTCTGGAAAAATTAAATTTTTTTTCTGTCCACTGAGACTGGAGTGCAGTGGCAAGATCATAGCTCACTGCAGCCTCCAACTCCTGGGGTCAAGCGATCGTCCTGCTTCAGCCTCCCAAGCAGCTAGGACTACAGGTGTGCACCACCTTTCCTGGCTAATTTTTTTTTATTTTTTGTAGAGATGGGGGTCTCACTTTGTTGCCCAGGCTGACCTTGTACTTGTGGCTTCAAATGATCCTCCTGCCTTACCTCCCAAAGTGTTGAGATTACAGGCATGAGCCACTGTGCCTGGCCAAAAAACATTTTAAATCCCTTGTCTGGGGGTCAGTCCTCTAAACATCCCTCAGATTTCAGATAGTACTTTCAACCCTGTCCTAACATAGCAGGTTTGCAGTAATCTTTTAGAATATAGCTTGTCAAATTAGAGAATGGTTTTACCCCACATGTTCTCATAGGAGACATTATTATTTAGAACCCTAAGGTAGACATGTTTAAAATCAAAGTCCTAAGAAACAGAACTTTGGAAAAATGGAGGAAATGTTTTTAAAGTCTGTAAGTTTGCACGATACTGTATAGTAACTAAATGCATGCTACTCCGTTGTATCCTAGTTATTTTAGAAACAGAGGTGGCCTAATTTGGTGGCCAAAGTAACTGGTTTACTTTGAGTGTACCAGCTTATGGTGCCATTGATGAGGAATTAAAGTAGGTCAAAATTTAATTGGAGTTGGTATTACTTCGTAAAGCTAGTTTTCAAGAGGAAGAAAACCACACTTACTAATGTTTTCTGTATCTAATCAAATACTCTTCATATATAATTAAGCCTCATGTTATCTTTTTTTTAAATCAACCTTTTGAACTTCAACTACAGTCTAAAAGTCTTGATGGTAACTATAGTGTAATTATCTTTTTGTCTCACTGGATTTTATAGTTAGTGGAAAATGCCTTTACAAAATGTATTTAAAATAGCTGTCATCTCATTTGTAAATTTTGTCGTGTATTGTGATATAGTGAACCTTATTGTCCTTATGAAATGGTAGCTTTGTGAAATACATTCACCAAAAATCAAAATTTGAACATCTTTATGATTCCTTACCAGCTGAAGCCAGATAGACAGGTATTAATTGAGCTGATGCCCCACTTGAGTTTATAGACTGTTTGATAACTGCCTGTCCTCCAAATTGTGTATGTATATGTTACGATGGTTTAATTCTTGAGTCAGGGCCAGCACGCATTTATATTTTCTACCAATTACCTTGATAGAAATATCTTAGAAATTGCTGACCTGGAACGGTTGTGAGAAGACTCCTGGCTTCTTTCTTGCCTCACTTAACAAATATTTTAAGGTCAAAGCAATATCTGTGCACGGCTTTCCTTTTGCTCCTCCAGACAAGTGAGGCTGTTGGTATAGTCCTCTTCACCCTCTGCATGTAGCTTCACCCTAGATCAGACTTTTGTCTCTTGGGTCCCAGATGGCACAGGAGCACTGCATGCTTGTTTTCTAGAGCCCAGCCAGTCATGGGTGCTAGCCTAGTCTCCACACACCAGCAAGTAGAACCCAAGTGTATTGTATAAATATTTCCTGAGTACCAGTAAGAGAATGCATTCTTTTCTCATCTAGGCCAGGAATGTTGAAAATGCTCAGCCTTACATAGAAACTCCTAGATTTTCACTAACGCATTTCACAAAAGTAAATAAGTATTTCATATAATTCAGAGGATGTTTAAATTGTCAGCATTTTAATAAATACTTGCATTATAATTTTGTCTCTTTTTTAAAGAAAGTCATACTTGAATATAATTTATTAAACGTTCAATGGAGTATATAGTCTATTTGAAATTTTCTATAGTGTATGTTTCATTTGTATGTTTGACGAAATTTGTATGTTTGATGGAACTTGACGTTAATGATTTTAAATGGGTAATTTTTTGGGGAGAGGGTAGTCTCACTCTGTCGCCCAGGCCAGAGTATGATGGCATGATCATGGCTCACTGCAGTCTCAACCTGGGCTCAGCAGTTCTGCCTCAGCCTCCTGAGTAGCTAGGATTATAGGTGCACGCTAACGCACGTGGCTAATTTTATGTGTGTGTGTGTGTGTAGAGATGGGTCTCGTTATGTTGCCCAGACTGGTTTCTATCTCCTGATCTCAAGTAATCCTCCTGCCTGGACCTCCCGAAATGCTGGGATTACAATCATGAGCCACAGCCCCCAGCATAGGAGTAAATTTGAATTCAACTTGGATTCTAGTGTGGCTGGAATCCACTTTAACTTTACAAATATTTACACCTAAGCACTGTGTATGTTTTCAGTGCTATGAGCTACACTGAGATGGGTATCCTGCCCACAACGGGCCTGCAGATACCAGACTATCCTCCCTGGGCCCAAATACAGCAGTTTACTCTTCTGAAGTAAAGCATTTTTGGCAAAGGCAAGAGCTTGAGAAAAAGAGATGAGAAGATTTGGTACATTTTTAAAGAGCTTGTGATTATAGTGTGTAGTTTATGGTGAGATTTGGCGGGCAGGAGGTTTAGCTCTGGTAGAAGCAAAAGTCTGCAGTCCCATCAGGGTGAAGAGTGGTGATGGTTAACAGGCATGGAAAAGCACAAGGTGTTAGGAGAACGCAAAGGCAACAGATGGGAGGTGTGACTCATTACTTAAATGCCACAGACTCCTTAGAATGAAAATCTAGCCTTTATATCCCTATGGCAAAAGATTGCTGGACTTTAAATCCTGATTTCACCCCTAGCCTTGTAACCATGGACAAGGGCTTCAGCCTTTCTCGGCTTCAGTAAAATAGAATTGATAATGCCTACCTCACAGAATTAACACAAGGATTAAATATAGCAACCGATAAGCAAACACTGATAGCTCTGATCTACCACACTGTAAGGGGCTAGTCATGAGCCGGCGTCAGCTTTGTTAGTAGCCTTGTCCAACTGATGACTATATTTGCATTTGTGGTCAACTAAAAATTCCTCCACACCTCTGAGAATTGCATTTGGCTGCATGCCATAGAAACCTGATCGTGGTGGCTTATCATAATAGCTAAGAGATTTATTTTTCTCAAATCCAGAGATAGGCAGTCCAAGGCTGGTGCAGGGGCTTAAGAACTGGCATCAGGGACTCGGCTCTTTCTAGACTGCTCTCTATCCTTAGCATGTGGCTTTCATCCTCAAGGTCACAAGATGTCTTAGTTTGGGTTCCCCCAGAAGGAGCTCCTGAGAAACGGATTCACATGCAAATAGTTTATTTGGGAAGTGATCCCAGGAAGGTAGGGAAATGGGGAAGTGAGACAGGCAAAGTAAGAAAGCCTACACAGGATGTGTTAATGAGTGGGTTACTGCTGTGGGCAACCAGTGTTCAGTCCCGCTGGGGACCTCAGGGAGCTCTCTCTGCCCCAGGTGTATGTAGCTCATGCCTCAGTTGTCCCACCTCAAGGCCAAAGAGCTGGGATATTTATCCACCAACTACCATCTGTCATTAGTTAAAGGCTGCTCCCAGGGTCACTAACCCCCACTTTCAGACTGCATTCTACAGGCTCAGCATGATTCTGTAGCTAGCAAAAGGCCTCGGGTAGAGAAAAGGAGTTTTCAACAGGAAGCCTGTGGTAAATAGAATGGTGACTGTCAACGAATAATGGGCAGAGCACTGACAGCACCTGCTACATAGGACGACTGTTTTACCTCCAGTATCGTGTCTGCATTCCAGACAGGGAGAAGGGTAGAAGGTCAAAGGACAAAGGACACAGCAGCTGAGTTTGTACCTTTTTATCGAGAAAGTGATAGCTTTCCCGAAGCCTCAACCAACTTCTGCTATGCAGCGGCCAGAACTAGGAGACATGGCTACCTGCTGTAACTAAGAAAGCTTGCGGAGAGGAGCGTGTTTATTTTTAACTGGACACATTGTCCCAAAGTTTGGGCTTCTGTAATTAAGAAAGGAGGAAAAATGGAGGTTGTGGGTAACAAGCAGTGTGTGACAAGGTCAGCTTCACATGAATGACAGGAGCAAAACGTGGTTCTGTGGTGGATAAAATTGCAAACCATGTTCCTTGAAGATGATCACATACATGAACAAAACAAGAATCAGAAGCAGTAAGTGCTAGGCTAAATCTTCAAGTCATCATTTCTGTTGTCTCCAGTACACGTAGCTCAAACCGCAGACAGGTTATCAGATTCTGCTGGGGCATAGTTGGCTTTTCTTAACCTATTTATTCATGAACAGGTATTTGCTGACACCTGCTATGTGCCAAGTGTTCTTCCATGAGCCAGGGACTCCACAGTGACAGAGTGACTGGCAGTGTATATCTATTCACTGGGGTCAGAAAACCCCCTTCGAAAAGGGCATTGTGCTGAGACCCAAATTATGAGGACCCAGACATTCAAAAGTTAGGAGGGGTACTCCAGGCAGAGGAAAGAGCAATGGCAAGGTCGGCCTTTTGGAGGAACAGAAGAAGTAGGCCAGTGTGTCTAGTGAAGGGAGACAGTCACAGAAGCAGGCAGGGGGGCAAAAATATGGTAAGAAGATTTCAAAGCTCCTTTTGGCTGGCCCCAGAAATACATTTCTTAGAAGAAATGCTAGAAGTACCTAATTTGGAACAGAAGATTTACATATTTGGTGGGGAAAGTTTGATCATTCAAAGAGTACTCTTAGTTTTTATTCCTAAAGTCATCTGCAGCTAAAAAAAAAAAAAAAGAAAAAAGAAAAAAAAAATTTGCGCTGATTCCCTTTTTCTTCTTCTTCTTTTTTTTTTTTTTTTTTTCTTTTTCTTTTTTTGAGATGGAGTCTCACTCTGTCGCCCAGACTGGAGTGCAATGGTGCGATCTCAGCTCTCTGCAACCTCCACCTCCCCAGTTCAAGCAATTCTCCTGCCTGTAGCTGGGACTACAGGTGCATACCATCACACCCAGCTAATTTTTGTATTTTTAGCAGAGACAGGGTTTCAACGTGTCGGCCAGGCTGGTCTTGAACTCCAGACCTCCAGTGATCCGCCCACCTCTGCCTCCCAAAGTGCTGGGATTATAGGTATGAGCTACTGCACCTGGCCCTAATTTTCTTTAAGGAATTAAACTCCTTCAGAGTCCCTTAAATTCCAATCATTCTCTTGAGTTTTCATGTTTTTGCTGGAACCTATTGATTAGGAAATATATATATGTAAATACACATATGTCACTCCATCTGCCTAGAGGATCCAAGGCTGCTGCCAGCATGCTTATTCTTCCTGACAGTTGGGAACACTCTGCTTTGCCTCCAACTCAGCTATGCCATAGGGAGGACTCGAGTGTCCTAAGTGATGATAAATCAGCCTTTAAGGGGCCTCATTCAGATAGAAGAGCCACCCTCTGGGAAGTAGTTTGTCCGTAAGCAGAAGGGAGTTCATCAGAAGACACTCCCGCTCATGTAGCAGTTTTTCATTGTGGATTTCAGTCTTCTTTCAGAAGCTGTAAGCACACAATTGGACCATTCCTGAGGCCACTGTTCTAAAGCCCCTTCGTCCTTTGAACACCTAAGCTCACATGTATTCATTTAATTTTTAGCAGTTGTTTGTTGCACCCAAACTGGGAACACTAACTGCAAGCACAACTAAACATGGTCTCTGCTCTTTGGGGACTTACATCCTATGGGAAAGCAGATCCAATTCACATAGTGACATGGAGTGTATAGTTTAAAACTGAGCAGTGTGCTAAAGGAAACGATTCTATAGGCGCCTAGAACAAAAGAGCCTCATCTAGGTCAAAGAAGAATTCCCTGAAGAGGTGATACTTAACGCAACAGGGATTATTTGAGGGCTTATGTTCCTAGCCATGAGCCCGATCTATGGATTTAAGTCAGATCCTGCCTAGAATGAATTTACAGACCAGTTGAGAAAATAAGATGTTCCTGTCATAAACCATCTGAAAGAGTCAGTGTATCAAGTGCTAAATGGATTAGTGCTGGAAAATAAATGCAAGAGGACTTAAAGATGAAAAGAGTATGTGAGCAGAGAATGGGCAATGCTTTGTGGACTAGGTGAGATTTGAGCTAGACATGGAAGGATGAATTAGTCATGGATGCAGAAGGAAAGGTGTTAATCTGATCATGGAAATCAGAAATCTTCAATGTTGCCCTGTTCTCTAAGCAGGAAAAATATAATTCTTTGGCCCTCCAAGATCTGTTCTCATCCTATCTTACCAAATTTATCTTTTGAAGATCCTCCCCAGTCCCTTGCAAATACCTTAACGTATTCTACATTTTCCATTAGAATTGTCTTCTCCTTAACAATTTTTTAGCAACTTGACAAGATGGCATCATATATTAGTCATCTATTTTTGTAGATTCTGTATCTTAGGGCACCTTTCATATAGAAAAGACAATGTTTGCTGCATTTAATGGAACGGAAGGAGTGAACTTGTTCTGTGGTCTATGACTATGTCCATCAGTTGATGTGAGAATTAAGAATGAAGGCTTGGGAGGTATGGCCACCACTTCTCCATAGCATTCTTCCTTGGTGGCATTACCTAATTCCAAAGTTTTAAATGCCATCCTCACACTGATGACTCCCAAAGGTATATTGCAGCTCCAAATGTAGCCTTTCAGACTTGTAGATCTAATCCCTTCCTACTTGACATCTCCACTTGGCCAGACATCTCTCATGGCATCTCAAAATTAATATATCAAATATAGAATTCCTTATTCCTTTCCCTTATAATAAAAAATACACCAGTTTCACCCCTGCCGTCTTCTCTCAGTAAATGACACCATCATCTCATATGCTCAAGCAAAAGCATCATCTTTGACTCTATTTGCTTTACTCTCCACATCTGTTATGTCGACAAGTCCTACTGTCTCACTTCAAAAAACATATGCAATCCATCCACTGCTCCCTACCTCCACTGATACCATCCTAGCCCAAGACCCTGCCATCTCTCACATGTACTATTTGATGGTCCTTACTGAGCTTCCTGCTTCCACTTTTGTCCCCAGGTCATCCATTCCCTACACTGCCACTGGAATGAATTGTGAAAGTAATAAATTATGTCATGTCACCCTCTGCCTATACGCCACAGTATTTATCCTCACTGAAAAAAAATTCAGAAGAAAATCCATCCTCCTTGCCATGGCCTACAGGATGCTAATATGAACTGGTTCTCTCCTATGGGTCCAAACTCATTGCCCACCACTCTCCACCTCACCCATTATATCCCAGCCACCCTGGCCTCCTTGCTGTTCCTCTAACACACACACCAAGTCTGCTCCCACCTTAAAACCTTTTTCAGGGCTGGGCACAGTGGCTTACGCCTGAAATCCCAGCACTTTGGGAGGCCAAGGCGGGAGGATCACGAGGTCAAGAGATCTAGACCATCCTGGCCAACATGAAACGGTTGTGAAACATGACAGGGTGAAACCCCGTCTCTACTAAAAATACAAAAATTAGCTGGGCGTGGTGGCACGCACCTGTAGTCCCAGCTACTCAGGAGGCTGAGGCAGGAGAATTGCCTGAACCCGGGAGGCGGAGGTTGCAGTGAGCTGAGATGGCGCCACTGCACTCCAGCCTGGAGACAGCAAGACTCCATCTCAAAAAAAAACAAAAAAACAAAAAAAAAAACCACCTTTTTCATGCTGCCCCTCTGCCTAGAATGATCTACCCCAGATGTTCCCTTGACTGGTTTATGAGCATTCAGAATTCAGATTTCAGCTTAGTTATCACCATTAGACGCCTCCCTGACCATACTAAAGTAGGTGTTCCTAGGTTGGGGTTAGGATGAGGGTTTAATACCCTCTTTTTCATTTTTCTTTTATTTTCATCATAGTATTTGTCACTATTTGATATTAATTTTTTTATTTATTTTCTTGTTTATTCTCTATTTCTCCCATCTAAAACATGAGCTCCATTAAAATAGAGACATTACCTATCTTATATTCCCTGCAGCTAAAACAGAGCCTGGCACCAAGGTGGCAATCACTAAATATTTGTTGCATCATCAGATGTAGTGGATGGGTCAATACTGATAAATTATGTGAAATTAAGGAAATCACTTAGCATCTAGGCCTCAATGTACCTCTTTACTTGATGAAGATGAAGGTAATATACTACTTGCTTTCTGGAACACAAAGGAAGTAGGTAAGAAAATAAAAGACTGAAGAGTTTACCACTTTTTTTTGAGAAAAATATTGGAATTTATGGGCAAGCCATTTGAAAATGGCAATGACAAGCTAATGGAGAAAGAAGTTCATTTATTTTCTTTCTTTTTTTTTTTTTTTTTAGATGGACTCTTGCTCTGTCACTAGGCTGGAGTACAATGGTGCGATCTCAGCTCATTGCAACCTCCGCCTCCCGGGTTCAAGTGATTCTCCTGCCTCAGCCTCCCAAGTAGCTGGGGTTACGGGCAGGCACCACCACGCCCAGCTAATGTTTTGTTTTTGTTTTTGTTTTTTGGGGTTTTTTTTGTATTTTAGTAGAGACAGGGTTTCACCATGTTGGCCAAGATGGTCTCGATCTCCTGACCTTGTGATCCACCCACCTTGGCCTCCCAAAGTCCTGGGATTACAGGAGTGAGCCACCATGCCCAGTCTTTTTTTTTTTTTTTTTTTTTTTTGAGACAGAGTCTCACTCTGTCACCCAGACTAGAGTGCTGTAGTGTGATCTTGGCTCACTACAACCTCCTCCTCCCAGGTTCAAGTGATTCTAGTGCCTCAGCCTCCCGAGTAGCTGGGATTACAGGAACCCACCACCACACCTGGCTGATTTTTATTTTAGTAGAGACAGGGTTTCACCATGTTGGCCAGGCAGGACCTCAGGTGATCTGCCCACCTCAGCCTCCCGAAGTGCTGGGATTACAGGCATGAGTCACCACACCCGGCTTCATTTATTTTCTTATCCATGAACCTCCTGGGGACTGAATAAAATGGAGAAAAATAAAATTACCCATATACAATGTAAAAATTTATAAATACAGCTTACATTAATTCAAATACAGTAACATTTTATCTGGCATCAATAGGTATTTTGCTAAATGTTTTGTTTTTTTTTCAGATAGTTAGTATTCCCATTGGAAGAAGACATTTTTCCATTTGAACATTTTAACAGAAATAGTTTTCCAGTGAATTTCAGTACCACCTTCTCTGGCAACATACTGAACAGAGCCTTTGTCGATAACTTGGGGACATCATTATAAACATATGTTATTATGTCTGGGTATAAAATAGTGAGAAGCTCTGCAATCATAGATGTGTGAAACTATTAGGCTTTCTAAGCTCTTATGTGTATTGTATAGGTTTTCCTCTCCTCTCGTTTATTTAACCAACAACTATTAATAGGGCACCTAGCACATGCCAGGCTGGTTGCTGACAACTAAACCCAGAGTAATAAATGTAGTCCCTGCCCTTCTGGAGGCCAGAATCTTCTGGGGAAGACATGTCATGATCAAGTAAGTACAAGTGTTAGAAGAGTCTCAAAGGCCTACCCAGGGGCTTGCAAAAAGCCTCTGCAAAGAAGCAGTCTTTTAGCTGATTCCTGTGAAGGAGATGCTCAGGGGAAGAATGTTCCAAGCAGATGTAAAAGCATGTACAAAGTCTATAAAAGCTAAGAGCCAAGGTGCTGGTGCATTTGAGCAGACAAAAGAAGACCAGCATGGCTCCCGATATTGCAGAGAGGGCCAGAGCCAATTGCAGAGCCCCCTCATAAGCTGAGGCTAGGAATTTATCTTCATTCTAAGAACAAATTAAATGGTTTTAAAGAGAGGAGTTACATGATCAGTGTTGCACTTCAAAATATATGTTAGAAGAAAGCTAAAGAACTAACAAACCTTTGCTTTCACATATATTTTTGGTTTAGATGAAGTTAAAGTAAGTGGTGCCTCAGTAACCCACCTTTCATAGACTATGGAATTAACAGATGGTGCTCAAGGACATGGGAAAAGGGCAAAAATAAAAGGGAGTATTCAGGTTAGGGGAGTGCCAGTTTCAGAAAGGAACCTCATTATTGGAGTTCTGTTACATTACTGGACATGTAATATCCTCAATTAAATTCCACTCAACATTGTCCAAGACACCTATATACATATGGAAGATCTAAGGGGAAGATGGTTAGGGTGAAAGAACTCGCACTGGGAATGGATACCTGAGTCCTAGGCTCACCTTGGCCACTACTGGTAGACTAAGATGATGCCTAGGGGACCCTCCCCTCTCTAGAATGCTGAAATGCACATACATTATTAGCAGGTAGGAGGGTCAAAGGAGGACTCCCCCACCTGCTCACCAAGCGACCTTAGACAAGTTTTTACTACTTTATCACTTCACTTATTTGTGAAAATCCTATCTCATCAGGTTGTTGTGAGGGCTAAAATGCCAGGCTCTGAGAAAGCAATCAGTAAACATTAGGATCACTCTGTGACTGTATAGCTTACTATCTAATGGCTCACACATTAGCACTAAGGCAGGAGAAAGTATTTGGAAATGAATGTTTCCTTAAGAGAAAAAGAGGCCTCTTGCAAATTAAGAATTCATGTTACATATTACATTTTTCTGTATCCTTTTGAGACTTGGTAACATTTTGGGAAGCATCTTGCACCACCCATCTGCCCAACATTTGCTCTCTGGAATATCTTTCCTCTAACAGCTTGGCCAACTCCACTTTGAATGTGTTCAGTGCTGCTATCCCTGGTCTATTCTGAGCATGTTATTAACCTGAGCTTTCATGTATCAGTATACATTATGCTAACAGCCAACTTCTTAAAAATTTCTGAGCATCAGTGCAGAAATAAGCTTGGGTGGTTTCTTTGTGGTCTCTTTGCAGCCCCCAGGGATATTAATGACAAGTCACATACCCTCTAAATTCTTATTATTTTTAAATAACTCAGTTTAAAATTATAAATTTAATCCATGCACATTGTTTAAAAATATGAACAGTGTAGAAGGTTTTTAGGTTAAAAAAGAAACACTCTTTTCTTTGCCTCCCACCTCCGGCTCCCTAGTTATACTACCCATATATTCAGTATTTTATGCATCCTTCCAGGAATTTTCTCCCTCCCTTCCTTCCTTCCTTTCTATATATATTCTCCATAACTGTCTTTATTTTACACAAATAATATACCATCTTTACTTCCCACCTCCCTTCCTGTATATATTCTATATAATTGTATTTTTATAAAAATGTGACTGTACTCTACAGATCCTATATCTTGGACTTTTTTACATACCAGTACCCACAGATCTGCCTCATTCTTTTGAGTCTTTTGAGTGACTTGCTGGGATTCCATTAATGGAATGTACCCTTTAGCCAACCCCTCTTGATGGACATTGTGGATGTTTGTTTCCAATCTTTTGCTTTTACAAACATCTCTGCAACAAACATCTCTGGAGATATGTCACTGCACACTTGAAGTAGTTTATCTGCAAGATAAGTTCTTCAAAGTTTGAAAACTCTGAATAGCATCCTCCTATATGTTTGCCAGACCATGAGCATATCACTGCTAATGTCAGTCTCCAAAAAGAGCTTCTTACAAGGCTAGTGGCTGCCTTATTTGACAGCAAGGGAAAAATCAATACTGTAAAAGTTGTTAATCTTTATTGTGAAGATTGGTGATAATGTAACACAGTGCTTAATGAATATCTGGCATATCATAGTTGCCAAATAAATGGTGGCTATTAGTTATGTTGCCTTTATCCTTGTGAACAACCAGTCAAAATTTATCTCCAAGTCCTGAGGCTAAATATAACTACAGTCAATGGATTGGTATAATATTAGTTAATTTTAGGTGGCACTTTTTTTTGGGAAACTCAGCAATTAAGAGGAATGTCCAATGGGACAAGAAAGTCCTTTTTAGATGGTAAAGGGAAAACTACAAAACATTATGCTTCAATATTAGAAATTTTCTCTGGCTAAGTCTCCAAGAAGCCTTCACATTTTCAACAAAATGAAATCAATTTGTAGCTGGTAGGTATTAGCCTGAGTATGTAAAGAAAAGTAATTGCCAGCTTAAACCAAGTAATGTTAATTTTACTCTTAGCAAGTATCACGAGAACATTATTTAAAGGAATCCTGAGCTAGAGATAGTGTATTTGCATTCTATTCATTCACTTATTCAACAAATGTTTATTGACCACCTGCTAGGTGCCAAGCAGGATTCCAGGTTACAGAGGATGCAGTATGAACCAAACCTATATGGGGCCTGCAATTAAATGGCCATGTGACCTTGGACAAGCCCCTTGCCCTACCTGGACTTTACTCTCCACATCTTTAAAATAAGCTGGCTGAACTACATTATCTCCAAAGATCCTCCCAGATGTATCATTTTGTGCCCTCCTTAATGCATTCTTTTTGGGGTCTTTTTGGTGGGTTTTTGTTTGTTTGTTTGTTTGTTTGTTTGTTTGTTTTTGAGATGGAGTCTCGCTCAGTTGCCCAGGCTGGAGTGCAATGGCACAATCTCAGCTCACTGAAACCTCCACCTCCCGGATTCTCCCACCTCAGCCTCCTGAGTAGCTGAGATTACAGGCACCTGCCATCATACCCGGCTAATTTTTGTATTTTTGTAGAGATGGGGTTTCACCATGTTGGCCAGGCTGGTCTCGAACTCCTGACCTCAGATGATTCACCCACCTCAGCCTCCCAAAGTGCTGAGATTACAGGTGTAAGCCACTGCTCCAGGCCTCTTAATGCATTCTTAATGGTGATCTCAATCCAGTGCAGCACTGATTGATGTACATGGCACTTGAGGGTACCACAAAATCCTTCACAGGTGTACTGCCAAGCTCTGACCAATGGGTACTACGTTAATTTCCTTGAGCTACCATACTAAATTACCACAAAGCTGATGGCTCAAGACAATAGAAATGTATTCTCTCACAGTTCTGGAGGCTGGACTTTTGAAATCAAGGCGTTGACAGGGGCCATGTTCTCTCTGAAGGCTCTAGGGAAGGATCCTTTCTCGCTTCTTCCTAGCTTCTGGTGTTGCCAACAATCCTTGGCGTTTCTTGGCTTATAGCTGGATCACTCCAGTCTCTGTCTTCATTGTCACATGGGTGGTGTCCTCCCCGTGTGTCTGTGTCTCTGTTTTCTCTTGTTATAAGAATGGACAGTCACTGGAGTAGGGCTCACCCTAATCCAGTATAACCTCACCTCAACTAATTATACCTACAAAGATCCTATTTCTAAATAAAGTCACATTCTGAGGTTCCAGATGGACATGAAATTTGGATAGGGGGACACTATTCAACTTAGTCTAGCTACCATTTCTTTTGGCTTCTTACCAAAAATATGGACTGTTCCAGCAGTGTTCATCTGCAGACACTGTGCTGGAAAGGTCATGCTGCCTCGTGCAGAGAGGGGTGGGTTTGAGGAAGAGGTAGGGAGTACATCTGAGCATCAAGGCTGGCAACAAAGGAGCGGTTGTGTTTAATGGAATCTGTCAGGCTGTGCCCTGCAGACATGTACATCACTACAAGCATGGTCAGGTTGAGTGCCCGGGTTGTTCCAGGCAGTAAACAGCTCTGTGCAACAGCAACACTGTGTTTGGGATGACAGAGTAAAGAGCGAAATAATTGTGGAAGCTTTTCTAGACACTTGGGGACTTTATAAGATAGTGCTGTCATCATGATTACTTTTGATTGTTGATTTCTTTGATGGTCTTTTGAGTCATTTCATCCCTTCTAGCTGAGCACCAAAAATTCAGGCATTTAAAAGAGTGTGCTGGAAGGCTGATGGCTGGGCTGTGCAGGGCAGGTGTTAAGGACTCTAGCTCTGAAGGGGATTCCAGGGCAGAACGTCTGCTCTCCCATTTTATTGGCTATGTGTCTGTGGAAATGTTAGTTTCTTTCTCAAAGCTCAGGCTCCCTTGTCTATAAATTGAAGATAATAATAGAGCCTCCTCAATCATTATGTTAAGTAAAATAAGCCAGGCACAGAAAGACAAATTTTTCATGTTCTCACTTATTTGTGAAAGCTGAAAATTAAAACAATTGAACTCATGGAGATAGAGATTAGAAGGATGGGCCAGGGGTGGTGGCTGATGCCTGTACTCCTAGCACTTTGGAAGGCCAAGGTGGGTGGATCACTTGAGGCCAGGAGTTTGAGACCAGCCTGGCCAATGTAGCAAAACCATGGGTCTGCTAAAAATACAAAAATTAGCTGGGCGTGGTGGCATATGCCTGTAATTCCAACTACCTGGGAGGCCGAGGCATGAGAATCACTTCAACTCAGGAGGCAGAGGTTGCAATGAGCCAAGATCATGCCACTGTACTCCAGCCTGGGCAACAGAGCAATACCAGGTCTGTCCCGCAGACCCTAGCCAACAGATGAAATGAGTACTCAGACACAGGTATGCAGTATAAGAGCAGCTAGGTGACTGCCTGGCTGTAGTGGCCAGAGAGCAGCCCCGAGAAGCTGGAGCTGCTTGCTTTATTCAGTGTAGGCACAGTGCCGAAAACCTGGAGCCAACACAACCTGCAGGTAATTAACATTTATTGTTCCCCTTTCAGGGAACATCACGGGTGGATGATCAAAGGCCAGTTCCTGGTCAACAATAAGTAAACAAGCTTGATCAAGATAAATTCCCCTACACTCCCTTGCACCTATTCCTTGCCCTCTGCCTCAGGGTCAGAGAACAGCTGCCTTCAGCTATTCTCCCCCGAAGCTATGCAGATCCTTCCAACCTTTCAGAAGGCCTGCTCCTTTCCCTATAGTTTCTCCCACCAGTCTGACCCATCTCCTACAGAGCAAGACTGTGTCTCAGAAACAAAAAACAAAAAAAAAAAAAAAAGAGAGAAGAAGGATAATTACCAGGGGCTGGGAAGGGTAGTGGGGGACAGAGGGAAGTAGGGATGGCTAATGGGTATAAAAAAAAAAAAAAAAGATAGAATGAGGCAGGGCATGGTGGCTCATGCCTGTAATCCTAGAACTCTGGGAGGCCGAAGTGGGTGGATTGCCTGAGATCAGGAGTTCAAGGCCAGCCTGGGCAACATGGTGAAACCCTGTCTCTACTATAATACAAAAAATTAGCTAGGTGTGGTGGTGTGTGCCTGTAGTCCCAGCTACTTGGGAGGATGGGGCAGGAGAATTGCTTGAACCCGGGAGGTGGAAGTCGCAGTGAGCTGAGATCATACCACTGCACTCCACCCTGGGTGACAGAGCTAGACTCATCTCAAAAAATATATATATATATAGAAAGAATGAATAAGACCTGGTATTTGCTAGCACAACAGGGTGACTGTAATCAAAAATAATTTAGTTGTACACTTTTTAATAACTAAAAGAGTGTGAGTGGCTTGTTTGTAACACAAAGGATAAATGCTTGAGGGGACTTACCCAGATATGATTACTACATATTGCATGCCTGAATCAAAATATTTCATGTAACCCATAAATATATACACTTATTATGTACCCACAAAAATTAAAAGTTAAAAATAATAATAATAAAACCTCCTCATAGGATTGTAGTGAGAAAGAAATGTGAGGAAAAATAATTCATGTGCAGCATTAAACAGTGTCAGGAATATAAAAATGTGCTTAATAAATGTTTGTTTCTATTAAAGTATCTACTCATTTTTTCCTGTGCTGGAGGATCTCTTCCAACAAAAATATAAACATGCTAATTCTCTCATATTAAAACACACAAAAAAACCTTTCTTGATTCTGTTCTCCAACACCCTCCCTTTACAGTGAAATTTTGCAAAAGAATTTTTATTCTCTCTGTCCCCAAATCTTCTCCTCCCATTCTACAAAGAGGCCCTTGCCCCTCTCCCAAACCCTCCCATGATGTTGTGGTCTTCTGTGACCTCCAGGCTGCTAATTCCAGTGGTCAGTTCTCAGTACTCATCTTACTTGGCCGGTCAGCAGCTCGTGACTATTGACAACTCCTTCATTCTTAAAACACTTTTTCACTTGGGTTCCTGGAGCATCACTCACTCCTGACTCTCTACCTATTTCCTTCCTATACTGGAGTGCCCTGGGGGATTCCCTGGACTTCTCTCTTTTATCTTTGCTTCCTCCCTAACTGATCCCATCCAGCCATAAGGCTTTAAATACCATCTCTGATGGCACATAAACTTAGATATCCAGCCTGAACATTTCTCCTGAACACACCCTTTCAGCATCTCTATTTGGATCTCAAATAGACATCTCTAACTTAACATGTATGAAATCGAACTCCTGATTCCCCTCTCTGGTGAAACCTGGTCCTTCTGCAGTCTTCCCCACCTTAGCAAATGGAAACTGCCTCCTTCTAGTTGCTTGGAGTAAAACTCTGGAAGTCATCCTGACTTTTCACTTTTCTCTTTCACCCTGCATCCAATCCATCAGCAAACCTTGAGAGTTCGACCTTTAAGATAAATCTAGAATCTAACCACTTCTCTTCACCTTCACTGTTTCCACTGAGGTCTGAGCCAGCCGCATGTCTCACCTCTATTATAGCAATAGCCTCCCAACTATACTTCCTGCTTCTTCCCTTGGCCCCTTTAGTCCATTCTCTATCCAGAAACCAGAGTGATCCCACCCTTGGCTGCACATTAGAAACACCTGGAGAGTTTTAGAAATTCTAATCTCCAGGCCATATCTCAGACCAATCTAATCAGAATCTTTGGGGATAGGACTCAGGCACAAGCATGGGTTTTTTCCTTTTCTTTTCTTAAGTCAGATTGTGGTACTCTTCTACCCAGAAACTTCCAATGGCTTCTCAGAATAAAAGTCAAAGCCCCCACACTGGCCATGAAGCACTTCTCAGGCCCACCTTGCCCACCCTTAGGAGAGCAAGGACTTTGTTCTGCTCACTGCTCTGTCCATAGTGCCTAGGACCATGCTTGGCACACAGTAGAGCTCACTAAGTATAAATCGAAAGAATGAAGAAAACCCTGAAACCCACTGAGACCAGACAATAGTACCTGTAGAGCTGGTGATGGCCACAAGAGGCCGCTGTTGTGTCGTGGAATGGACAGGAGAGCGGGCAGCTGCTCTTCCACAGCCAGCAGGCCTAGCAGAGTTTTGAGTGGGAACAGCAGGGGGGCACCTAGGTGGTCAAGCGGACAGCTGGGACGTGGAAACATGTTTATTATCGCCCCCCCAGAGCCTCGTGCTCAACACCAACCCTGTTGGCTCCTAGAGATCAGCTGCAGCCCATATTGAGTAAGCTTTTTGAAGGGAACACACCAAAGTGAGAGCATTTCAACAAATACTCAATGGGGTTTGATGGACGCCAGTTCCTGCAGAAAGCCGGCGGGAGAGAAATGAACTTGGCCTGGTCCTGGTACATACAGCCCAGGAGCTGAATTAGATAGAGTTGGGGAGTCACTCTGAGTTGTAGTCCAGAAATTAAATTTCTAAAAATTGCAGAGGGACAGGCATAGAGCCTAGCTTGAATGCTTCCCTTCCTGAATCAGGAAAGTTCCAGGGCCTGTTCTTTGCCCTTCCCTCATTAGTGCGGGATCTGGCCAGCAGCCCGCAATGCGACGGGGCTCTCTCTTTGTTCCTAGGTGGATTGGCAGGTTGAGAAATAATAGACACACACAAGATAGTGAAAGCTGGGTCCAGGGGGTCACCGCCTTTTGGTCCCGCGGTGCCACCAATGCACTGGATATACCAGCATTTATTATTAAGTTTAGTGAGGGCGGGGGTAGGTTAGTGAGGGATTTAGGGTCGTTTGATTATGAGGTGAGATGGTCACATGGGGATGAAGTAATTCTTTAACATAACATTTGTATGTAGAAGTACAGTGCATTTGTATGTAGAAGTACAGTATACAAATAATTTACAATATAGTGTGTGCATCAGTAATTTCTAACAGAGCCTTAAAACAGAAACACAGTCTTTCCATAATCTATGATTAGCAAGATATTAATCAGCAGTAACAGTTGCAGCAAAAGCTGGTTACAAACAATCCATAGAAACAGGACGTGAAGCTAGACAATCGGGTAGACCAGAAATTCTCAGAAGGGAGTATGCCTTAACCCTAAAAAGTCCTAGAAGAGCTGTGGCAAGATGAGGGCATTTATAGCCCTATCTTATCCATATGGACAGGCGCCCCCCATGCGTCCATTTATAGACTCTCCACAAGGGTCTCATTCCATTCCCAGAGCTATGAGCATCTGCTTTTCTGGGATAGGAATCTTGGTGATGTGAAACCTCCCTGACTGCACGTCCATTCTTAGGCTCTCTGCAGGGGGAAGCACATCACGCGCTGTTGGCTCATTCTGGCAGTCCAACCTGGCATTGTCTTTACACAATCCTGCATGCAATTTTGTATTTACAATAATCAGGAGCATTTCATCTTTTATTCCGTAGCAATAGTTTCAGGGGGTCTCCCTACACCTCATTAATATAGCCATCTACATATTCATATGCATATATATGTATATATATGCATATATTTACACATACACACACACACACACACGTGTAGATAACATAATATATAAAACTGAGACCCAGTTCTCCATAAAACTCACCCAGTTTTATTCTCTATGATACAGTATATAAAAGGTCTGGGCTTGGAAATTTTTTTTAAAAAAAGGGAGCCAGGCATAGTGGCTCACACCTATAATCCCAACAATTTGGGAGACTGAGGCGGGAGGATCACTTTAGGCCAGGAGTTTGAGACTAGCCTGGGCAACATAGCAAGACCCTATCTCTACAAAAATTTTTAAGATTTCTGTCCCACTTCTATCTGTGTGACTCAAGATTTACATATGAAGAAGGTGGTCAGCATACCTGTGTTCCCTACTTCATGGGTATTAATCAAATGATGAAATATTGTAAACCCTCCTTGTGAATTGTGGAAATGTCAGGATGGTTTTTCTTTTGTGTGTGTGTGTGTGTGTGTGTGTGTGTGTGTGTGAGAGAGAGAGTCAAAGAGAGGGAGGATCTCACGCTGTTGCCCAGGCTGGAGTGAGTGGCACAATCATAGCTCACTGTAGCCTTTACCTCCTAGGCTCAAGAAATTCTCCCACCTCAGCCTCCCAAGTAGATGGAGCCACAGGTGTATACCACCACACCCAGCTAATTGTGTGGGGGGGGCGGGGGGAACACACGCATGCGTGAGTGCATGCATTTGTGTAGACAGGGTCTCACTATGTTGTCCAGGCTGGTCTTATACTCCTCAAGTGATCTTCCCACCTTTGCTTCCCAAAGTGCTGGGATCAGGATGGTTTTTCTGATGATGGTGGGATGACTTATTAGCTTTTACTAGTGGCACTTGAAGCCACCAGGAATTTAACAGAAGACCCATCCAACCACAGATCCAGGGGAGCCACAGGATTTATTTGCATGTTGTTTGCATACAGTTTAAGAATAATAATATTATTGACCAGGCGTGGTGGCTCGCACCTGTAATCCCAGCACTTTGGGAGGCCGAGGGGGGCAGATCACCTGAGGTCAGGAATTCGAGACTAGCCTGGCCAACATGGCGAAACCCCATCTCTACAAAAAATACAAAAATTAGCCAGGTGTGGTGGTGGGAGCCTGTAATCTCAACTACTCGGGAGGCTGAGGCAGGAGAATTGCCTGAACAAGGAGGTGGAGGTTGCAATGAGCCAAGATCGTGCCACTGCACTCCAGCCAGGGTGACAGAGTGAGACTCTGTCTCAAAAAAAAAGAATAATAATATTATTAATAATAAGAGCTAAAATTTATGGAGCCTTTGCCATAGGCACTTAAACCCATTACATGTAATTTTATTTAATCATCACAACAAATATATGGGGTAAGAACTATTCTAATCCTCCATTATATATAGATGAGGAAACTAAAATTCAGAGAGGTTAAGTTGCCCCAAATGCCAGGCTAATTAATAAATGAGACTTGGACCGAGGCAATCAGCTCCCTTCCCCATCCTCCACGTCAGAGCCTGCTGAATGAGCCAGGAGGATGACGAAATCAGACTTCTCAGAAAATGGCAGCAGGATGTGGTAAACCCGCTTTGAATCTTAGGGTCATGCAGACCTGGTGTGCATTCCAGCTTTACTACTTCTTTTGTTGTTGTTGTATTTTTTTTTTTTTTTTTTTTTTGAGAGGGAGTCTCACTCTGTCACCCAGGCTGGAGTGCAGTGGCGTGATCTCGGCTCACTGCAACCTCCGCCTCCCAGGTCCAAGCAATTCTCCTGCCTCAGCCTCCTGAGTAGCTGGGATTACAGGCACATGCCACCACGCCCAGCTAATTTTTGTATTTTTAGTAGAGACAGGGTTTCACCATATTGGTCAGGCTGGTCTTGAACTCCTGACCTCAGGTGAACTACTTGCCTCAGCCTCCCAAAGTGCTGGGATTACAGGCGTGAGCCACCGCGCCCAGCCCAGCTTTACTACTACTGAACTGCATAAGTGGGCAAGTGATTTATCTCCTCTACACTGCTGGTTTTTCCTCCAAAAGATGAAGATAATATTTCCCCTGAAAGGAGGTTGTTGTGAAGATTAAATTAGATAATACTTAAAGCACCCAGCCTAGTTACTGTCGACATAGAGGTCCATTAAATATTAGTCTACCCCTGTGTCCCCATTAAAGATGAAAAAACCAAAGCACCAAGAGGCTAAATGTCTTAGCCCCTGTGACCCAGTGTGTTCCCCTAGACTTTGTAGTCAGTCCTCAGGCCATCTCCAGATGAGATTTTATCCTTGCTGCAGTTAGTAGTCTAGGACCTAAACTTTTCTCAGTTCTCTCTTAGCTAATTTCTGATCTTCTCCCTCCTGGGATCCTGAGAGAGAGAGAGCTACTGGAAGCCTTTATGCAGCCTCCCTCCTTTCTTGCTTAAAAGGATAAATGAGGGAAGGAGAGGCTAAAAGCTCCCTTGGTCATCAAGAGAATTAAGGCGAGGAGAAGGGGTAATGTGGAGGGCAGAGATCAGTGGCTCAGGTCACGCCTGCTCTCCAGTCAAGAGCCTCTTAGCTCTAAGCCACCCACTTAGGTACAGCAAGATTCACTTAGTGGCACAGTCTAGAGTCACATGTGGTATTAGAGCTGAAAAAGACCATAGAGATTATTACATTTTCAGCCAAGCTTTATATGTGGTAGATGAGGCATCATAGGGAGATTAACTTGCTCAGAGACTCTCATTAACAGAGCTGGCCTCAGCACCCCAGGGTCCTGGCTCCCTGTCCTCTTTGCCTTGTACCACTCTGACTCCCATGACCTTGCTAGTTCTCTGCAGAGCCATTGGCCCTGGAACTTGGCATAGTCAACGCTACGGTGGTGAACTTTACCCTCCCACTGCCATCTTCTCCCCAGTACTCTTGCTCTGCTGTGTACCACTTAGGCTTCTGGCTACCCACGACCCCACACTAAGGTGCCTTCTCTAGGCAAAAACCCAGGTCCCAAAGCTTCCCCTATGCCCATTTCTCTATCAAAACTCACCTTTCCAACATCCTAAACAACTGTAAGATTCAAAAGAAAGTCTGCTATGTAATAAACTCCCCCATGTTCATGACTGATAGTGGACTCAAATGGTTCTATGGTGGTTTCTTTTTAAAACTGATCTCCTAGAGAAATGAACCTTTACTCGAAGGTTAAGGCACTTAAGGTAGAATTCTGGGAATTCTGAAGCAGAAAATCCTCCCAGCACACCTCCAAGAGTACAGTTGAGACAACCACCACCATTGCCACCATGTGATACTAGTCCTGGGTTAGAGGTATGTGTGTTTTCAAGCACTATCTTGATAATGATCTGGTCTCTTTTATGTATCTGAGAAATGCCCTTCTTCTTATCATACCAAATCTAAAGGCATTCATCTCCATTTCCTTGGAGCTCTCTTTTAATCCATCTCTCCTTTCCACCCAGTGCCTGCAGTCAAGAGAGTGCAGGAAAGGCGAGGAGGGTCCCAGCTGCCCTGTTACTGCTTCTTATAGCAACTCCCGAGGCAATTACATTCACCCCTTTCTAAAATTCTCAAGCACCAAGTTTCAAATGCCTCATTCCCACAGGACTTTACCTCTTTCTTACAATGCTGTCTAGGTAAATGGTAATAATGAAAATGATGGTGGTGCCAGATGTAATGGGTTTCTTCTCCACGTTATGATTCATGGTGGTCTGAGGGATAGAAAGAGCCCATTTGGATAAGCACAGTAGTCAAGAACTGAAGTTTATGCCTGCTGTCTTGACATAATTATTAATAGTGCCTTTCACTCTCAAAAGTGTCCTGGTTTGGGTGACAAACTATTTGGTCATCCTATTAGGAGCACAGGCTTTGAAGTGGATTTGACCTGGGTTCAAACCCCAGCCTGTTTCTTACTAGCTGAATGACTTTGAACAAGTTACTTAAGGTCTATGAGCCACAGTTGCCAAATCTACTGATAGAGAATACTATTAGCACTGAGTTCACAGGGTCATTTGGAAGGACTGGCCTTGCACATTGCCAAGCACATGGTAAGATTGCAACGTGAGTCACCTCCAATTCTAAAGTTACAGAGCATACATTGTACAACTTCATTTGTGGACTCACCTAGGCAGGAAAGTAGACTCTTGAGGATGTTTTGCATTGGAAAAACCTGGACTTGTAACCAGACAGACTAGCATTCAAATCCCAGCTGCACCACTCACTAGTTCTATGACCCTGGGAATTTAAATGACCTTTCTGAGCTTCACCTTGTTCATCTGTGCAATGGGGATTAAAATCTCAGAGTTGTTGTGAAGGGAAAATAAGATAAAGGTATTAGAAAGCACTCCATATGAACTCAATAAATGCTGCCTCTTATCATTACATTTGCCCAGGTACACATCCAGGGTTCACTGGTAAGGGAAGAAGCAGATCTAGCCCTGTGCTCTTTCAGTTATATCTTATGGTCTCTGGGGACTGCATTCTTCTTCCTCCATTGATCAAAATGTTGTCCTAAGCCATCGGCATTATTTCCCACTCTAAATCCTTCTCAAGCTCTCCCCCTCTTTATCATGGAAATTAGAAACAAGAAAAGGAAGCATCATGATGACATGCAGCTGGCCCCAGGGTTTTTGGATTAGAACCAAATTTCATGTTTGTGGAACTGATGTCAATTTGCTGGCTATGTGACATTGGGCAAATTACTCCACCCCACTGAGCTGCAATTTCCTCCTGTGTAAAAAGAAAATAATACCCTTTGCAGGGTGAGCAGCAAACCCAAGTCATTCTAATTCCCAAGCCCATGCTTTTAACCTTTATTCTGCTTCAAGTTCAAGAGCTGTTTAGTCTCATGGCCATTTGGGCAGCAGTTAAGATGATAGCAGGTAGTGAGACCAAAGTTTCTGGACTAGAACCTACGTTTCAGGTGCATGGGATTGAATTCAAAAGATTGGGATTTGGGCTAAGGTATGAAGTATGACGCTACCTCATTCGAAAATAGTGTACAAAGCATCTGGCCTGTTTTTTGTTTTACATAACTATATCCCTGTAGCATAAACCATGGCCCACCAGCCAAAACCATCCTGCCACCTATTCTGGTAGCGTTTTACTGGAGCAGAGCTATGCCCATTAATATATGTATGCAATATGTCTGCTTCCTTGGAACTATGGAAGATTGAATTGTTGCAACAGAAACTGTATGGACTGCAAAGGGTAAAATAATGTGCTATCTGACCCTCTACAGAAAAAGGTTGCAACCCTGCTCTAGGGCATAATACCACTTTAAGTTTTAATAATGATAATTACAAGAATACGTGGTGCTGAGTGCTTACTCTATGCTGAGTGCCGTTCTATGGCTTTATATGTATATCTTATTTGTACTTGCAATAAATCCATGATATACACAATTATTCCTATTTTATGAGTAAGGAAACAGACAGAAAGAGGTTAAATAACTTGCTGGAGATCCAGTGGCTGGTAAATGGCACAGTTGGGATTCTAACCCAAGTAGTGTCAAGTATTACATTTCCTTGGAAGTTTGCAAACACATTTTCTTTCCTGATCAACTTGACCACTCATGATATGAGAGACAATTTTAGATGGTTCATAAACACCTTATTAAGAAACATCCTCTCCTATGGTGAGAAAGCCATTCCCTTTCAAGTTCACTTTAACATGACAAATCTCCCTTTTAACAGAGAGAGTGAACAGTCTTTTCACACACAGCAGTACCTTGCTAAAATTTAACTTCTAAATTAAACTTTTAAACTTAAATTTTAAATTATATTTAAAATTTAATATATTTAAAATGTATTGCTTCATTTCATAGCATGTATTTTTTGTGGTCACCTTTTATTTGTGGAAAACAATCCTTGTTTTCTCTTCACAGCAATTTCCTTTCAAAAGAAATTTATTTAAGGATAAAAAAATACAGTCGATTCAGATATTAAGACCATGTTAATAATGGTGCCGAGGGTGTGTAAATATGACACAAATCATGACCGTGGTACAGAAATGAATGACAGAGACCAGGCGCAGTGGCTCATGCCTGTAATCCCAGCACTTTGGGAGGCTGAGGCAGGAGGATCACTTGAGGTCAGGAGCCCAAAACCAGCCTGGCCAACATGGTGAAACCCCATCTCTATTAACAATACAAAAATTAGCTGAGTGTGGTGGCGCACACTTGTAATCCCAGCTACTCAGGAGGCTGAAGCAAGAGAATTGCTTGAACTCAGGAGGCAGAGGTTGCAGTGAGCTGAGATCGTGCCACTGCACTATAACCTGGGCAACAGAGCAAGACTCCATTTCAAAAAAAGAAAAAAAAAAAAAAGAAATGAATGACAGAGATAGGAAGCCCTGCCCAGAGCACTGGCCCAGGAGTAAGGTGTCGTAGCCCTCAGCCCAGCCAGCAGCAGTTTGGTATATGGCTGTGGACAGATTGTCCCCTCCCTGAGCTCAGATTCTCTATCTATTGAGTAAGGAGTTTAAATTAAATTATCTCTAACATTCTGTGGCATCCTAGTTTCTTCTTCTTGGCCTGGAATTTACTATACTTTAACTCGAGCCAATATTAAATGAGACGTGTTAGAGATCCACCCTTTCAAGCCCCGTAAAGACAAAGGACTCCACTGCACCCACTATGTCTTTTCCTCTTTGAGTGAGTCTATTAATTCCTATCTAGATTCCTGCCGAAAAAGGTGAGGAGATAAATGCATGTAGTGCAGGATTCAATTTGTGCTTCTTGCCTAGAAATTAAACAGGTCTGGGTTGGTCCAAGGTGTTTACAGGAGAAAGATAAGTTCTTTGACATGTCCTCATTCACAGCGATTCCACCTGGGCCCAGCAGGCCTTCTGATGGGTTTTCTCTCCCTTTGGAGGGCTCTGTGTCTGCTCACCCAGAGACAGCTGTGGCCATACCTCATGATGGCTGGGGAAAAAAAAAGAGAAGGATTTTTATGAAAAATTACAAGGTGCAGCACTGCAAATGGATGCCAAGCCTATATGAAAAGTAACCTGACTAGAAGCAGCAAGAGTGGAAAACCCCATTCTTCTCACATTTAAAAAAAGTTGTGGGGTAGAGGATGCCCAGGATAGGCCAGGTGCAATAACTTATCCTATTAATCTGCTATATTTAGTTCTTTTACCCCACATCAATCCTGAGAAGGAGTTATCATCATCATTTATTAATTTTATTACACTTTATAGTATAGATTAAGAAACTGAAATTCAAAAACATTTCATTTCTCTCATCAATACAGCCCTAATAGGTATAGGTATAATTGTTCCCTATTTTATATGTAAGGAACTTGAGATTCAGAAAGATTAATTCATGCAGCTAGTAAGGGGTAAAGCCCAGATTGGAACAGAGGTCTGACTCTCTGCAGGCCTTTTCTGTGCACTTCCTCACATGTAGCCTCAGGAAAACTTTATAGTAAGAGAAGGCAAGGGGCAAGAATTTCTCCTACATGTCAGATCATAGGGGCATGGACCTCGCACAACATCTTCATATTTCATTCCTCATTGTGTGTCAAGAATTCCTACGTGGTCAAAATGATGCATCCTTTTTCCCCAGGCATCCACAGAGATTTGAACCATCTGTCAGCCCTTCCTAATGGCAGCTGATGGAGACATCTGTGGCCAAAAGCCACCACTGCCAGCAAGGAGCAGGTTAAGAACCTGTTCTCTGTCTTGATTAAAATTCTTTCCCACAGGCTCTGCACACACTGTGAAGCAAAAGTCATCTGCAAGGCCCAAACCTCTGTCCTCAGGGAGTCCCCATCTGTAGTGGGCACTATCGATGCCCCAACCAGTGCCCCTCAGATCCCCTTTACCCCTTCTGTGATCCGTCTGCCAGCTTCTGTGTGCTCCGCTCCTAATGGCTCACATCTGTGACTTTCTTCAGAGGCCTGCCCTGGGGCTGCCGGATCTGCTCTGCCCTCACTTTTAGAGAGCTGAAAGTGTTCAAAGCCAGTACTGACAAGGGCAGGACTATGGAAGCCCAGCTCTCTTGCATCAAGTCAGGGCCAGGTCTAAGGTAGAATTTTCACTCCAGAGCTCCCCATGGGATCAGGCTGGGATGGAGCCCGAAAATGCATGCTTTGCTTGGCTTCTTCCCCGTCCTGTTCTGCTACCCCACTCCCTCACGAGTTTCTCCTCAGAGCACTCCCTTAATAAGTCACATGCAAATACAGTATCATTCCAGGATCTCCTTCTGGGGAACTTGACCTAAGACATCATTTTTCATCCATAGAAAAGCTACCTTCTTTTCTATGTCCACAGACTATCTTCACCTGAATAGACACCCCCTCCGGGCATCTCCTGAACCAGCCTCCCTGTGGAAGTTGTGTTATGGACATATATATGGTAAATGAGAGTGTCACTGTTCAAAGGTATCACCAGTCTTCTAGGCAACAATAAATTCAACCTGGTGGTGTCTCTGTCCATCTTATATATACAGCCTTTTGGATAAGAACATTTCACTACACATAATGCTGACTTTATCCCATTGCTTTAAAGAAAGAAAGAAAAGTAAGAAAATTGGGTAAAAGTTCTTCTCATCCATCCACTTATTAACTAGGTAACCTTTGATAACTGACCTAACCTTTATTTTACTTAAAAAGGGAAAAGGAAAAGGCCTTCTCTCTGATTTAAAGTCATGTGTGTCCTTCATAGAAAAATTTAGAAAACTTAGAAAAGTACAATAATCCAGACACCCTCACCTCAACCAGTACTTTTTGGAAAATTTCTATCCAATCTTCCTTTTCTCTATGCAGATATTCTTAATTGTGATAGACATTAATTGTGTTCATCATCTGGTCCAGATAATTATCTGGTATGAAGAATGGCCTACCAGACCTTAAATCTGCTACTGTGGACTGTGAAGCTTCAAACTGAGATTGTGGCTACTCCACCATCTCTACCTCAATGACAACAATAATAGCAGAGTCCCCTGCCAACTCAAAATGAGCATATAGTATATGCAAGAAGCAAACTGTTGTTTCAAGCCATTGGGATTTAGTAGCTGTATTCGTTTGCTAAAGGTGCTATAACAAAGTACCACACACTGAGTGGCTTAACATCAGAAACTTATTGTCTCACGGCTCTGGAGCTTAGAAGTCCAAGATGAAAGTGTCAGCAGGGTTGGTTCCTTCAAAGGGCTGTGAGAGAGAATCTGTTCTGTGCCTTTCACCTAGCTTCTTGTAATTTGCTGGCAATTTGTGTGGCATTCTTTGGCCTGTAGAAGCATCACCCCACACTCAGCCTTCACCTTCACGTGACATTCTTTGTGTGTGTGTGTGTGTGTGTGTGTATACACATGCATGCATGCACATGTGTCCAAATTTCCTTATTTTATATGGACACCAGTTATATTTTATTAGGGCCCACTCTAATGACCTTATTTTAACTAATTACATCTGCAACATCCCTACTCCCAAATAAGGTCATATGAGGTACTGAGCATTAGGGCTTCAACATGTGGATTTGGAGGGACACAATTCAACCCATAACAGTGGATGTTTATTACAATGGTATAGTTTAGCCTATACTGGCCAATGCAAGGGATTCTTCTTATGCAGTTTTTTGACCTCCTATTTTCACTTCATAAGCTTAAGTATTTTGCCCACAGTCACAATACCAGTAAGAGGGAAACTGGAATTCTAATCCAGGTTTTTGATTTGTTAGCCTGTTCTTTCGGCCACTCCCTGGGGTTAATCCCTTACAGTGGAGGTGCTTTGTAGTTCCCATAGTTCTCGCCATTCCCTATTACTCTCAGACACTGAGTTTAAGTACTATCTGTCTTTAGGCTTGTCCCATTGACTTTCCTGTACACAGCCCAATTTATTCATTTACACTGCCTGTTTTCCCCCTGTGGACACTGCATTTGCAACCTTGCACTATGGTATAATTCCTTCCCTTTATTATTAAAAAGGCAACTCACACCTTTTGAATTCACTTTCCAGGTCACTAAAAGCCCTAGGGTTATTAAGACAATCTGCACAACCCTCGCCCTGTATTATACCTGTCCCTGATTCTCTGCTCCCACTTTTCAAGCACAGCCCCATGGACTAGGCCCCATCACCCATCTTGTACTTGTTTTCTGCCAAGCAAATTTTCCCTCGAAGGAGTAAACCAGGAATAAAAATATTTGATCAATTCAAGCAAATGGCTTGTCAGGAAATGGCACCTCCTCCTGTGTACATCCTTTATAAGAGATTCTCCCCATTACAAGGAACTCGATCAAATGGCATTTTCTCTCAGTCCTGATGTTCGCATTTCCCAATGCAGAGAAAAGAAGAAACCCTGCTTTGTGAGGCTTATGCCCAGGCAGTGAATCACAGAAGCTCTTCAATCACTTACTGCTTTCTCTCTCTTGCCATTCCCATTGAGCATGATGTCTTTTTCATCCCACACCGAGGGGCTTTGTGTGTGTGCCACTCCTCATTAATTTGATCACAGAGGGAAGATTTAAGATGTGATTCAAGTAAATGAGAGGTTCTCCAGAAGCTATCCACGTAGAGGCATTCTCTTCTAAGCTCTCATCCATGGCTTTGAATTCATTAGCTCGGAGTACACTGTGCCTCCAAAGAGGCAGGTACACTGAGTGTACACACCCTGGAGAGCCTGACTCTGCAGACTGGCACTGAGTCACCTTCTCCTAACCCAAGTTGACAAGACACATGTTGTGTTTACTCCAATTTTCTCATTAATTTCTCTGGCTGCCTGACAGTCTCTGCCTTCTCAGATTAGATTTCTGGAATTAGACTGATCTTAATGCTGCAAGAGAACAACAGACCCTATGCCCTCCTTCCAGGCAGAAGTCCCCATCCCCATTTTGCTGATTAAGGCAACTGAAGCCCTGCCAGGGAAGACCTTTCTAAACTGTTGGGGAGTTTCGAAAGTGTTGGGGAGACTAGCCTTCATGTGTAGGTCAAGTGCTTTGCCTAACCTGCAAGACAACCTCACCAAAACATTTCTCAGGCTGCCTGCCTCTGTGCTGCAGTGTACAACATTAGTCCAGGTTTACATCGGGTATTTTTTAATGCAGCACTTACCTGGAAGGATTGCTATAATATGCCATTAATGCTTAACTGTAAATGAATTTGATCAAATTGACCTCAGCCTCTGATAGGGTCAGCAGGGACAAATTCTAATGATGGAAAGGACTTCAAAAAAAATTGCAAAGGCAGAAGTAATAAGGGCCCCAGGCACCAGGAACAGCAAATGGACACTGGGCACCCAGTTAGGGAGATGAAATGGAGAAAGGCCAAGAGAGTCCAGAGAGATGGAGCAGACAACTCTTAACCACCCAGCAACCGTAGGAGGACTTGAGATGTCAAACACATTTCTGAATATCCAAGCTAAGTGACTTTGAACCACCCCCTTAAAAATCTCTGGCCCCACTGCAAGTATCGAAAGGAGATAATAATGGCTTATTTACCTAAAGGCAGAGGAGTGAATCAAAGATCCCTGGAGAACACTTCCTTCAGGAAGTTTGTATAAATCAAAGTGAACTCCAGTCAATAAAGAAATCCTCTGGTTTAACCCTTCCCAGCCTTAGCATCATCTTTAGAGCCAGACAGACTTTGTTTTAATTCTGAGTTCAGCCACTGTGTAACACTGGGCAACCTTGGATGGGTCCCTAAACCTCTTTAGGCCTCAAGCTTCTTGTCTACAAATAAACCATAAAACCTACCTCACTGGGTTGTCAGACAGTTTTAATAAAACAATGTGTGTGAATCCCTTAGTGCCACGTTGGGCACAAAATAAACACTCAGTAATAACAGTTTAGCTGCCGTGTATCATCCTCATCCTCTCAGACCCACCAGTGTCTTTTGGTAGGTGATAGCTCAGCAAGGTCATGGTGAATGGCATGGGTTCTGGAGTCAGACCATCCTGGTTTCAAATACGGGCTCCAGTGAGAACCAGGTATGTGACCTTGGGCAACTCATTTATACTGAGTTTCGATTCTTTCATCTGTAAATGGGAGTGATTAAAAATGGCTTCCTCTGAGGTGAGGATTAAGTAAGACAATACACATAACTTGCTGAGAGTGGTGGCTAGCACACCGTAAGAGCCTAGTAAATAGGAGATGAAAACTCCCTTTCTCTTCCTCTGCCTTTCTCTCTCTGTATCTCTTTCTCTCTTTGCTGACAGATGTGGTTGAGTAGGGAGAATGAGATCCAGTTCTATCGATGATCAAAGGTAGATGTAAAAACCTTGCTTTTCAACCAGAGAGACAAAGAAGACCCAGTGAACCATCTCAAGGAGCCAAATCTGGTTTTATCCAGCTCTTGTAGTAGTGTTCTGGCTTTTGGGCTGCAGTACAGAAAATTAGTTCCCCTGCAGTCGTCCCCTTCAGAATGGAGCTAGGAGAGATAAAGAGTGGCTAAAGAGCTCTGAACAATAGCTAATCCTCTAATTAGCACTTCAGAGAGTAGTGATAACTGGAATCCACTCTCAGTTCTAAGCTCCAGGGAACAGCAGGGTCTGACCAATGTTTTCCTGGAATCATACCCAAAGCCAATGACCTCCTTCCTTCTAAGTTTGAGTCTCCCTCCTGGAGCGTTGCTCTTTCCCTTTCTTTTGTCGGTGCCTCTTTCTTTTTCCCTTTAGCTCTCTGTTTCCTTCTGGCTCTCAGAACTACTCTCCTCTCCCAACCCCTGCAAATTTTCCCACCTCTTTCTCTCAAAACTACCATACTATGAGGTACTTGTATAATTAGGTGTTCATTCCTTAATTTGTGAGACATTTACTGAATATTTTCTAGGTGCTAAGAATATAGAAAAGAATAAGATGGGCTCCCCGTTCTCAGGGCAATGGACTGATGAACAATGGAAGGATCTTCCAAACAACTATAATATGGTCCGACAAATGCTTTTCCAGAAGTACACACAAGCGTGGGTGTATACGGCAAGTGCCAAATTCTGGCTGGGTGGGGCCCAGAGGAGCAGATGTTGGGCTTGAGACATGAGGAGTGAGTCTAGGTTTTAAAAATAAATGAATCATTCAATCAACTGTGTAGTTCTTGATCCTCATTCAAACACCTGTGACTTAAACATGCATTTGTGAAACAGAAACCAACATTCCTAAACTAACTGACATATGGTGTGTGTAACCCCCACTTTTTCCCTCCATATGTCAGTGACCAATAGGAAAAGGAGCTTCCCTCCTGTGGGGCTCCTTAATCCAAATGGGTGACTAAAGTGAGGATGGATAGGGAACTGAACCAACAAAGTGATTAGAGAAGGCACTAATAAGGCTCCTCACCCATACTAGCTATAGAAAAGGGGGCCCTATGCTTTACAATCTCTAAGCTTTATTCTTAGTGATGAAGCTAAGGTTTTCAAAATAATCCAGTGCCTTCTGTCTCCCATCTCTCTCCCAAACCCAGAGCTGGAGAGTAAGAGAGGCATGGACCTGAAGCCAGACCCCCTACCCAACCGTTGATCAGACTTCACTCTGGACAGATGAAAGGTTTGAGCACTTTCTGAGTGACAGCTCACAGAGCTGGCATGTTACATTTAAGCCATTTACATTTTGGAGCCTGTGAGTCTGTCAAAACAATGCCACCCCCTGCTGTGACTCTGGCATAATAACTGGCTTGTGCAGAGCAAATCTTGACTCAACTTCCATGTGACCAACCATGTGAATGTGTGCAGATTAAAAGACAGAAAGAAACGAGATTTTTATTATTTTTTTTTTAATCTTTAACAAATACAGGCACCTTTTGGTCCAGGTTTCCCTCTGATTCAATGTCATGCACTAGTAAATCTGGATCTGAGACAGCCCAGTTTATCTTGGAGTATTAAGGACTTAGTGAAGCAAAGAAAACTCATTCTAAGGGTTTAAAGGAAGTTAAAGAATATCCTGTTACATTTTCAGGTTAAGGATCCTAAATGCCTTATTCACTGGTATATTCCATGGATTTGCCCAGGGTCTGATGTGTAGAAGATGACCGACAATATTCGTTGAGGGAATCAATGTTTTCAACAACACCATCTCTACCACTCCACCCCCAAAACCATACAAGGTTTCCTGCCATTCATCTATCCCTGGTAGTGTTGTCATCCATACCGCCTCCTCACATTTCTTAGAGAGCTACTTTGGATGATCCATCCTCATTTCATTTCTGAGTAGATTTACATCTTGCAGCTGAACCATTCATTCACTCTTTCATCAACTCTATGTTGTGTGGAGGGCCTATTTGGATCAAACACTTAATTAATGACAAAATTACAAAGGTAAGAGGCATATGGAAAATACCTTTGATAAGACTATAGTCCAGTAGAGAAGACAGGAACATGGGCCTCTAAAATCTAGGGTATGAGGCTCGGAGGAGATGAATAAAGACCAACATAGGAAAGAGAGGGAAAATTCTCAAGGGAACCCTAATAAGGTGTTCAGAGAAATGGAAGATGTCTAATTTGTGGGTATTAGAGCTTGGGAGTGTGTATCAGTGAAGGAACTATAAGTTGGGTATGTGTGGCGCAGCTAGGAGAATTGTCCGTCCTGGGTTGCCCGAAAACAAGCTAGCTAGGACCAGGATCCCCCCTCCTTCTCCACACCAGAAGGGCTGCCCCCACACTCAGCTTTCTACAGGACTGCTGGCTTCCTTCACCTGGGAGGGAGGACTCTAATTTTCTATGCACCGTAAGATGAATTGCAGGACAGCTGGTGTCCCCACACTATTTCTTTACATGGTTGGCCCCATAATTCTGGACTGATAGCACCGAGTAGCCTATGTGTTCCACCCTCTTCAAAGACTGTTTTCTCACTTTTGGTCTACAAATGGGAGAAGAACAGGGCCCACTTGGTCCCTACTGGCAATCAGATCCTTACTGCAGGCCCAGAAATGGCTCCTCCCTGTGAAGTATAGAAGCACCAGCTTTGTAAGTTTTCCATTTCCTCAATAAACCTTATTCGTTGTGCCATGTCAATCAATTTAAACCAAACCATGATGCATCATAGGCAGAGATCCACAAGGGTCCACCTCATATGACATGGGCCTGGGGACCCTGCAGAGGTAGGCAGCAAGGGTATCCTGGTGTGTGCAGGGTATGAACTATCCTGGTGTGTGCAGGGTGTGAACTATCGTGTGTGCAGGGTGTGAACTATCGTGGTGTGTGCAGGGTGTGAACTATCCTGGTGTGTGCAGGGTGTGAACTGGAGGAAGGGGGAATATATTAGGTTGGTGCTGCAGTTTTTGCCATTGAAAAGAAATGGCAAAAACCACAAGGACTTTTGCACCAACCTAATAGTAAAGAAGAGGGGATAGTGTGCGCTAGGAGTCATGGGACTTGGGACAGCAGGGACGGCCGGAACCTCTTTTGGGCAAGGCCTTTGCAGCAGACATCTGTTGTTTCTGCTTGCCTGCCTTCTTCCCGTTCTATTGCTAATAGTACATCAATGTTTCTCTGAAGAAACTTCCTTTCCCATACCATGCAGTCTGGCGGGCCTGTTAGTGCTGGCCATTCTCTGGCCAAGGAAAGAGCTAATTCATGCCATGAGAACCTCTCAGGGATTTAAATCCTGAGCACAATCACCAGGAACTGAAAACCATGGCACAGACTCACCAGATGGAGTCCCTAGGGAGTGAGTCCATTCTTGCCCTGGATCCCTCTGCTAGCCCTGCTTGAGGTGCCCACCTTTCCTTTGATTCTGTCAGCCCCACAGTCTTCCACCAGGTCCCCTTTGGGCCTGAGTTAACTTGAGCCAATCCGCAATTTGCAAACAAAGAAGCCTAGTGGCCAGTCTTGAACACTGAAGCTCACTGAGTGAATGCCATCCCAGGGCAAGAGTAACATTAGAATACATGCCTGATGTCTGTATGGTACTGTGCAGTTTCCTCACACTATTAGAGATATTGAAAAGTCAGATTCAGAAAATTTGGGGCCATCTGGCTTAGTGCTGTGACCTCAGACTCCTGCTGGGGATGTTCAATTAGAGAAAGAGATGTGTTGGTATCAAGGATGGCTCTTTATCTTTCCAACTTTTCTGAAGCTTGATAAAGAAATCAAAATTCTGTGTGCATGTGGGTGTGTTTCTGTGCCCAAGTGTCCTTGGGTGGTATTCCAAGAAGTCAAGCAATTTATCTGTCACTGTCATTTGCAAGAATTGCTCTTGGTTGATAAGATTTAAACCCAGCACATCCTCCAGTGCCTGTTGACAACCACTCCTGCCTGGAGCTCTGCCTGGGATCAGTCTTGCTCTGATTCTGCTCCATACTTTACTGCATTGGGTCCTGGAGATAAGAGATACCTAGCATGATTCTCAGACGATGTCCTCTTGAGCAAAAGCCTTTAAGCTTCCAGCTCACCTGCCCACATTCAGGCAATGAGCTACACATGTCCATCCCTTTCCCAGATTCCTCTCTACTGGGTAGAAAGGAGGAAAGAACCACATGAATTGTCAGAAGCACAACTCCAAAGCCCTTGAGGAAAAGGGCAAACTGAAAAGTTGCTGGATCTCTAGCTACATGATCACTGGGGCTCTACTCCTTGGTTTTGTGTGTAATCAACAACAGAGAATTTTGTTCCTCACTGCAGTGGGTTTTGCCATCAAACATAGTTGTCTTAGAGTCCATTGTCATCTTACCAAAGATGCATTCTGTACAATGCATACTGGATAAGGAAATTAAATCCAGGCTAGGAAAGGCAACTCAAGGTCACTATTAAATATATGGTCTGATTAATAAGGACATTTTTAATCATCTTAGAATCTCAGAGCCAGAAGCAATTTTAAAGGCCATCTATTTTCCAATTTTCATGTAATCCCCTCAAATTAAAAAATACATATACATGGATATGCGCATATTGGATGCTTATAGGCACTATGCTAAGTATTTTATATGTATTCTGTCATTGATATACTCTGAATCCTTACAACAACCCTCTGCAATAACCACCATTATTCTCCATTGTACAAACCAGGAACCTGGGGCTCAGAAGGTTTGGTCATTCACCCCACGTCATGCAGCAAGTATGTAGCAGAGCCTCTTCAGAGAAGGTGTCCCTGTAGCTCCTGGCCAAACCTGACCTGCGTGTGTACCTTAAAATTTTCCAGTATAGCTTCAATAATTTTTTTTTTTATTTTTGAGACGGAGTCTCCCTCTGTTGCCCAGGCTGGAGTGCAGTACACGATCTTGGCTCACCGTAACCTCCACCTCCTGGATTCAAGTGAATCTCGTGCCTCAGCCTCCTGAGTAGCTGGGATTATAGGCACCCACCACCACTCCCAGCTAATTGTTTTATTTTTATTAATTATTTTATTTTATTTTATTTTTGAGATGGAGTCTTGCTCTGTTGCCAGGCTAGAATGCAGTGGCACAATCTTGGCTCACTGCAACCTCCTCCTCCTGGGTTCAAGCGATTCTCTGCCTCAGCCTCCCAAATAGCTGGGACTACAGGCATGTGCCACCACACCCAGCTAATTTTTGTATTTTTAGTAGAGATGAGGTTTCACCATGTTGGCCAGGATGGTCTCGATCTCATGATCTCGTGATCCACCCGCCTCGGCCTCCCAACGTGCTGGGATTACAGGCGTGAGCCACCGCACCCGGCTGGCTTCAATAATTTTAAATGGAGGGTTTAACATTAGAAATATTCAGATTTGCACCTTTCCCTGAAAAGTCAGAAGACCTGGCCACACTGGGCTGGCATTCCTACATGGGAAGAATGAGCTCAAGCCAAGTAGTAGTCACCCCTTCAGACACAAATCAGATCACTGCAATAACCTGCTTAGGCTTTTCAATGGCTCCTAATCACACTTAGAATAAAATCCAAAGCCCTCACTACAGCCCACAGGGTCAGGCCTCTGCCTGCTGCTCCACTCTCGTCTTGTCTGACTCTCTGCTCCCCCATGCTAGCATTCTCTCCAGTCCCTGTACTTAAAAAGCCCCGTCCTTCTTCAGGGCCTTTGCTCTTACTGTTTCCTCCTTTGGGAAAGCTATTTCCTCTAGTCTGCCCATGTCTGACTTGTACTAAGCCTTTTGCTTAAATACCACTTCCTCAGAGAGGCCTTCTTGACTCCTGTAATAAATAGAATAATGCCTACTCCCCCTCTTGAAGATGCCCACATCCTAATCCCCAGACCCTGTGAATGTGTTACCTTACATGGCAAAAGGAACTTTGCAGATGTGATTAAGTATCTTGAGATGGGCAGATTATCCTGAATTGTCCTGGTGAGCCTGATGTAATTGCAGAAGTTCTTATAAGAGGAGGGTGGGAAAGGCAGAGTGAGAGAAACAGATTTAACAGCAGATATAGAGGTTGGCATGATGTGAGGAAGCGGCCCTGAACTGAGAAATTCAGGTGGCCTTTAGAAGCTGGAAAAGTGAATTTTCCCCTCCAGAATCTGACCTTTTCTGTAATCCTAAAACTTCTCTAAAAAATAAAGTCTATGAATAGTAATAAGAAAGAGAGAAAAACATGCAGACCCCTTTGGTTTAAATCTGGGTCAGGCACTTGCAAGTTGGGAACTCTTAGGAAGGTTATTTAATCTCTCAGCCTCAGCTTACTCGGCTGTAATATATGTCTCTTTCTACCCACCCGATGGAGCTGTTGTGAAAAACAAGTTAATGCCTAGTGTAGTTCCTGGCATCGTGTAGCAAGCACTCATAAGTATTAGGCTTAGGGATGGGGGGGAAGTGGAGATGTTGTTTGTTTTCTGTAAACACTCAAGAAGACATTGAAATTTTACTTGCTGGGAAGCTGTTGCTCAGAACTGCCTGCAGAATGGAATGTCATGCAGAGAATCTTGAGCCTCCAAGAGGAATGCAGCCCTGAGACACCTTGGCTTTAGCCCAGTGAAGTTGATTTTGAACTTCTGACCTCTAGAACTGTAAGAAAATATGTTTATGTTGTTTTAAGCCACTAAGTTTGTGTCAATTTTGTACAGCAGTAATAGGAAACTAATACAACCACTTATTTTAAAATACTCCCTTCCCCATTACTAGTCTCAAACTTAACCGTTTATTAGTGTCCATCCATGCACTTACCACAACTTGAAATTATTGTATTTGATTGTCTGCTTGCTTAGTTTTGGTCTCTGTGACTGCTAGACTGGAAGTCCCAAGAGGACAATACTATGTCTTTCTAGTTCATGGCTGTTATCCCAAAATAGAGCAACTGTCCAGCAACTGTAGGAGCTCAGCAGATATTTACTGAATAACTAAATTGGTTATTAAATAGTTTGCCTCGCTATTGATTTCAGGTGCCCTCATTTGAGTATATTGCAAGTTGAAAATGTCCCTACTTAAAGGTGGAATTTATGCTTGAACTCAGCCAGGTGCAAGTATTTCTCTAAAGCATAAGAAACAATCAGAGATTTTAAGGAAATCAGGCAGCAAGCCCAATGACAAAACAGGCAATATTCCCAAGATAAATTCATGTTCTGTTTCTTACATGCTTGCTACTCTCAGTGTCACCAGGGAGCTTGTTAGAAATGCAGAATATCAAGCCTCACCCCAGAGCTACTGAATCAGAATCTGCATTTTAACAAGATGTCCAGAAAATCCATATGCATGTTAAAGTTTCAGAATTGCGGCACCACATATTTGATTAAAGGGAAGTGCTCTTCAGAAAAACGAGCTACAAGTATACCTTCCATGGGCAGATGCAGCAAGCACTATCAACCCCATCACAGCCTGAGTGAGCCCTGACTCAACGGCTCTATGCTGCCATATCCCATCACCTGCTCACTAGGCTGAATTCTCTGTGGAGCCAGACAAAGAGGTGATGAATTTTTAGGCACCCATAAGTTCAATCAGAACTAGGCTTGAGCAGGGGAAGAAACCCCTTCCCACCAATGATGGTGGTAGTGGTGGTGGGGTCTGGCTTTGTTGACTCCTGCCCTGCATTATTCTTCCAGGAGTGGAAGAAACTAGAAACTACTGAAAGCCTCTAGGTAGCTGGGTCAGGAGTAAGCCTACTGAGCTACTGCTACCCAGAAAAACCCCTCACACCACCCCATGTGTCCTACAATAAATGTTTGCTAAAAAAATGTGTTTGTTAGTGCAGATGGGACCCCCGTATGCATGGATTCACTATCTCTGTGCTTCAAAAAGCTCTTGTTAGTCCTTTCCAGTGGCCAACACTCAGTGCAGCATGTGGAGCATAATAGATATGTAATAAATATCTGTTGAATGAATAGTGAATCTACAGATGGTCTGTTGGGAAAACTGAGCCATACTGTTCTTATAGTACCTACCATTCTTCACCTGTATTGGCAAGTCCTTGTAGTAGCAAATATCAGAAACCCAACCAAAATACACTTGAATGAAAAAGAATGTACAGGTGCACATGAATACAGTTTGATTGTGGGTGTATATTATATCCTTATGACCTAATTTCTCTTTTTCATTTCTCCCACAAATGATCCTGTTCTCAGACACATTCTCCCTTGGGCCACAATAGAGCTGCCACTGCTCCTCATACCCTCTCAGCTTCAAATTTATGAACTCTCAATGCAGGTTTCATTGGTTCCCACTAGGTAACATTCTCATTCCTAAATCAATCCCCTGGGAAATGCAATTCAGTAATGGGTTTAAGTCTGGTCTTAGGTTCCGCACCTGCCGTATGGCAGTGGGGTGATGGCTATCCATGCTTGAACATTCCTGGAATGTTCTCCAAGCAAAAGCTCAGAGAAATGAAGGTCATGTTCAGGGAACAGTGAGGTCAGAATAAAATTGGGATGAAAGGCGAGGGTCAGATTAGGAAATATCTGAAACTTCAGCCTAAGTAATGTGCCTTCAAGGAAGCTATAGATTGTAAAAATTAAAAATATATACCAGGATAAACAAACTATGGTACATCCATACAATAGAATATTACTCAGCAAAAAAAAAAAAAAAAAGAAGAAGAAGAAGAAATGAGCTATCAAGCCACAGAAAGACATAGAGGAACATTAAATGCATATTGCTAAGTGAGAGAAGCCAATCTGAAAAGACTATGTACTACTGCATGCTTTTAAATATATGACAACTGGAAAAGGCAAATCTATGAAGACAGTGAAAAGATCAGTGGTTGCCAGAAGTATGGGGAGAGGAAGGAGGGGATGAATAGGTGGGAGACAGGGCATTTTTAGGGCTGTGAAACTTTTCTGTATAATAGTATAAGGTAGATACATGTCATTACACATTTGCCAAAACCCACAGAACGTGCAACACCAAGAGTGAATCCTGCTGTAAACTATGGACTGGGTGACTATGATGTGTCAGTGTAGATTCATTATTTATAATAAATAAACCACACTAAGGCAAGATGTTAGGGGAAACTGAGGTGGGGATAAGAGAGTATATAGGAACTATAATTTCTGCTCAGTTTTTCTGTAAACGTAAAAATCTCTAAAAAATAGTCTATGAATAGTAATAATAAAAGAAAGTGGGAGAAAAATGCAGACCACTTTGGTTTAAATCTGGGTTAGGAGCTTACAAGTAGGGAGCTCTTAAGCAGGTTATTTAATATCTCAGCCTCATGTTACTCAGCTGTAATATGTACTTATTAGTACCCAACTCATAGTGCTGTTGTGAAAAACAAGTTAATGCATGAAGCACCTGGCATCATGCAGCAAGCACTCATAAGTGTTAGGCTTGGGGGTTGTTGGGGAGGTGTCTTTTGTTTTCTGTAAACACTCAAGAAACCATTGAAATTTTCTATGCTGGGAAGCTGATGTTGAGGACTGCCTGTAGAATAGACTGTCACTCAGAGAAGTTAGGGTCAGGAAGATAAGTTAGGACATTATTCTGAGAGGAATGTGGACATTGCTGTAGAGATAGGGGAGGTAATGATGGAAGAAGTGTTGATTAATGGGGAATATGAAGAGGAGCCTTGGAAGGAGAACAGGGTGCCTTGAATGAAGACCAGAAATGTTGGGGTTTGGGGGAGTAAGCACTGGAATCTTAAACTGATGAAAGAACTGTCTGGATTACTGAGATCATTTACCCCTTCCTCTCCAGCTCAAGATAGTCTTCGTGGCTGACTGCCATACAAGAATCCTAACATCATTTCCTTTCTCCAAAGCAGAAAGTGGAGTTTTACACAGAAATTTACCTGCTAGCTACACTGCTGCCTTGACATTTTAAGTGGTACCTGCCCTTCTGCGTCAGACATTTCCCTCAAATGAGAAAGTGACAAGCTTCCCTAATGGGCGTTTGTTCGAATGTTCAACCAAGTGAGAACTCGGCTAGAGTGGGGAAATCTGGCGCCTGCTGAAGACAAAGGGAACATCAGCAACAAATATATTCAGAGCAATTATCTTGGGGACCTCCCACCCAGTGTCCCCTCCCTTAGCCAAGCAACATCTTCAGGAGGAAGGCTGAGCGCTGGCTGTCGTGCCTCCTCCCTGCCTCCTGCTGAGTCACCATAGCAAATTGCAGCAGACAAATAGAGCAGCCTCAAAATTGGCAAGATCAGGTCCTAGGGAGCACAAGCATTGGCCTTTTCAATTTGAAAATTTGAAAATTTCAATTTTTAAGACAAATTGGCATAAGACTCTCATAGAAGAAAGAACAGTAAAGGTCGTGTGGACCCATCTTGCTGTCCTGTGATTGAACCCCTTCTGTCATGTTGTTGCCATGTGGTTCCCTAGCTATGCTTCAAGCTTACATCCAGGGACAGGGAGCTCACCACTAAAACAGGGCTACCTGGTTAATTCAAGGGCTTAGAGCTAACCCATTAATTTTACAGCTGGAGAATTCAAAGCTCCATGAGAAAGTGCCTTGCCTTTAATTGCCAGATGAGCCAGGGGCTGACCTTCCCATGTATTCTAGAACCCCTCCTTGAGCACGTTTACCAGGCAGAACATGATGGTTAAAAGGTCAGGTTCTCGTGGTGTCTGGCAGACCTGAGTGCAAAACCAATCTATTGCCCTCGGTCAAACTATTTTTTCTTTTTAAGTTCCAGGAGTTTTTTTTGACTAAAATATAGGGACAATAATTGTACCTACTTACTGGTTTGTCATAAGGATTACATGAGAAAATGATACAGCATACTTATCATACAGTGCCTGACACATAATACACGAGCAATAGTGGCAACTACTAAATATAATTGGTACTAAATTTGCTTATGTTTACCTACCATTCCAGTTGAGTATTAGAAATCATATTTACCGTCCTGACCCTGGACTGCTCATTATTTTGTTCTGTGTAGATTCCAGGGTCTGAGAGAGAGCCAAGATGAATATGGCCTTCCAAGAAGACATGCTGACAAGAAAAGACTCAGAGTGCCCAGGAGCTTCCCCTTCCTACCAACCCTGCAGCCTGGAACCCTAGCCATACCTCTCCCTGACTGTGGACAGTACAGCCTTTGAGCTGAGCCAAGCTGCTCCCCTGGCGATTTCCATAAGAGTACCACTTATCAGCACCTTGGACAGCATACAAATGATTCTGCATCTCCAGGTAAGGCAGGTGTCAGTTCCTTGACATGATATAGGGTTGGTGGCAGCAAGAAGGGTTGCAGAAATCTTCTTTCCCTGTGACCAAATTCCTAGGGAAATTGCACATACAAGGGAATAAAGCACTCAAACTGAGAATAAAACCTCCCGTATGTCTGGTTTTTATTCTCCACTTCCCACAGAAAGCCCACTGCTTATTAGAAATTTGGGATACAAAAAAACAAATAAGGATGGTATTCATTCCAAAGAGAGTGATTGGAACCAAGTAGGTGCATTTCACAGGACTGGCTGATTTGCCAGCTCCGTTTCTCTGGCATTGTTACAATTACAGCTATTCTTGGGGATGTAATTCATTATGGACCCCATTATTCCCAAGAATCAGAGAAGAGCAAAAATCAAAGGTTTATCATCTGGCTGTGGCATGTAGAACACAGCAGGCTACCTGTTGGGCACATCCAGGTGGCAATCAAAAACCAGAGCTCAGGGACAAATACACATTCTGCTGAGCTCTTCCGTCTACCCAGAAGAAATGATGCTATTTGCATCAGGGAAAGAAGGTTGCTGGCCCTTCTGTCAGCCTTCTGAGCAATTTTTAGTCATCTGGCCAACAAAGGTTGAGCTGCTGCATGTAAAAAAGGGGGCATAGTCACCTTCACTCCCAGAGCTCAGAGGAAGAAGGACAGTTACTACTATGTGCCAGCATTGTGTTCAACATCTTATATGTGTAGGAGTGGTGTTATTAAATTCCATTTAGCAGAAGACAAAACTGAGGCTCAGAGAAGTTGTTTAGGATTCTTTCCATGACAGAACCCAATTTTGACTGGCTTAAATAAAAAAGAGAATACGTTAGCTCAAGTAACTCAAAAGTCTAGGGGTAAGTTGGTCTTCAGGTATGGCTGGATAGAGGAACTAAAACATGTCCTGGCAGTCCATCGCTTGCCTTGGCTTTCCTGTGTTGCCATCTCCACTACTTCCTCCCCTCTCTCCCTGGCCCTGTATATACACACACACCAACATAGGCTCTTGCTCTTGGTTGCAAGATGGGAACCACAAACTCTTGGCTTCATTCTTCTAGCCTAGCAACCCCAGTGAAAAGAGAGCTTCTTTGTCTCAATGGTTCCAGCAAAAGTCCCAGGACTCACACCCATTGGCCTGGAGTCAGTGAGGTGGGACAAGCACTGACTGGCCATGCCTGATTCAAGGACCCATAGCTGGAGCTGGGGGAAAGCCTAGCACTCCAATATCGCACTGGTTGAGAGATGGAGCAGGGTTATTTCTGCATGAAATTCGACTTGCAGCTTCAAAAGAAGGAGGAAAGGAGACAAGCAGACAACAAAAACCAATGTCCATTGTAGCCACCCTGCTGACAAGCAGCTGCATTCTTCCCACAGTCACATGTGTATCACTAGTGCACATTTGGCTTTATCAGGCTTCTGCTCTGGGACCATGCTATGCTACTAACAGAGATAATATTTTATGTTCCCAGTGGGTTCCAAAGGAGAAGACCAGAAAATTATGCTAGGTAATTGAGATTACAACCTGATACCTTCTCCAGATCAACCATTTTCCACCCTTGGGCTGATTGATAACCAGGAAGAAAGTGATCAGGGTTGTTCTGATGAAAGGACATATAACTTATTATCCTGCCCAAGGAACCCACATATAAAAAGTTGTGCCTCTACTGTGTTTAAAGTCTTACATAATACATTGAATTCAGAAAAAAAAATGACAAGGAATAAAGGACTATTTAAGCCACTATTCTTGCCATCAGGAAGTAAGGAATAATTAATTTTTTTCACAATAATAGCAATTGCTAAATGTGTACCAAGTGATTTACACATACAGTTGCTTCATGTAACCTTCACAACAATCCTGTGTGTGTCTAATATTAAAGTAGCCATTTGATCCAGGCTTGGTGATATTAAGTTGCTTGCCTGGTATCCACAGCTAGCAAATGGCAAACCCAGGATCTGAACTCAGGTGTCTCTGATTTGAAATTAGTGTTCTTGACCACATGCAAAAATCTGTATGAACCCCCATTCTTGCTAGGAGACAAGGTAGTTTCTTGGAGAAGGTAGCATTCGAGCAGTGTATCCATCAGAAACTTTTGGTTGTACATGACAGATTCCATTCATACTGGCTAAGCAGAAATATAGGAGTTGGTTTTTGTTGTTGTTGTTGTTGTCCTATGTAAGTGAAAACCCCAAGGAGAGATGGAACTGCAAGCACAGGCTGATCCAGGGTCACCTGATGTCTGCAGGGCTCACTCTCTGTCTCTCAGTTCTTCTCTCTTCTGTGGTTAGCTTCATTCTAAGGCAGACTCTCCCCTCACAGTGGCAAGATTACTATCAGTTTCTTGAGACTCATATTCTCCTAGCCAAGCCATCTCAGTAGAAAAATGGCATCATTATTCCAAGAATTCCAACAAAAATTCTAGACCTGAGTCTCACTGAACCATCTTGAGTCATGTGCCCATTCTGGTAGCCAGGGATACACTGATTGACCATCTCCAGAGTCAGAGGCAGCAGTTCGAATCAACTTCACTGGAAGCATATAGCATAGATGAGAACGGAGGAAGGTGTTTATATATTTGCTATTACCAAGAGAAGAGTAAGAGGTATTAAATTGGTAAAAACAATTGGTGGTTGTATTATTTATCTACCATATTCAACAAACCACCCAAAATGTGTAACTTAAAATAACAACCATTTATTTAGCACAAGATTCTGTGGTTGGCATGCATCTGTGAATAGATGCCAGGTTAACTTGGGGCTGATTGGTCTAGAGCCCTTAGCTGGGGTAGATTGTCTCTGTTTCGCAGGTTTCTCAGCCTCCAGCAGGCTAGTCCAGACTCATTCACACAGTGACAGAAGATTTCCAAGAAAAAATAATTTAAGCCCTTTCAGACCTCTGTTTGCATCGCATTTGCCAACATCCCACTGACCAAAGCAAATCACATGACTAAACCCAGAGTCAGAATTGGAGGGCATGCCAAGGGGCCATGGATTCAGGGAAGTGAGGAATTTGTGGCCCTGTCTGCAATCTACGACTATGGTCATTTCAAATAGCACTAGAATCATGTCTAGCATATAATAGATCCGCCAGTCAAATAAAATCTTGTCATATAAATGACAAGGTTAGGATAAAGGAAGAGAAAAGAAGGCCTTCAGGCAGAGGAGACAGTATCTGCAAAGGCCCAGAAGTGGTAAATACAGGCTTATTTGTATACTGGTGAGTTTGCATGCTGTGGTTGAAAAATGGAGTAGAGGAAAGGTGGGGTTTAAGGCCATATTAGGGAAGACTATGGGTGTCGAGCTTAGGATTTGGACTTCTATTTCTATGCATTGGGGAACTGTTAAAGGTTTTTGAGCAATGGTATGATTCAATTAACAAACTCTGAGCAGGGTTTTAAAAGGTAGCTTTAGGCAGATGGCCTTCTTTAAAAGACAAAAATCTCAGGGAAAGGAAGGGACAACATCCTTAAAAGCACAGAGACAGAGCAGCTGCAGAATCTACTCTGCTCCAGTGGGCACCAAAACTGGGTTTGGAAGTCATCTTTTCCTTGGCATGTGCCAGATCCTGAGCTTCCTCCTGCCTCCCCAACACTGGGAGGACTTGGAGACACTCTGTATCCTGAGCACCAGGCAAATGCTATTCGTTTTCCTTGACAGTTTGTGTGTGTCCACCCCAACACCTGGGACCAGCTGGTTATTGGTCCGAGATGTTTCTTGATGGGTCTTCAATGTGCTAGACCCTCTTTGGGAATAATATTTTTCCATGCAGGTGAGGAGAAAACATACATATATATATATGTATATATATATATATATATATATATGTATATATATATATATATATATACACATATATATATATGTATACATATATATATATATAGAGAGAGAGAGAGAGAGAGAAAGAGATGTGCACATATTTATAATAAATGTAAATAAATGATATATAATTACATATATGTATATATAAATAAATATAGAGAATAATAGTTCCCATCTACTGCTCTGTTCTGAAATCCAAACCTCCACTCACAGCTGACCTATCGTAACCTTTGCCAGCCCCTCCCATCAGATGCTAGGAGGCAGTTTGTTCTGCAAGCTTCCCAGCAAACACCAAAGGCCCAAGCACCACTTCAAAGTGTCATTTCTCTGTACAGAACCTCTCCAAGCCCAGTCACAAGCCCAGCAGGTTCTGGACATGACTGAGATAGATCATTTTTGTCCCCTTATTTGCCTAAATGTGTGTCTTGCCTCTCAGTAGGAATGCTTTGCACTGTGGGCTTTTTGTTAGTTTATTTGTATGTGTGTTTTAGCAAACGAAATAAATGCTGGTCTGCAGCAAACAACAAACCCAGAGGCCACATGTTTGTCTTTTGAGAAACAATAAGGCTGGGTGCAGTGGCTCATGCCTGTAGTCCCAGCACTTTGGGAGACCAAGACAGGAAAATTGGTTAAGCCCAGGGGTTCGAGACCACCTGGGCAACATGGTAGAACCCCGTCTCTACAGAAAATACAAAAAAAAAGCTGGGCATGATGGCACGCACCTGTAGTCCCAGCTTCTCAGAGGCTAAGGTGGGAGGATTGCTTGAGCTCAGGAGATCGAGGCTGCAGTGAGCCATCATTGCCACTGCACTCCAGCCTTAGTGACAGAGCAAGACCCTGTCTCAAAAAAAAAAAAGAGGCTGGGCGTGGTGGCTCACACCTGTAATCCCAGCACTTTGGAAGGCAGAGGTAGATGGATCACTTGAGGTCAGGAGTTCAACACCAGCCTGACCAATATGGTGAAACCCCATCTCTACTAAAATTAGCCAGGCAAGGTGGTGCACGCCTATAGTCCCAGCTACTCGGGGGGCTGAAGCAGGAGAATCACTTGAACCCGGGAGGCGGAGGTTGCAGGGAGCCAAGATCATGCCACTGAACTCCAGCCTGGGCAACAGAGCGAGACTCCCTCTCAAAAAAAAAAAAAAGAGAGAGAGAGAGCAAAACAATAAGCACCATGATCATACACTGAAATGATATCCCACAGTGATCCTCGCAACAGCATTGCAGAGTTTATTGTGGTATAGTCTTCATCAATGACTTCAGCTCACTGAGGCCAGAGGTGGCACCTGCAGCCCCCAGGGGCCGGATTTAGAGCTTGCAGGTGCATGAATTGCTGCAGTTGCTCATTCACACCCAATTTCCATCTACTGATGTCCTCTGAGAGAGAAGGCAAGAATCATAGCGTAGTGCAGGACTCTGTTCTAAGTACTTTATATATTTAAACTCATTCAGTCTTCTTGAAGAAATTGAGACACAGATACATTTTGAGACCTGACACAGGTCACACAGGTTGATGGTAATGCTTTTCTTTTTTTCATGATTAAATACTCAAATTTAAAATTGAAGCTAAAAATAAAAATAAGTGAATATTTTAAATAAAATGGGTTTAAATAAATGGAAGACTCTACTATATCTTATTGGAAAGAGCAGTGAACAGCTCAAACATGACCTTTGCATCAGACCTTCAGGACCCCATACACGCTGTCTGCCCTCTCCACCACTGGAGAAGTGTGGTCTCCCTACCTTCAGATCCCCCTGGAGAGGCCCCACACTATTCCCGTGGCATCACTTCTAATGCAATGATCATCACCATTTATGTTCCTGTCTTCCTCAGTAGAAGTGAGATTTCAGCACCTAGCACAGTGTCTGACACATAGCAGACACTCAATACTTGGTTGAAAACAGAAATTTATAAGAGTTCCTAAGTTCAAGCTGGTGCTCATAATTGCAGCGACTATGAACAAGTCATTGCCTGCTCCATGCCTCTGTTTCCACATAAAGGAAAACTTTAGACAGCAGGCATCACTCGTTAGTTGCCTGAGTGGTGGTAAACTCAGAAAAGCTGTAGCTGTGGAATTCCAAGCTCAGAACCTGAGAACTAGGAGGGCATACCTGCTTGACTGCAGGCAGGAATGAGCCTTCCCAGCCCACTGCCCATCATTGGCAGTGTCTGCAAGTGAAAGCCCACCTCTGCACCCTTGCTGCGGCTCTGTGGCTGTGACATGCAGCACAGAGGTGTAAATGAGTTAGCAATGGCACTTCCCTGAATCATTGCATCATCCAAAGACTGCGAGGTGGCAGCTGGCATCTTTGGCCACTGCTGTGGATCAGGCAGCGTCTGTTGCTCTAGGCACCCAGCTGGCTCTGTTGTGGAAAGACTGGTGAGGGCTGCCTTCCTTCTGCTGTGCGTCTTGGCCAGGAACACTGAGCAGGGAGAGGGAAGTCATCAGTGACACTTGGCTTAAAGCTGATCATATCCCCAACACTGGGGGTTGGGGTTTGGGGTGAACAGAGAGATCATCTGTATTCCTGATGTTTTCATCTGAGATCTTCTGTGCAACACCATCTGGGTAACCTCCAAACAATTGTGACAGTTCCATATTCTGTGACCTAGGGAAAATTACCAGATTTCTCTAAGCCACAGCCTCCTTATTAGAAAAAAATAAGGCCTGAAAGAAAGAAGAATAAGTACCCAAAGTTGTTTTAAGATTCCAAGACGAGAAGCCAGGCATGGTGGCTCACGCTTGTAGTCCTAGCACTTTGAAAGGCTGAGGCAGGAGAATCACTTGAGCCCAGGAGTTCAAGACTAGCCTGAGCAACATGGTAAAACCCTGTTGCTACAAAAAATACAAAAAAACAAAACAAAACAAAATTAGCTGGGTGTGGTAACATCGCCTATAGTCCCAGCTACTCAGCAGGCTGAAGTGGAAAGATCAATTGTGCCTGGGAGTTCAAGGCTGCAGTAAGCCATGATCACACCACTGCACTCCAGCCTGGGCAACAAAGCGAGACCCTGTCTTTAAAAAAATTAAAATAAAAAAGGTTGAAATGTATAATCTCCATCCTCTAAATACCTGAACTTCTGGCTACTTGTTCTCTCTCTGCAGTCACTGGCCTGATCACCCACCTAAAAAGTACTCCCCATACCCTCCCTATCAGACTGTCCTGTTCTATTTTCTGTGTAGCACTTACCATGGTCTAAGCTCTTGCTTAATTGTTTGTTTGTAAGATATGTGTGTTTGTTTGTTTGCCTGTTTGTTTGTTTGTTTGTTCTTAGATGGAGTCTCACTCTGTCGCCCAGGCTGGAGTGCAGTGGCACAATCTCAGCTGACTGCAACGTCCACCTCCCAGGTTCAAGTGTTTCTCCTGCCTCAGCCTCCCAAGTAGCTGGGATTACAGGTGACCGCCACCAGGCCTGGCTAATTTTTGTATTTTTAGTAGAGACAGGGTTCCGCCATGTTGGCCAGGCTGGTCTCGAACTCCTGACCTCAAGTGATCTGCCCACCTCAGCCTCCCAAATATATGTGTTTTTAAATACTTGCTTAGAATATTATTTAAATTAATTCACTGTTGTGTGCCTCTCCGCCACTAGAACCTAAGTTCCATGAGGGCACAGACCTTGCCAGTGTTGGTCCCTGCTGTTCTTCCAGCACCTTGGTCAATGCCCGGCATGTGGTAGGCATTTGAAACATAATAGTTGCATAAATGAGTAAGTGAATGAATGAATATCAACTCATTTTATAAACTCTAAAATATTCTTTAGAAGTTATAGGTTACTATTACTACTAAAGCCAGACTAGAGGCTGCAACTAACTTCCTGTATCTGAGAAGACAGAGAGTGACGAGGAGGGTTTCATAGGGAGAATGGGGCTTGGGGGCAGGTAGAGAGTATTACAAGTAAAAAAGGTACCTATGAGTTCAGATGTTCAAGCAACAAGCAATAAGAGTCTATGGAGAAGATTCCTGGGGGACAATGCCAAGTACATAGAGATTCACCGTCACCAAAGTTATCACCATCATGATCATCATGGCCACCAAGTATTGAACGCTAACTGTCTGCCTGACACCACATTAAGTAAGGAGGGAACCAGTATTTATAGCAAGAAAAGTATCTACTTACTCTTAATATCATCTACACACTTACATGCATTCACACATGTAAGTGTGCATACACACTTATACACACACACCATCTGTCTGAGGTTGAGTTCCTCCAAAAGAAGACTCTGAGACCAAGATCGGGATGCATGTAGTTTACTTGGGAGGTGATCTGGAGAAGAGATGGTAAGGGAGTGGGTTAAGAATGACAGGAAAGGGAAAGGAGGCAGTATTGGGTGTATTACTGAGAGGGTGACTGCTGTGAGTACCTGGGGTTCAAATCTTCTGGGTCCTCAAGTACACAGTGTAGAACATGCCTCAGAGTTGCTCCTTCGAAGGAAAAGGAAGCTAAGGTACTATATTAGTCCATTTTCATATTGTTATGAAGAAATACCCCAGACTGGGTAATTTATAAAGTAAAAGAGGTTTAATGAACTCACAGTTTCACATGGCTGGGAAGGCCTCACAATCATGGTGGAAGGCAAAGAAGGAGGAAAGGCATGTGTTACATGGTAGCAGGCAAGAGAGTGTGTGCAGGGGAACTGCCCTTTATAAAACAATCAGATCTTGTGAGACTTATTCACTATCATGAGAACAGCATGGGAAAACCCACCCCCGTGATTCAATTACCTCCCATGGGGTCTCTCCCACGACATGTGGGGATTATGGGAGCTACAATTCAAGATGAGATTTGGGTGGGGACACAGCCAAACCATATTAGGTACTTATTGACCAACTCCCATCCATCACCCAACAGAGTCAACACCTGGCATTTCTGTCCTGCCCATTTTTAGGCTGCATGAGGTCTTCAGGCAAGAATAATGTCTGCTACCTGCTACACCATTTCAGGGGATGGATCTGGACAACTGAAGTCTCACTTGCTGTGGGGCGTGGGTGTACTGTACCTCAAGACATTAAGTGATGGACATAGGACACAAGCTTGGAGGGGGGCAAGCTAAAGCTAACTTCCTCTGAGAATGCAGAGAGTGATGAGGAGGGTCTCAGAGGGAGCATGGGGCTTGTCAACAGATAGAGAGTAATAACTATATGGTAGCCCAGGGTAGTCTTTGAAGGGAAAAAGATATGTTTATAAAGAATTTGATGTAAGTTGCTGTGCACAGCATGGTATAAGCCATCTCTGTCTCCTCAGTAAAATCTTCTTAAGGTCATGTACTACACTTGAGGGGGGTTGGGAGCAGAGAGAGTTGATCAAATACAAAATCCTGCTTTGGAGCTGATTCAGACTGAACAAAGCAGTGGCACATGGAGGCAGCCAACATCTGAGTAACACATGCATATTCTCTTTTTTATTTTATTTTTTTCAGAGACAGGATCTTGCTCTCTTGCCCAGGCTGGAGTGCAGAGGCACAATCATAGCTCACTATAACCTTGAATTCCTGGGCTCAAGTGGTCTTCCCACCTCAGACTCCCAAGTAGCTGGGATTACAGGCATGCCACCATGCCCAGCTAATTTTTAAATATTTTTTAGAGATTGGGTCTCATTATGTTGCCCAGGCTGGTCTTGAACTCCTGACCTCAAGTGATCCTCCCACCTCAACCTCCCATAGTGCTATGATTACAGGTGTGAGTCACCATGTCCAGCCTGCATATTTTCTAATTCTCACTATTGTAGCTTCTCTATATTAGTTAGCTGTGGCCACAATACTGCATAACAAACTACCCCCAAAACGGAGTGGCTTACGATAAAAAGCATTTCATTTTCTAGCTCATGGGTCTGCAGGCTAGTTTGGGAAGGGCTCAGGTTCAAGCCATAGGTTATCTCCAAGCTGATGATTGGGTTCTAGTCATCACATCTTCCATGTGTGTCCTCTTTCTCCTTAGACCAGACACTGTAAAGTACTTGCTCTTTCAATGGTGGATCATAGGATGTTAAGAACCAAACCAAACCTTGGAAGCACACTACAGCCTCTGCTCATACCAAGTTGATAACATTCCATTGGCCCAAGCAAGTCACATGGCCAAGTTCAACATCTATTGAATGAGAAAATCTACTTCTGTGCACATGTATGCACTGCATAATCACATGGAAGATAGAGGGTTTGAAGAATTGTGAACAATTCCATCTGCTACAGCCCCATTTTACCCTCTGGGGAAAGCCACAGCTTAAAACAATCAAGTTGTTGTTTGAAGTCACAAGCCTTGTATATAATGCACCTAGGTTTGGGACCAGCTTTGATGACAAAGCTTGTATGTTTAGTATGCTGAACTCCTCCGCTAGAATGCAAGATGAACCAAGCCCCTCAGGGAGCTCACTCAGCAGTGTGCAAAGTACCCAAGTAAACCAGAGATCACCTCTCTGCTCAAGGTCACGCCACTGGTTGGTGACAGCACAGACCCTAGAACCTTGTTCTTCCTGTTCCTTATACCATTCTCCCCGGATAGAACCATGTGCATTTGGCTTTAAAACATCACTCACAGTAATTTCTCCTCTCTGAGGAATTTCAATCAGGCCAGAGGTTTCCGAAACAAGCCCAGGACACCCAGAGGTGAAAAATAGTTCCGTTTTCACTTCCTTGAAATTTCTCCTAAATGTGCCTACCCTGCCAATAGTATCTGCAAAAGGAAGGAGGTGAAGTTCACACCATTCAACTCCTTGGCTGTTGCCATGGAGCCCATCCAGCCATCAACATGCCAGCAACTCTGACTGCCTTAGCAATGGAATCAAAGAAGGGGAAAATAATCAGCAGGGGAGCAAACTCTTGTTTAAATGCAAATACCTTTGAGAGGAAGCAATTGAGGGAAAAGAAATTACGAAAACCCCGGTAAAGAACATGGAGTCGGGGCCAAAGCTGATAAGCCATGCCATTTCCCCAGCAGGATAGTCCCTGTTCCATCTCCTGCCAAAGTGGGAAACGTGTTTTCAGAAGCGATTTGCCAACGTTACACATCCTAGTCACCCCTAACAAGGTTCTTAGAATGGAGCGGAGAGGAGTTCCTGATGGGCAGAGAGCTTGTCAGAGCCGGGAAATGCTGACAGGAGGGCTGGGCTGGTTTGCACTAGAATTTAAAGTGATGGAAATGAAGGTTGAGAATTGGGCCCCAATGGGAGATTTAGAAAGACATATCAGGCTCCCCAAAGGAGTTCCCCAGCCCAGTGATGCTCAGCTCTTTCTAATAAGAATGATAGTGTAGGCCGGGCACGGTGGCTTATGCCTGTAATCCTAGCACTTTGGGAGGCCGACGTGGGCGGATCATGAGGTCAGGAGATCGAGACCATCCTGGCTAACACGGTGAATCCCCGTCTCTACTAAAAATATAAAAAGTTAGTTGGGCATGGTGGCGGGCACCTGTAGTCCCAGCTACTCAGGAGGCTGAGGCAGGAGAATGACATGAGCCCAGGAGGCAGAGGTTGCAGTGAGCCAAGATCGCGCCACTGCACTCCAGCCTGGGCAACAGCGCGAGACTCCATCTCAAAAAAAAAAAAGAATGATAGTGTATTTTCATTTGCTAATCTTGTTTTGTTAAAAATAAACAACCACCCATTTTTAGCTTAAAGTGTGCTAAAGCTCAAGTGTTTAAATGCAAAGGAGATTATATGTTATAATTATATTGTATTGAGGATTATTTTGTCCTGTATCCTTTTATGATGCTTTGCAACTAAAAGACATTTTGTGATTCTAACTCGGAAAGTGGGCAAAGCTGGCAGGCTTGGGGCGAGAAGAACTGCTGAGACAGTTCTGGTGCCTGGAAGCTGTGAATTGCCACCCCCTTTCACCCCCACAACACTCTGTCCTGAGCCACTGTTGAGCTGCAGGTGTTACATGTAGGCACATAGGCTGAGGGTCTGTGGATGACCTCAAACTACTGTTATCTGCAAGTACTGTAGGAAAATATGTGGAAAAGAGGTGAGGAGAGCTGTGTCTCCAGTCCCTGAATTCCCACGAGGCTTCTAGACAGTTCCAGGCAGCTTAGCATCAAGGCTGTGATCTTCCAGAAGGATTCTTGTAGCTTAGCAAAAAGAGCACCAGACTGGGAGTCCAAAGACCTGTGTTAAAATCCTGGCTCTAATATAATCCAACCATGTAACATTGGGGAAGTCATCTCACGTCTCTTAGCCTTGACCTCAATTTCCATATCTGTAAAATGGAGTTGTTGAGAGAGCTAAATTAGACAATCAGGGTTTTTCCTACCACTCATTGAGCACTTATTAAAGGTTACAAACTGGCAAACTGCAGGCCACATCCTGGCCACAGCTGTGTTTTAATTTGTCCTGCATAGTATTAAAAAAAAATACAAGCCAATGTATAAAATTCAGGAAATTTCACATACAAATCCAGGTTTCCTGTGAAAAAAAAATCAGACCTGGCAACACTGGGACCTACGACGTTATAGTCACTGGAGTAAGCCACCCTATTTGGAGGGAATATACACTCTACTTGGCTACAATCCCTACCACTCCCTATTTCCCTAACCAAGGGTCAGTTGCATGTTTATCAGAAAAATATGTTTTCTCTTACAGTAGATAGAAATTTCCTGGAAAACACTACATATTTAATCCTCCTAACAACTCTAAGCAATATGCAGTTAACTCTCATTAGAATAGCAATAGGCCATCCTAATTCCCATTTTACAGACAAGGAAACTTACACATACTTCACATTGATCGGTACTTGTTCAAGGCCACACAGCTAGTAAGTGGTAGAGACCAGATGTGATCCCAGGCTGCCTGCCTGAAAGCCTGTGCTTATAAAGTACTTTGCTATTCTGCTGGTCTGTGAAAGGCACCATTAAACACATTATTTAATTCAGATCACGACAGGAGATTTAGGGAGACACTAGCCCACCTGGGGTTGCTTTTTCCATATCTCACTTGTTCCTGGAGATAAGTGAGCTGCAGAAGGATCAAAGCCAGGAATAAACAAGAGCAAAGAAAATGAGAGCCAAAAGGGCTACAAAAAGATGATTTAGTTGAATGTCTTCATTTTAAGAAGGAGAGACTTGGAAAGGTTAAATGACTTGCCCATGATCACATATTTCTTAGAAATATCAACGCAAGTTCTACATTTAGGAAGAGGAAGTGAAGTGAATTAGCTAGTCAGGTATAGTCTAGGCTCACAATCAAACTGAGCTTGCAATTGTGTAGATTTTGCATATAAAGAGGTTTTTGAGGGAGCCAGAATTACCTGGGGAATTGCCTCCATTTCATTTTCTTCTATATCCTATCAGAAAAAATGGTCCCCAAAATCTTAGCAAGGGGGTAGTGTAGCCATTTCATAGTTTCCTTTTAAAAACATGGAATGTCAGGGGAACAAATATCATCTGAGATCATCTAGGCCAATCTTCATTTTACAGGTGAGAAAACCAAGGCCCAGAGGTGAGGGGATGTGTCCAAGGTTGGCTCACTAGTGGGTGCAGAGCCAGACAGGAGGCACTTCCCGTCTCAGCCTCAGCCTCTATCTCCACCGGCATGGCTAAGTGCTGCTGTCAGCTTCTCACCCGCTGGGCTTCAGTCTCTTCCTGGGAAGCATTTTAATGATATTGTTTGGAGGCTCTGCACCTCATTCCTCAGGGGTTCAGGGATGGGGGGACAGCTAGCCTAAAAAATGCTCACAGCTGGATTAATAAGAGAAGTGACGCCTCTGAGTTCCTGCACTTCAACAGAAGGTCAGGGAACACAGCTGTTTCTCTCTCTGCTTCCCAGATGCTCCCAGCGAGGCGAAGATGCTCCCTGGTTTCCTGCAGGAAGGAAAGGAAGATGTTCCTTGCTTTCCATGCATGCTTCATGTTTATTGTGTGAGTCAGATGCCTCTTCCTCCAACCAGTCTTTCCTGACTCCCCACAGGATCAGAACTCCCTCCTCTGAGCCTGACTCCCACAATACTCTCAGCAGACAAACTCTGATAGCACACTGATGGACTAGCTATTGCTGATCTCCCTGACTGTATTAGAAGCTGCTCAAAGGCATGGATCCAATCTGATTCATCTCTCCTCCCCACGTCTCAGCAACAGCACACCTTGCACACAGTCATAAACTAATTGCTACCATTTATTCAAAGATTGTCATAGACCAGGTTCAGGGCCAAGCACTTTGCATACTTTATCTCAGTAAGTTCTTCTGCCACCCTGCAAGGAAGGAATTATTGTACCCATTTTATGGATGAGAACACTGAAAGTTAACTTGTTCACGGACTTTATCGCAGAATTAGGAAATTCAGGCAGGGCACAGTGGCTTATGCCTGGCTCATGCCCAGCGTGTTGGGAGTCCAAGGTGGGAGGATCGCTTGAGCACAGGAGTTTGAGACCAGCCTGGGCAACATAGGGAGACCCCATGTCTAAAAAAAAATTAAAAATTAGCCAGTCATGGTGGCATGCACCTGCAGTCACAGCTACTTGGGAGACTGAGGTGGGAGGATTACCTGAGGCTGGAAGGTCAAGGCTGCAGTGAGCCATGGTTGTATAACTGCACTCCAGCTTGGATGACAGAACAAGATATTGTCTCAGAAAAAAAAATAAAGTAAAATAAATTCAAAACTTTCCATTATGTGTTCCTTCCCCACCCTTCTCACTCACTCTCCGCTTTTCTTCAAAGCCCTCAATATTTTCAGCTTCCTTCTGCCTTGGGGCCTTTCCCTGAGCAGTTTCCCTGGTAGCATCACATGCCCTTCTTCACCCAGTTAATTATGGTTTCAGATCTTCAGCTCTTGGCTCAAAAGGATTTCCCCAAGGCAGACTCTCCCAACCCCTAAACCATGTCATACCCTCTTGTAATCAGCTCTCACAGCTTCCCTAGTTTCTCCTTCATGGCATTTACCACAGTCCGTAATTCCATGTTTTGTGGGATTATGTGATTACCATATGTCTCCTCCATCAGTACAAGCTCCATGAGGCCAGGCCCCTTGTCTGTTTTGCTTATTATTTTGTCCCCAGTGCCGAGCACAGCACCCAACATATAATAGATGCCTAAAAAACATTTATCGAATGAGTATCTGACTTCAAACACATGCACTAACTAGCATGTGGTGAATAATTCTGAATAAGTGGTTGCTAATAAATGATTATATCAATGAAAGCATGGATGGAGGAGGTGATCAACCACAAGATTTCAGTTGGGAAAGATCAACTGCTTGGCACCTGGAAAATGTGGAGGCCCAACAAGCTGCTGGTTCACTTTCCAACAAAGCAGGCTTCCAGTTTGGGGAAAAAAAAGAAAACAATTTGGTTTCTCACTTTCACTTTTCAATAGCTATTGGGAGTCCTTGGCTTGAACAGCCCTCAAATGCAAATGAAAGAACAGGTGTGCTTATATCAGAACTGAGTAATCAGGGCATCTCTGTTACTTCTTCCTGAGAGCTTTGCACTCTGCCTCCTGAAGGAGCTACTTGATCAGCCAGGCCCTTGAAATGATGTGGGCAACCATTTCTTTTTTTTTTCAAATTGGGTTTTTAAACTTCTACTTAAAGGAAGATTGAAAGTGGGAGGGTATGACCTGGGGTAACTGGCAAGACAATACCAAGGTTTCAAAGACATTCTGGATGAAAGGCCCAGAGGCCATGTGATGGAAAGGAAGAGAAAGGGAGAGGAAGGGGGTGACATGCTGTAAGCCTCTCTGGTCTTCTCAGGAGGCACACTCCCTTTTCCCTGGGGATGGAAAGACATGAGCACATGCAGTTAAAAAAAAAATGTGGCTGGGTAGAACTCCAAGCCTAAAGCTTCTCTGTAGAATCATATAAAGTGGAGATTGGAAGGCACCTTTGGGTTGGATCATCTGGTCCAGCTTTTCATTTTATATCTATCCAAAGCCCAGAGAGGTGAGGGATCACCCTAGGTCACACTGAGACTCAATGCAGAGTCCACCCTGAAACCCCAGGCTCCCGATTCCCACCCCAGGGCTCTGTTCATTACATCAATATTCCTTACTTAGTAGATAGTCCAGTGTGATGGGCAGAATAATGATCCCCCAAAGCCATCCATGGTCTACTAATAATTCCCATCACTTGTGAATATGTTACCTTATGTGGCAAAAAGGACTTTGCAGATATGATTAAGGATCTTGAGATGGGGAGATTGTCCTGGATTGTCTGGGATAGTCCCAATATAATCACAACATTCAGATAACAGGAAGATAGAGGTGTCAGAATAAGAGAAGATGTGATGACAGAAGCAGAGGTTGGAGTGATGCAGGAGGCCTCCAGAATCTAGAATAGACAAGGAAAGAGATTTTTCCCCTAGAACTTCCAGAAGGGTTGTAGCCCTGCTGTCCCATTTTAGACTTCTGACCTCCAGAGGTGTAGGATGACACATTTGTGTTGTTTTAAGCTACAGAGTGTGCAGTAATTTGTTACAGCGGCAATCAGAAACTAACACAGTCAGTGATACCATTCAGCCCACATGCTAAGGATGCAAATCTCTCAGAAGACTCAGGGAATCCCACCCATACCTGAGTGACAGTACATCCTAGTGATTATGAGCATGCTCTGTGGAAATAACCCCAACATTCATCCATGGGAGAATAGATACATATTTCATAGTGATTTCACACAATGTGAAATACCACATGATAGCGCAAAAGAACAAACTTCTAATACATGCAATGACATGGAAGAATCTCATAGACACACCACTGGAGAGAAAGAAATGAGATGCAAGAAATTATGTACCAAATGATTCCATCTACATCAAAATCCAAGCACAGGAAAAATGAATCTATGCTGATAAAAATTAGAATGGTGGTTACCTCTGGAGGAAGAGTGTCACAGGGGAGGGTGATGAAGGAGCCAGCTGGACTTAAAATGTTCTATAACTTGATTTGGTTACAAGAATGTATATATGTAAAAATTTATTGAGCTGTACACTTAGGATTCATTCACTTTACATAAGTTATACTATAATTAAAAAGTTTTAAACCATTAAAAAATCAAAATAGAAAAATAAATTCATCTGATGAGCACAGGCTCTGGAATCAGACTCTCTGAGTTTAATCTTGGCTCCATCATCTCCTACCTGCATGACCTTAGCAAGTTGTTGAACCTATGAGACTGTGTTTCTGTGTAATTGGGATATTACGAGCTTCCACCTCATAGGGTTGTTGGGAGTTAGCAGATATGAAGTGCTGGCAACTGTTGCTGTTACATAGTGAGTGCTTCGTAAATGCTGGTCATTCTTACTCAGGGTATAAATGGTATACATTATTACTCAGGTGTAAATGTGATGGTGTGCTGGAGCCAGCCTGCACCAGCTGCTCAGATCTCACTGTGCACATCTCTTTCAACTCCTCCATCACAGACATTACATTGGCAGCTTAAAATTGGCCAGGGTGGGAATGTTTACACCACAACAATTGGCAATAGCTATAAATCAGTGCCTTTTGTATTTGCTTGGAAAGCCAGTTGTTAAACACTTATCAGCACATCATTGTATAAGTGGCTAAACTTAGGAAAGGGGAGAGAAGATGGGGGACCTGGAGAGAGGAAAGCAGAATCTGCCACCTTCTCTCCACTCCTCAGTGGAAGGTGCTGCTACAGCCCAGCCCCTGGAAACTTGCTTATGGGCCTCTTGACAACATCAGTGTCCCCTAGTCTTTCCTCCCCATTCTTTAACCACTTATTAATGCCAACCCAATCTCTAGGACACCATCTCCCCTCAATATGTTCCTTATGAGAGGCCTGGACAATCTTCTCACCCATCTCCTAGCATCAGAGACCCCTTGAACGAGTCCCTTCCCCTGCCAGGCCCTCCCCAGAGAGCTGGCCCAGAGTCTGGCTCCCTGTTTCTACTCGCTCTCTGTTCTTTCTCTGCCTGGAGCCAGCCGCTCTTAGATCCTCTTTGGACCAGCTGTTTCACATGGTTAGTGTCTTAGCTTAAATATCACCTACGCAGAGGAGCCCTTTTTGACCACCCTCAACCAGTCTCAATCACACTATTCATCACTGACGGAAAGTCTCATGTACATGACTGCTTAACCTTGTTTTGCGTCTGTCTTCCCAACCAGGATGTAAGTTTCTGGATACAGACTATTTTTATCATCCCTATTCTACATGGCAGAGAAGTTAAGTAACTCATCTGTGGTGACAAAGCCAAAAGTGGCAGAGCTGGGATTTGAACCCATGCCTTCTCAGGGTAAACTGGCTACTAGTTGTATAGGCAACTGGTAAGTCCAGAGAGAAGACAGCTCAACTAGACCAGAAGGCCAGGGGACCCACTGCCAAGCTAAGGAGTTTGGCTGACAGTTTGAAGTGGTAAAGCCCAAAATCAGTGCCAAGGCGGGGGGAACACTAATGGGCACAGGGGAAGCAGTGAAGCTGTTTATGCAGAGTGTCTTTACTCACTTATTTATAGAGGATGAGATGTTAATCAAGGGCTCATTCTTGGAGCTGTCAGTGCCTTCTCCTACAGCAGCAGGTGTGATGAGCCGGGGCTAGGGAAGGAAGCCAAATTATCTGCCTCTCTCTAAGACTCATGCCGCTCCCAGGCATCCCGGTACCCAATCCTCTGGCCAGAAGCTCCATGCAGAAAAGTGGGGATCAGAAATGAAAGTGTGGGAAAGCCAGCTGGGGCAGTGGAAGGAGCACTGAACAGGAGTTCTCAAGCCCCATACGACTGTGTAGAGCACTTAGCACAGTTCTTGGTACGTGCTAAACCTCCAAGAAATAGTTGGCGGTGGTGGTGCTGGTGGTGGTCCTGGCTCTGTGTGACCTTAGGCAAGTCATCAATCTCTTTGTGCCTCCCTTTCTTCATACACAGAAGAAAAGTGAAAGAATTGCCTCCAGAGCCCTCAGAGTGGGTGGGAGGTCAGATACCTTGCACAGCCCTCAGCACAGTAGTAGGCCCCCCATAAATATTTACTGAATGAGTGTCATATGTGGTAACTACAAAGCCCTATGAAAACATAAGTAGTGATTATTTCAACGGCCATCTGAAAACGGAATAAGATGTCTGGGCAGATGGTAAGTTTCCCACCACTGGATTCACTCAGAGAGAGAGGCGATGCTTGCATGGGGCAGCAGCTGAGATTCCCCTCTGAGGAAGTGGTGCTGTTCAGTGATTTAGCTTTAGAGTCCAAGAGTGTAAGTTAAAAATCCTAGCTCAGCTACTCATTAGGTATGTGGTTTTGATTAAATTCTGGAACCTCTGGATCCTTGCTTCCCTCGTCTCTAAAACTGGGATTGTCACAGTACCTGCCTTATATGATTCTTTTGAGGATTCAGTGATTGAATCTTTTGAGGATTCAATGAACAGGTAACTGATTTATTAAGCCATCGACAGGCAATGCCTCCTTTTTCCCTTTATTTTTACTTCTAGTTGTACTCAGCCAAATCCACTACCTTACCCATGTGGTAATGATGATTTCAGCAGATACCAAAACATTCTGGCCATGAAAAGTCCAGTCTAATGTAAAACTCCTGCTTGATTTAAACCTCATTTCTTCCCTCCTCCTGGTGTGGGTTGGACCCATGACTCAAGAAACAGGGCCAGAAGTGGGGAAGGCACTTGGCCTACTCATTCACCCCCCTCCTCCCTAGCATCTCAAAGCAATTGTCTACATCCTCCCATCTCTGTTCTAGGTCTCTCCTTCCTCCTCTAGCATCCAGTATCCAAGGCAGGCAGTGGATGTGTCACACATCTGACCACCTGGCAGTGGTAGAGAGGTGTCCCTCACCTCCCAAAGGGCCAGTGCCTTTCCACATGGTGCTGGTAGCCTCTGCTGCTGTGGTGGTCTTTGTATTGGTGGTGTGTCTACTTTTTCTTAGGGTAGCATTTGACTTAGTTTACTAGCAGCTCTGAGAACCACCCAGAGAGGGGCAGCCCACACTAGTCCCTCTCTTCTCAGGGTGAACTGAGCCTTCCTCAACCCACTGCAGCCTCTTTTGGAAGCCCCCAGTCTCCTTTACCAGGAGCTGCAGAAACCCCTGACCACTCAGTCCTTTGGGTCCTCAGGCACGTACCACGCGCCAGCTCCCTCTTCACCTGCCGGCCCAGGAAGCTCCAGCTGTCCTCCCTTCCTAGCATCAGTTTCCATGTTTACTCGCAAACCCCAGGGGACCCATGCTGAGGAGGGGACCCACACCCAGCAGGGGACCCACATGATGAGCTCATTCACCACACTCCATTCCCATGGCAGCATAGACTGGGCCTACAGGTTATACCACTCAGCAAATGTTCAGCTGAGGATGACTTGTCACTCTCCCCTTCTTGCAGGATCCCTCAAACTGCAGGAGAGATTCCCTGGAAGCCCTTCCACACAGCCTCACCTTCTGACTCGCTGAAGGGAAGGATATGGGGTTCAGGGACGGAGATGGAAGGAAACTTACCAGGAACACTGCTGGTTTCTGGCCACAATTCTGCTTTTCTTCTTAGTTTTCCTTTTCTTCTCCCTGCCTCCAACCAGGCTGGAGTGCAGTGACTATTTTACAAGCGTGAGGCCTGGAACTCCTGGCCTCAAACAATCCTCCTGCCCTAGCACTGTGTGTGCGCCACCGTACCCACACCTGGCTTAGTTTTCAATGGCAAACCAAAAGAAGAATATAGGGGCTGACCAGGGTGATAGGACTCATTCTTCTGTCTTCCAGCTTTCCCTGGGGAATGCTTCTGGACACTACTGCTGGCATTCCTCATCAGAAGAGGGGGAAAGCATTACTTCTTGATCCTCTGCCCTGGAACTAGGTACCCGTATCTCAGGGCAAAGAATGAGGTTCCCCAACATCCTGTTACACAGAGAAAATGTTTAATACAGCAAATAGTAAGTGCTCGCAGCAATTCAGCTGTTAGCTGCTTGACCAGGCCCCTGTATTGCCTTCCTGCCTTCTCCTTTGCCACCTCCTCTCTGTGCTCCAGCCCACTAAGCCACTTTCAGCTCCTCACATCTGCCTCTGGGTCTTCTCACATTCCATTTCCTCTCCCTGGGGGATGCTGCTCTAACCCCCTCTTCCCTAGCCACCTCCCGCTCATCATTTAGGTCTAAGCCAAAGGCCGCATCACCAGGGGAGCCCTTGCTGTCCATCCCTGCATTAGTCAGGTCCTCCCACTCGGCCTTCCCACAGCACCTTCCTTCTGTGAGAGAGCATTTTTTCTTGCAGGCTCATTTTTCTGCTTCTCCTACTAGAATACAGGAACATGTCTATTGAATTCTCCCCAGCCCTCACTTCTAGCTTAGAGGAGATGCTCAGTACTTGTTTGTTGAATGAAAAAACAATTAGCTCTTCTTTTTTAAGGCAATGAAGCACCTCAATCCTGGGAGAATGAGAGGCCTAGGAAACCTGAAGACCCTGCTCTTCCCCCCTAAAGAGGCACCAATAGACTTGCTCAATACAGGTTTGCCACAAACCTTCAATTTGTAAAAAACACAGCATCTGTGAAGTTCAATGAAGTGGAGAGCAATAAAACGAGGTATGCCTGCACCTGCTGCCTCCTTCAGACCAGGCATGCACTCTGCGGTCTTGTAAGGAGCCCCTAGGTCATGGGTGCAGGGCCCCCACCTTGCTTAGGGAAGCCCTCACTCTGCCTTCTCACAGTGCTCCCCTGTGCTAGCTGTCAGCAGATTTGATGAGGCCTAGGGGAGCTATGTGGAAAGAGAAATAAAAAGGAAAAGAGACTCAAACCTGACTCTATGGAGCTGTAAAGTCACTCAGGGCTCATTTATTCCCCAAGGCCCAAGGCCTCCTTCCCAAGAGCCTGTGTTAATGGGGCGGTTACTATTGTTCCAACTGAGAGCAGCAAGATAGTTAAGGGCTGGAGACCAAGTCTGCGGCCATTAACCAGCTAATAGGTGAGAAAGGACATGTGGGCCAGTACTTGGACTGCTGTCAAACGCCTTCCCTAGGCTGTGCAGCCAGGCAGAGCCTCTTTGCATCCCTTTCTCTGCCACCCACTAGTCATGTGACCTTTGCTAAGTCAGTGAGACTCTCAGAACCTGATTGGCAAGTGGGGATTTATTCATTCCACAAATATTTGCTGAGCACCCACTATGTCCCAGGCCCAGGGATTGTATTCCTTCCTTTTCCAGTGGTTTTAAGGAGAGGAAACACAGACTCAAACACAGACAGAAATGAGAGGTGGGTGGGAGACTGCAGAGTGCATGCCTGGTCTGAAGGAGGCAGCAGGTGCAGGCATACCTCGTTTTATTGCTCTCCGCTTCATTGAACTTCACAGATACTGTGTTTTTTACAAATTGAAGGTTTGTGGCAAACCTGTATTGAGCAAGTCTATTGGTGCCATTTTTCCAACAGTATATGCTTATTCGTGTCTCTGTGTCACATTTTGGTAATGTTCATAGTATTTCAAAATTTTTCATTATTATTATATTTGTTATGGTGATCTGTGATTAGTGATCTTTGAGGTCACTATTGTAAATTGTTTGGGGGCACCACAAGCCACAACCACATGAGATGGCAAACTTAATGAATAAATGTCATTTGTGTTCTGACAGCTCCACCGACCAGCCATTCCCCTGTGTCTCTCCCTTTCCTCCAGCCTCCCCATTCTCCGAAAGACAACAACATTGAAATGAGGCCAAGTAATAACCCTACAATGGCCTCTAAATGATCAAGTGAAAGAAAGAGTTGCACATCTAAATCTAAAGCTAAAAATAATTAAGCTTAATGTGGATGGCATGTCGAAAGCCAAGATGGGCCAAAAGATAGGCCTCTTGCACCAAATAGGTAGCCAAGTTGTGAATGCAAAGGAAAAATTCTTGAAGGAAATTAAAAGTGCTACTCTAGTGAATACACAAATGATAAGAAAGCAAAACATCCTTATTGCTGATATGGAGAAAGTTTGAGTGATCTCGATAGAAGATCAAACCAGCCACAGCATTCTCTTAAGCCAAAGCCTAATCCGGAGCAATCAGTTCATGAGATTTAAAGAAAGAAGTCATCTCCATAACATAAAAGTACAAGGTAAACAGCAAGTGCTGTCATAGAAGCTGCAGCAAATTATCCAGAAGATCTGGCTAGGATAATTGATGAAGGTGGCTACACTAAACAACAGCTTTTCAATGTAGATGAAACAGCCTTAAATTGGAAGAAGATGACATAGGACTTTTATAGTGAGAGAGGAGAAGTTGACGCCTGGCTTCAAAGCTACAGAGGACAAGTGGACTCTTGTTAGGGGCTAATGCAGCTGGTGACTTTAAGTTAAAGCCAATGCTTATTTACCATTCCAAAAATTTTAGGGCCCTTAAGAATGATGCTAAATCTACTTTGCCTTTGCTCTATAAATGGAACAACAAGGCCCTGATGACATTTCATCTGTTTACAGTATGTTTTACTGAATATTTTAAACCCACTGTTCAGACTTACTCAGAAAAAAAGATTCATTTAAAAATATTACTGCTCATTGACAATGCACTTGGTAACCCAAGAGCTTTGATGGAGATGTATAAAGAGATTAATGTTGTTTTTATGCCTCCTAACATCCATTCTACAACCCACAGATCAAGGAATAATTTTGACTTTCAAGTCTTATTATTTAAGAAATATATTCTATAAGGCTATAGCAGCCATAGGTAGTGATTCCTCTGATGGATCTCGGCAAAGCAAGTTGAAAATCTTCAGGAAACAATTCATCATTCTAAATGCCATTAAGGACAATTGTGCTGGGTGCAGTGGTACATGCCTATAGTCCCAACTACTCAGGAGGCTGAGGCAGGAGGATCTTTTGAGCCCAGGAGTTCAAGGGTGTAGTGCATTATGATCAAACCTGCGAATAGCCACTGCACTCTAGCCTGGGCAACATAGTGAGACCAAGTCTCTAAAAAAAACAAACAAGCTGGACACAGTGGCTCACACCTGTAATCCAAGCACTTTGGGAGGCCAAGGTGGGTGGATCACAGGAGTTTGAGACCAGCCTGGCCAACATGGCAAAACCCTGTCTCTACTAAAAATACAAAAATTAGCTGGGCGTGGTGGTGCATGTCTGTAATCTCAGCTACTCAGGAGGCGGAGGCACAAGAATCACTTGAACCCAGGAGGTGGAGGTTGCTGTGAGCCGAGATCACACCACTGCACTCCAGCCTGGGCAACAGAGCAAGGCTCTGTCTCAATAAAAAACAAAACCAAAAATGAATATTTATGATTCATTGGAGGAGGTTAAAATAACATTAATAAGAGTTTGGAAGAAGTTGACTTCAACCCTCATGGATGACTTTGAAGGGTTCAAGACTTCAGTGAAGGAAGTAACTACAGATGTGGTAGAAACAGTAAGAAAACTAGAATTAGAAGTGGAATCTAAAGATGTAACTGAATTGCAGCAATCTCATAAGAAAACTTGAACAAGTGTGAAGATAATTCCTATGGATGAGCAAAGAAAGTGGTTTCTTTAGTTACAGTTTACTCCTGGTGAAGATCCTATGAACATTGCTGAAATAACAGTAAAGGATTTAGGATAGTACATAAAAGTAGTTGGTAAAGCAGCGGCAGGGTTTGAGAGGATTGTCTCCAATTTTGAAAGAAGTTATACTGCGGGTAAAATGCTGTCAAACATTATCACATGCTACAGAGAAATCTTTCAGGAAAGGAAGAGTTGATATATGCAGTGAACTTCATTATTGTCTTGTTTTCAGAAATTGTCACAGCCACCCCAACCTTCAGCTACCACTACCCTGATTCATCAGCATCAATACCAAGGCAACATCCTCCACCAGAAAAAGATTACAACTCAAGCACATTCACCTGGGGATCTGGCAAGATGGCTGAATAGCAACAGCTCCAGTCTGCAGCTCCCAGTGAGACCAACACAGAAGGTGGGTGATTTCTGCATTTCCAACTGAGGTACCCAGCACATCTCAGTGCGACTGATTAGACAGTGGGTGCAGCCCACGGAGGGTGAGCCAAAGCAGGGTGGGACATCGCCTAACCCAGGAAGCTCAAGAGGTTAGGAAACTCCCTCCCCCAGCCAAGGGAAGCTGTGAGGGACTGTGCCATGAGGGACTGTGCCAGCCCAGATACTATGCTCTTCCCACGGTCTTCGCAACCCACAGACCAGGAGATTCCCTTGGGTGCCTACACCACCAGGGCCCTAGGTTTCAAGCACAAAACTGGGCGGCCGTTTGGACAGACACTGAGCTAGCTGCAGGAGTTTTGTTTTTTGTTTTTTTTGGTTTTGTTTTTGTTTTTTTCCCCAGTGGCACCTGGAACGCCAGTGAGACAGAATTGTTCACTCCCCTGGAAAGGGGACTGAAGCCAGGGAGCCCAGTGTTCTTGCTCAGCAGATCCCAGCCCCACAGAGCCCAGCAAGCTAAGATGCACAGACTTGAAATTCTCGCTGCCAGCACAGCAGTCTGAAGTTAACCTGGGATGCTTGAGCTTGGTGGGGGAAGAGGCATCTGCCATTACTGAGGCTTGAGTGGGCAGTTTTCCCCACACAATGTAAACAAAGCCACTGGGAAGTTTGAACTGGGCAGAGCACACCACAGCACTGCAAATCCTCTGTGGCCAGACTGCCTGTCTAGATTCCTCCTCTCTGGGCAGGGCATCTCTGAAAGAAAGACAGCAGCTCCAGTCAGGGGCGTATAGATAAAACTCCCATCTCCCTGGGGCAGAGCACCTGGGGGAAGGTGCAGCTGTAAGTGCAGCTTCAGCAGACTTAAATGTTCCTGCCTGCTGGCTCTGAAGAGAGCAGTAGATCTCCCAGCACAGTGCTTGAGCTCTGCTAAGGGACAGACTGCCTCCTCAAGTGGGTCCCTGACCCCCTGCCTCCTGACTGGGAGACACTTCCCAGCAGGGATCGACAGACACCTCATACAGGAGAGCTCTGGCTGGCATCTGGTGGGTGCCCCTCTGGGATGAAGCTTCCAGAGGAAGGAACAGGCAGCAGTCTTTGCTGTTCTGCAGCCTCCACTGGTGATGCCCTGGCAAACAAGGTCTTGAATGGACCTCCAGCAAACTCCAGCAGACCTGCAGAAGAGGGGCCTGACTGTTAGAAGGAAAACTAACAAACAGAAAGCAATAACATCAACATCAACAAAAAGGACACCCACACAAAAAACCCATCCAAAGATCATCAACATCAAAGATCAAAGGTAGATAAATCCACAAAGATGAGGTAAAACCAGCGCAAAAATGCTGAAAATTATAAAAACCAGAAAGCCTCTTCTCCTCCAAAGGATCACAACTCCTTGCCAGCAAGGGAACAAAACTGGACAGAGAATGAATTTGATGAATTGACAGAAGTAGGCTTCAGAAGATGGGTAATAATAAACTCCTCCGAGCTAAAGAAGCATGTTCTAACCCAATGCAAGGAAGCTAAGAACCTTGATAAAAGGTGACAGGAACTGCTAACTAGAATAACCAATTTAGAGAAGAACATAAACGACCTGATAGAGCTGAAAAACACAGCATGAGAACTTTGTGAAGAATACACAAGTATCAATAGCCAAATCGATCGAGCAGAAGAAAGGCTATCAGAGATTGAAGATCAACTTAATGAAAAAAAGTGTGAAGACAAGATTAGAGGAAAAGAGAATGAAAAGGAATGAAAAAGCCTCCAAGAAATATGGGACTATGTGAAAAGACCAAACCTACATTTGATTGGTGTATCTGAAAGTGACGGGGAGAATGGAACCAAGTTGGAAAACACACTTCAGGATATTATCCAGGAGAACTTCCCCCAACCTACCAATACAGGCCAACATTCAAATTCAGGAAATACAGAGAACAACACTAAGATACTCCTTGAGAAGAGCAACCCCAAGACACATAATCATGAGATTCACCAAGGTTGAAATGAAGGAAAAAAATGTTAAGGGCAGCCAGAGAGAAAGGTCATGTTACCCACAAAGGGAAGCCCATCAGACTAACAGTGGGTCTGTCTGCAGAAACCCTACAAGCCAGAAGAGAGTGGGGGCCAATATTCTACATTCTTAAAGAAAAAAATTTTCAACCCAGAATTTCATATCCAGCCAAACTAAGCTTCATAAATGAAGGAGAAATAAAATCCTTTACAGACAAGCAAATGCTGAGGGATTTTGTCACCACCAGGCCTGCCTTGCAAGAGCTCCTGAAGGAAGCACTAAATATGGAAAGGAAAAACCAGTGCCAGCCACTGCAAAAACGTATCAAAATGTAAAGACCATCAACACTGTGAAGAAACGTCATCAACTAATGTGCAAAATAACCAGCTAGCATCATAATGACAGGATCAAATTCACACATAACAATATTAACCTTAAATGTAAATAGGCTAAATGCCCTAATTAAAAGACACAGACTGGCAAATTGGATAAAGAGTCAAGACCTATCAGTGTGCTGTATTCAGGAGATCCATCTCACATGCAAAGACAAACATAAACTCAAAATAAAGGGATGTAGGAATATTTGCCAAGCAAATGGAAAGCAAAAAAAAGCAGAGGTTGCAATCCTAGTCTCTGATAAAACAGACTTTAAACCAACAAAGATCAAAAAAGACACAAGAGGGCATTAGATAATGGTAAAGGGATCAATGCAACAAGAAGAGCTAACTATCCTAAATATATATGCACCCAATACAGGAGCACCCAGATTCATAAAACAAATTCTTAGAGACCTACAAAGAGACTTATACTCCCACACAATAATAGTGGGAGACTTTAACACCCCACTGTCAATATTAGACAGATCAACGAGACAGAAAATTACAAAGGACATTCAGGACTTGAACTCAGCTCTGGACCAAACAGACCTAAGAGACATCTACAGAACTCCCCACCCCAAATTAACAGAATATACATTCTTCTCAGCACCACAGAGCACTTATTCTAAACCTGACCACATAATTGGAAGTTAAACACTCCTCAGTAAATGCAAAAGAATGGAAATCATAACAAACAGTCTCTCAGACCACGGTGCAATCAAATTAGAACTCAGGATTAAGGAACTCACTCAAAACTGCACAACTACATGGAAACTTAACAACTTGCTCCTAAATGACTAATGGGTAAATAACAAAATAAAGGCAGAAATAAATAAGTTATTTGAAACCAATGAGAAGAAAGACACAATGTACCAGAATCTCTGGGACACAGCTAAAGCAGTGTTTAGAGGGAAATTTATAGCACTAAATGCCCATGGAGAAAGCGGGAAAGATCTAAAATCGACACCCTAACATCACAATTAAAAGAATTAGAAAAGCAAGAGCAAACAAATTCAAAAGCTAGCAGAAGGCAAGAAAAAACTAAAATCAGAGCAGAACTGAAGGAGATAGAGACACGAAAAACCCTTCAAAAAATCAATGAATTCAGTAGCTGGTTTTTTGAAAAGGTTAACAAAATAGATAGACTGCTAGCCAGACTAATAAAGAAGAAAAGAGAGAAGAATCAAATAGACACAATAAAAAATGATAAAGGAGATCTCACACTGATCCCACAGAAATACAAACTACCATCAGAAAATCCTACAAATACCTCTACGCAAAAAAACTAGAAAATCTAGAAGAAATGGATAAATTCCTGTACATATATACCCTCCCAAGACTAAACCAGGAAGAAGTCGAATCCCTGAATAGACCAATGATAACTTTTGAAATTGAGGCAGTAATTAATAGCCTACCAACCAAAAAAAGCCCAGGACCAGATGGATTCACAGCCAAATTCTACTAGAGGTACAAAGAGAAGCTGGTACCATTCCTTCTGAAACTATTCCAAACAATAGAAAAAGAAAGACTCCTCCCTAACTCATTTTATGAGGCCTATGAGGCCAGCATTCCTGATACCAAAACCTGGCAGACACACACACACACACACACACACACACACACACACACACACACACACACACAAATTTCAGGCTAATATCCCTGATGTACGTCAATGCGAAAATCCTCAATAAAATACTGGCAAGGCCGGGCATGTTGGCTCACGCCTTTAATCCCAGCACTTTGGGAGGCCGAGGTGGGCGGATCACGAGGTCAGGAGATTGAGACCATCCTGGCTAACGCAGTAAAACCCCATCTCTACTAAAAATACAAAAACAAAATTAGCCGGGCATGGTGGCGGGTGCCTGTAGTCCCAGCTACTTGGGAGGCTGAGGCAGGGGAATGGTGTGAACCCAGGAGGCGGAGGTTGCAGTGAGCCGAGACCGTGCCACTACACTCCAGCCTGGGTGACAGAGTGAGACTCCATCTCAAAAAAAAAATATATATATATATGCTGGCAAACTGTATCCTGCAGCACATCAAAAAGCTTTTCCACCATAATAAAGTCAGCTTCATCCCTAGGATGCAAGGCTGGTTCAACATATACAAATCAATAAACGTAATCCATCACATAAACAGAACCAATGACAAAAACCACATGATTATCTCAATAGATGCAGAAAAGGCCTTTGATAAAATTCAACACCCCTTAATGGTAAAAACACTCAATAAACTAGATATTGATGGAATATATCTCAAAATAATAAGAGCTATTTATGACAAAGCCACAGCCAATATCATACTAAATTGGCAAAAGCTGGAAGCATTCCCTTTTAAAACTGGCACAAGACAAGGATGCCCTCTCTCACCACTCCTATTCAACATAGTATTGGAAGTTCTGGCCAGGGCAATCAGGCAAGAGAAAGAAATAAAGGGTATTCAAATAGGAAGAGAGGGAGTCAAATTGTCTCTATTTGCAGATGACGTGGTTGTATATTTAGAAAACCCCATCATCTCAGCCCCAAAACTCCTTAAGCTGACAAGCAACTTCAGCAAAGTCTCAAGATACAAACTCAATGTGCAAAAACCACAAGCATTCCTATACATCAATAATAGACAAACAGAGAGCCAAATCATGAGTGAACTCATGATTCACAATTGCTACAAAGAGAATAAAATACCTTGAAATACAACTTACAAGGGATGTGAAAGACCTCTTCAAGGAGAACTACAACCACTGCTCAAGGAAATAAGAGAGGCCACAAACAAATGGAAAAACATTCCATGCTCATGGATAGGAAGAGTCAATATTGTGAAAATGGCCATACTGCCCAGGGTAATTTGTAGATTCAATGCTATTCCCATCAAGCTACCACTGACTTTCTTCACAGAATTAGAAAAAACTACTTTAAATTTCATATGGAACCAAAAAAGAGCCTGTATAGCCAAGACAATCCTAAGCAAAAAGAAGAAAGCTGGAGGTATCATGCTACCTGACTTCAAACTATAGTACAAGGCTACAGCAACCAAAACAGCATGGTACTGGTACCAAAACAGATATATAGACCAATGGAACAGAACAGAGGCCTCAGAAATAACACCACACATCTACAACCATCTGATCTTTGACAAACCTGACAAAAGCAAGCAACGGGAAAAGAATTCCCTATTTAATAAATGGTGTTGGGAAAACTGTCTAGCCATATGCAGAACACTGAAACTGGACCCCTTCCTTACACCTTATACAAAAATTAACTTAAGATGGATTAAAGACTTAAATGTAAGACCTAAAACCATAAAAATTCTAGAAGAAAACCTAGGCAGTACCATTCAGGACCCAGGCATGGGCAAAGACTTCATGACTAAAACACCAAAAGCAATGGCAACAAAAGCCAAAATTGACAAACGGGATCTAATTAAACTAAAGAGCTTCTGCACAGCAAAGGAAACCATCATCGGAGTGAACAGGCAACCTACAGAAAGGGAGAAAATGTTTGCAATCTATCCATCTGACGAAGGTCTAATATCCAGAATCTACAAGGAACTTAAACAAATTTACAAAACAACAACAAACAACCCCATCAAAAAGTGGGCAAAGGATATGAACAGACACTTCTCAAAAGAAGACAGTTATGCAGCCAACAAACATATGAAAAAAAGCTCACCATCACTGGTCATTAGGGAAATGCAAATCAAAACCACAATAAGATGGTCGGGCGCAGTGTCTCACGCCTGTAATCCCAGCACTTTGGGAGGCTGAGGCAGGCGGATCACGGGGTCAAAAGATCGAGACCATCCTGGCCAACATGGTGAAACCCTGTCTCTACTAAAAATACAAAAATTAGCTGGGCATGGTGGTAGGCTCCTGTAGTCCCAGCTACATGGGAGGCTGAGGCAAGAGAATCACTTGAACCCGGGAGGTGGAGGTTGCAGTGAGCGGAAATTGTGCCACTGCACTCCAGCCTGGCACAGAGTGAGACTCTGTCTCAAAAAAAAAAAAAACCGCTATAAGATACCATCTCACTCCAGTTAGAATGTCAATCATTAAAAAGTCAGGAAACAACAGATGCTGAAGAGGATGCGGAAAAATAGGGACACTTTTACACTGTTGGTGGGAACGTAAATTAGTTCAATCATTGTGGAAGAGAGTGTGGCTATTCCTCAAGGATCTAGAACTAGAAATACATTTGACCCAGCAATCCCGTTACTGGGTATATACCCAAAGGATTATAAATCATTCTACTATAAAGACACATGAACATGTATGTTTACTGCAGCACTATTTACAATAGCAAAGACTTGGAACCAACCCAAATGCCCATCAATGATAGACTGGATTAAAAAAAAATGTGGCACATATATGCCTTGAAATACTATGCAGCCATAAAGAAGAATGAGTTCATGTCCTTTGCAGGGACATGGATGAAGCTGGAAACTATCATTCTCAGCAAACTAACACAGGAACAGAAAACCACACATCACATGTTCTCATAAGTGGCAGCTGAACAATGAGAACACATGGACAGAGGGAGGGGAACATCACACACCAGGGCCTGTCGGTGGGGTAGGGGGCAAGAGGAGGGATAACATTAGGAGAAATACCTAATGTAGATGATGGGTTCATGGGTGCAGCAAACGACCATGTTACGTGTATACCTATGTAACAAACCTGCACGTTCTGCACATGTATCCCAGAACTTAAAGTATAATAATAATAATAATAAAGATTACAACTCACTGAGGGCTCAGATGATCTTTTTTTAAGCAATAAAGTATTTAATTAAGAGATGTACTTTTTTTAGACATAGTACTATTGGACATTTAAAAAACTACAGTATAGCGTAAACATAACTTTTTATATAACATAGTATAAATATAACTTTTTTATTTGGAACCAACAATAAGTGTGACTCACTTTATTGAAATATTTGCTTTATTGCAGTGGTCTGGAAGTGAACCCACAGTATCTCTGAGCTAAGCTTGTACTCATATCCAACTAGTTGTTGGTGCCTTGTAGAAATGTGGCCCAGCATGGCCAGAACTTCTTTTAATTTTTTTCTTTCTTTTTTTTTTTTCTTTTGAGACAGGGTCTCCCTATCACCCAGGCTGGATGGAGTGCAGTGGCGTACTCACAGCTCACCGCAGCCTCGACCTCCCAGGCTCAGTTGATCCTCCCACCTCAGCCTCCTGAGTAGCTAGGAATATAGGTGTGCACGACCACACACACCTAGTTTTTGTATTTTTTGTAGAGACAGGGTTTTGCCATGTTTCCCCGGCTGGTCTTGAATTCCTAAGCTCAAGCAATCCACCTACCTCAGCCTCCCAAAGTGCTATTACAGGCATGAGCCACTGTGCCCGGCCAACTTCTTTTCCTGTTAAAGAATCTGAACATTTATATTTTGGGGTCAAATCTCAGAATTTTTAAATGCTGGCAACTAAACTGGAATGTTTAAAATTTCCAGGTTGACCAAGCACACGGGCTAGCTTTGGCTGTGAGATAACTGGGAAAGGCTGTGAGATAACAGATATGAAGAGCCCAGCTCAGAGACCCTACTCTTAACTTAGCATTTATTAGTATTATAGTGATTTACAATACATACCCAGTTCCCAGAGAACTCTTAGCCCAGAAGAGAAAATAGAGTACACATATATACAGATAGAACCTATGGTCAAAATTGTGAATGTGAGACTGGAGAGATCATTTCCCTAGAAAACAAAGCAGGCTACCTGGAGGAGGTGGCATAGGCATGGGTTCAGGAGGAGTTGTAAAACTCAGTGGTCCTTGGCTGCATGATTAACAGAGCATTTCATCAACTCCCTAATCTGGTGAGGTCATAAAAAATGTCATCTGATACTGTGTTCTTAGATAGAAAGCATTCACATCATAAAAATGATAATTGTCCCTAAGTTAATTTATAAACTCTAGGCAATCCTAATAAAAATACCATCAGGTTTTCCTTTTTCCCGCAGCTGAAAAAATTGATTATAAAGTTCATTGGGAAGAACAACAAATCAGAATAGTGGGGAAAATCAAAAAGGAAGAACAAAGAGGAAGGCTTACCCTAACAGATACTAAAGCATGCTATAAAGCCTCTATAAGTGAAATGAAACAGAATAGGAAAGTCAGAAAAAGACCCAATTGCATATGCAAATGTAAAATATTATAAAGGCAACAGCTCAAATCAGTGGGAAAGTAATAGACTTTTAGATATTGAGATAATTAGAGAGTCATATAGTCATATAAAAAAAGCTAAAATTGGATTCATTCCTCATGTCATTCACCAAGATAAATCCCAAATGGATCAGAAATGTAAGTGTAAGAATATGAAACCATACAAGTACTGGAAGAAAGCATAGTTGGCTTCCTCTATAGCCTGGGAATGGAGAAATCATTACTAACTGTATTCAAAATCTATAAGCAGTAAGAGAAAATATAAATTGATTTCATTCAAAAAATTTTTGTATAGCAAAAGATGTTACAAGCAAAGGGTAAAGATAAATGACCAACTGGGGATAATATTTACAGCTTATGTCACAGCGAAAGAATTCATATATCTAATATATAAAGAGCTTCTAAAATTGGAGAGGAAAAAGTTCAATAAGCCTATATAAAAATAGGCTGCAGAATTGTACCAACAGTCCACAAAGAAAGAAGTGCAAGTGGCTCTTAACCTTATGAAATATACTCAAACTTGCTCATAATAAGAAAAGTGTACATTTTAAAACTATATCTGGGGGTATAACTTCACACTTATTCAATTGGAAAAAGATAAAAGTTGGACAAATTCTCTGCTGGTAAATCTCTGAAGAAACAGTCTCTCGAGATCTGCTGGTATAAATGCAAAATTATGCAATCCCTATGGAGAAGAATTTGACAATATCTGGAAAAATTACATACGCATTTACCTTTGAACCAGCAATCCTATTTTTAAAAAATACAACAAAAAAATACACTGGTAAAATATGAAGAGATGTATGCACAAGGCTATTCGCTGAAGAACTATTTGTGGTATTAAAAGATTGGAAACAATCTAAATCTCTATCCAAGAAAGACTAATCGAACAAACTATAATATACTCATACTGGGTAACCAACCTGCTTGGTTTGTCCAGAACTTTCAATGCTAAAACCGGGAAATCCTGAGCAAAACAGGACAAGTTAGACATTCTTACAATTGAGGACTGTAAAACTGTAAAGGAGGAATGAGCACTATCTCTTTATACTAGTGTGGAGTGATCATCAGAATACATAGTTACATTTAAAAAATGCAAGCTAGAGGAAAGTATTTAGAGTGTACTACTGTGTAAGTAAAGGGTGAATATGAAACATACACAGACACACACACCTGCTTATATTAAAAAGAAAGAATAAAAAATAAACCATCACCATTATTTTAAGTCGCTAAATATAAAGAGATAAAGAGAATAGAGTAGAAGGTACAGAATTACAAGCTAGATTTCTGTGGATAATCTTGTTTGGTAGATTTGACTTGGAATCGTGTAAATATTTAATACAATTACAAACTTAAATTATAAAAAGCAATTCCTAAAAATAAAAAATACAACTTCTGCTTCAAACCGTGCTATAATAACTGGGTTTGGACCAGCCCTTCCCCAATTAAGAAATATTAAAGTAACTATTTTTAAATGTTGCAGTTGTGCAACATTTAAAATAGTTGCCCTGGCTTTCTACTAGAAGGCACCGCTCCAGACCACACAACGCAGAGAGGTGAACTTCAAGCAGAGCATAGAAGTTCTGCAGAGATGAGCAGGCACAGATTAGAGTTCAAGGCTGCTAAGCCAGTTGGAATTGCAGGTCTGGGTACCAGACACGAAGGACTTGCGCATAGAAAGAGCTCTGAAATCTGCATTGGTAGATGGGGGTCCCCTTAGGTCTTTAGCCAAATGTAAAAAATAAATGCACAGGACTAGATTCTGCAAAGGCTGGCAGAGAACAGCTACAAAGGAACTGAAAGCTGAATGCAGATTCCAAAGTCACAGTTCTGGGTGACATATGAGTTCTGATTGTCCAGAATGGAGAGATCTGCTAACACCCTAAGCATTCATTCAACTGAGATTCTAGAAAAGCCACAGCTTAGAGTATAGGGCTATTCTAGTTCCAGAGAAAGAACTAATTTAGACACATCTTTACAACGCTTAAAAAAACACACACACAAGACTTTAAAGGATGAGGCTTTTGATATGCTAGCAAATTAACTGCCTGTTCCCCACCCCGACCCCCAAAAAACTCAAACTCGTTAAAGGAAGACATCAAATTCCAGAATCTGAACAACGTAACATCCACGATATGTATCTTATGATTAAAAGTTATTAAACATGCGATCTAACAAAAAAGGAGACTATAACCAGGAAAAATAAATTATCAATAGTAATCAAAGTTAAACAAACTTTTTGTTTCCAATAAACATGGAAACAAATCAATAAGATAATTTCACATAGAAATAACCGTTTTAAAGAAAATTTTAAAACAGAGTAATGGCACAACGACTGGCAAGGAGAAGAGGATCAGCATTGATTGAGTGAGGAAGGAGCCCTGAGCGCTGAGACCTGAGTGGCAAAAAAGCCAGTTAGCAAAGGTCCAGGGGAAAGGCTGCCAGCAGAGCTGTGAGCACAGAGGTTCTGAGGCGGGAATGGATGATCTTGGACTGGCAGGAGAAAAGGTCAGAGGAAGCCAGGTAGGGAGGCCCAGATCATGAAACTGTTAGTCATGTTAGGCTATGGTTAAGGGTTTGGGTTTTGTTTTAAGAGCGATGGGAATAGATTCTAGGGTTTTAGGCAGAGGAGTGGCATGACCTGATGGGCATGGTTAACAGCTAGCTCTGGCCACAGTGTGGAACACGGATTTTCAGGGAGGCCTGGAGGCCAGAAGGCCAGTTAGGAAGCTGTGCCAATGTCCATGCATGGGAGGTGATGTGTTCTGAGTTTAGAGAAGCTCTGGGGACTGAGAGAGCAAGTGTGTGCATCTTCACAACAGGGGACCTGATAAATAAATCTATGCCACATCCCTGAAAGATTCTGCAACCACAGCCACTGTGCAGATCTGAATAAACTGCCAACGTGCATTTTGAGCAGAAACAGCATATTGCACAACTGCACAGATATTTTATGAGCCCAACTATGTAAAATTAAATACTCATTTCTGTATCAGTTTATCTATATATAAAGAGACATCTGGGAAGATACCGAGTTGTCAGTAATTTTTCTGGGAAGCGATGTTTTCTGTTGCGTTTTGTTTTTGCTTTTTTCTTACTTTGTTTAAAATTTCTGAGTGAAATTTTTTTCAGTGAGTATATATCATTTCTACAAAAGCCTATGGTTAGGAAAAAGAGTATATATGAGTATACGTCATTTCTACAAAAGACTTTTGTTAGGAAGAAAAAGAGGAGAAGGAGGACAGAAAGGAAGGAAGGAAAAAAATAAAGACCAATCTCCTTGTGTCCCTACCCGAGCCTTGCTAACACACACACACACACACGCGCGCGCGCACACACACACACACACACCCCAGCACAGGGATGTGAAAGGCAGCTGAACCAACTCCAGACACGTATCTTCCAAGGACACCACTGGAGGCCCAGAGAGTACCTTTCCGAGAGGATGATTAATCCTGCTACAACATGGTTCAGGTGCCCGAAGCAAAGACCCTTCACTCCTTCAGAGGCTGGCTTTGAATTTAAGAGGCAGGAAGTGGAGACAGCACTTTTGAAGCAGCTTACCGGTCCCCCACACACCCTGAAGCTGCTGAGCTGCCTTCACCCCACCTGGAATTGTCCAAAAGGAAACACACCAGAGCGTGGGGGAGGTCAGGGCACCTGTGGCTGGAGACCCAGGCTCAGCTGGGCATACTTACAGAGATCTCTTCATCCTCCCAGAAGGAAAACTCAGAGCTCAACAGGCAGACAGGACATAGTGACAAGGGGAGAAGGTAGAGGAAGCATGCTCATGTACTCCTAGGTGCCAGCGATTGTCACTCGGCACCTGTGGTTACAAGCCCCTGGCCCTCCATGTGTATTTTGTTTGGGTTACAAACTGGAAATTAGTTGTCAAGGTCTAAAAGTTAGTTTTATATACAACTCTGAATTTGTGGGTGGTGTTTTTGTTTTTTGGTTTTTGGTTTTTTGGGGGTTTTTTTGGGTTTTTTTGGAAATTTGGGAAAATGGCATTTGCTGAACCTGCCTTCCCACCAGGAACAACCGGCTAGTACCGAGCGGTGGCTTCTTCTTCAAGGTTGTGCTCCCTTGCTTGCCACCACTTAGCAATCACTCATCTCTATAACTTTCCTGGGGCACTTAGGCATGTGCCTTTGCTACTCCTTCCATTTAGTAACCCCTTTACTCTTCACACAAACCTGAGATGTGAGAACGATGTCCATTTTATGGAAGATTCAGAGATTCAGAGAGGTTAAGTGACTTGCCCAAGATCACACAGCTTTAAGTGACAGAGCAAGGATTCAAACCTCTGACTTCAAAGTTTATGTCCTTGGCAGTGAGGCAAAGGCATACAACCAGGAATCAGCAAGTCATCGCTGGCCATGGCCTCTAAGCTTCCTTTTTTTTCCCAGGAAGAACTGGTCCTTCAGCCAAGGGCAGCACTGAGCCCCAAGTGGCCCCAGATGAGTGCAAAGGACTACCAGGTAGGTACTGCAGCAGGAGCCTGGGAAGGTTGTCCATTATAAAGTGGGGAAGATAAAGGAGCGCAAGGTTTTTAATCTGTGCTGCTCCCTCTGTTGTATGAGTGAAGGGAGATGGGCATCATATGAGTGAATGGGGCAGAGTGACCCTGTCCCCATTTTCATCCGTGGACTGGAGCAACTTGCTTTTTTTTCTCTTTTCTATCTCAGGGCTCCATTTAAATCTTCCTTTGGGCAAAACGGGATCTTGCTGCTCAAAAATAATTTGAAAAAACTTTGACATTTTGGGTTTGTGTCAGAAAGTCATGGATTTTTTTTTTTTTTTCGCCTAAGAAGCTATCACCAGGAAGCGTCAAATGAGCCCTGTGGACCATGGCTGGCCTCTTATCTTTGGGTTTCAGGAGGGACCTCCTGCTAGGTTCATCTCCCCCCACAGCTCCTGAAATGGAGTCAACTCTCCCAGGACGCCAAACAGGGCCCAGAATTTGTTTGTGTGGATTTACATAAAAAGCTTCCCTGAATGAAATTCACTGAGATTCACTGAATGCAGGTGAGATTCACAGAGTCCCCCAGGGCAATAATTTTCTCTTTGAATTTCATTTTCTCTTGAGATGCAAACACTTCACTTCTCTGGCTGTCTCTCCCCACCAGGCCTGTGCTCCTTTCCTTTGCCCTTGTTCTTACTCCATATCGCACACACACAAATATACATAGGCACATGCATGCACATGCATAAACACGCAGGCACGCATGCACACACATAAATGCACATATACCCAACAAGCTTTAAATCACTGAGTAAGTGACCGTGTTGTTTCTATCTATCACAGATAGATCTCGTAGTTTGACTCTGGCCCATAGCAAAATCTGGCTGAGTGAGAAGGAAATACTCCCAAGCCCATATGCCTCAGAAGCACATATCATTTACTTAGGCATGGCAGTGTGGCCTCCAAGGAGACATTAGTGTGTCCCCAACCTATGTTACTGAGCAAGCTCTCAATAACTGAGGCCAGGAGTCTATGCTGTAACCAGCTCCTTCAGTGAGTCTGAAGCCCGGCCAGGCTTGGGAACACCTGGGGAAAACCCTCCCTTTATGTTCCTAGGTTGCATCTAGATTCTTAGCGAAGACCTTCTGACATAGTGTCACCCAGGCATTGTCAACTGCCCTGCACACAGGGAGTGACTCTAATAGTGAGGAGTCTGGCGTCACCATAGAGGATGGGGTAAAGATTTGAATGGATCCTGCCAGCAGCCTATAAGCATAACATGAAGATACTTGTGGCAAAGATTCTTCCTTGACCGAACTATACTTGGGTTCCTCTGGACTGTCTTCTCAACTAGGCCCTGACTTCTGGGCTTCCGTGTTTGCCTCTGCATTGTCCAATTTTAGCAAGAATCCTGCTAAACCAGTTTAATCAGAATCCACCACCCTCAATATTTGATTGATATCTGATCAGCTTCCTCACCCTCTACCATCCCCAGATGATGTCTGGTAACTCTGGCCTGCCTTCAGTAAGAATCCTGTTAGGTTGGTTTAGCCAGAGTCTACCCTTAGCCCTGATGTTTCCTCTTAATAAATTTTCATTCACTGACCCCGCCGCACTCTTTGTTGTATTCGGAGTTGAGCCAGATCTTTCTCTTCTACTGCAAAACCCCATTGTAGTACCCTTTAAATAAAGTCTGCCTGTCTTTAATAAGCTATTATATATTGTAATATAATTATAATTATATATTATATTATTAGTATATAATAACATTAAAGACAGGCAGACTTTACTCAGAGGCTATTAACAATTATTAGAATAATTGTTATCTTTAACACTTGGATGTTTTGTTTTAATCAGACATCCAGACCTGCCAAGATACTTAGATGACTCTGTCCCTGGGCTCTAAAGATGGGATGAGTGGGCTTCCCACCTCACTAACCTGCACCCCACATTTTCTGACTAGACCAGGCATTCTGGGGCAGCTGCCTGAGGCTGTGTGCTTGTTAAGGCTCCAAACCCACCTCTCTTTCCCAGGCTGGGTCCCTCACACCCCTCCTCTTCTTATGTATCACCACCTGCTCCCTTCAACCAGCCCAGTTTGTTCACCTCTTCCTAGATCCACCCTCCTTGCTCTGTTTCCTACATGTCTGCCCATCCCCACCTCCTTCAAGTCCCTATAAAGCTCATGGCCATGTCCATTCTCCTCCAGACTTCTCCCCTAGTAATCTTAAACACAACAATAACTAACACTTATTAAGCACATATTACATCCCAAGTCCTGTTACTCGTTTCATTTAATTCTTATAACTACCCGTGAGGTAGACTTATTATTAACCCCATTTGAGAGAGGAAAAAAATTAAGGATCGAAAAGGTGAAGAAACCTACTCAAGGTCAAACAATTTCTAAGTGGCAAAGCCAGGCTTCGCATTCAAGTCTGTCATATGTATTTCATGCCCCTTATCCCTATCTGATATTATACTACATATTTATTCATGTATTCATTTGGTTGTTATTATCTAGAATGTAGGCTTCCTAAGGGCAGAGGTTATCTTATTTAGCATTTCCTATATCAGTACCTGCTACATAATTGATGCTCAATAAATATTTAAGTGAATAAATGAATTGATGGCAAAGTCTGTGCTCTATTTTTAAGATCATTTATTAATTTTTAAAGCAGCACACATGGTTTAAAAAAATCACAAAGTACAAAAAGGTACAGTGGAATTTAAATCTCCTTCCTGGACACCCAGTTCCCTTCCTCCAAGGTTGCCAGGCTCTTATGTATCCTTCCAGAGATATGTGAAAATTCTAGGCATGTGCATATGTGAAAGTATGTATGTAACACATGTATGTGGTATGACACCACAGAAACCATCCTGTAAGTTGACTTTTAAATTCAATATGCCTTGGGAATGTTCAAATACACACACACACATACACACACATCCCTATGCTATTAACCATCATGATAAGTTTTCATACCCATCATATGGGTTCTGGAGTTGTCTTGGAGACTTTTTCAGGCTGTGATAGTAAGTATGAGCTGGGTCATTGAATGACCTAGAATCTTGGAGCAGGAAAGGACCTTTGAGATGGTCTGGTTCAACCTCCTTATGTTGCAAATGGGGAAACTGGCCAGGCACAGTGGCTCATACCTATAATCCTAGTGCTTTGGGAGGCCAAAGCAGCAGGATTGCTTTAGGCCAGGAGTTTGATACCCACATAGGCAACATAGCAAGACAACATCTCTACAAAAATTTTTTTTTTTTTTTTTTTTTAGTTAGCTGGGCATGGTGGGGCAGGCCTATAGACCTAGCTACCTGGGAGGCCGAGGCGGAGGATTGCTTAAGCCCAGGAGTTCGAAGTTATGATGAGTGCCACTGCACTCCAGCCTGGAAGACAGAGTAAGACTCTGTCTCCAAAAAAAAAAAAAAAAAAAAAGCTAGGCCGGACACGGTGGCTCACGCCTGTAATTCCAGCACTTTGGGAGGCCGAGGTGGGTGGATCACAAGGTCAGGAGTTCGAGACCAGCCTGGCCAACATTGTGAAAACCCATCTCTACTAAAGATACAAAAAATTAGCCGGGCATGGTGGTGCACACCTGTAATTCCAGCTACTTGGGAGGCTGAGGCAGGAGAATCGCTTGAACCGGGGAGGTGGAGGTTGCAGTGAGCCAAGATCATGCCATTGCACCCCAGCCTGAGTGACAGGGCGAGACTCCATCTCAAAAAAAAAAAAAAAAAAGAAAAGAAAAGAAAAGAAAGAAAGAAAAAGAAAAAGCATGGGGGGAACTGAGGCTTGGAGGATCGTGGGATGGTAGTAATGGGAATAGACATTCCCAGGGTCACATAGGGAGTTCATTGCAGATCTGGGGCGAGAACCAGGCCTCTGGAATCCTTGGCCAGGTTCCCACTGCCCCAGTCTCCTCACTGCTTGGCAAGCTCAGGAGAAATTGTAGCCAGTTCCCAGCAGAGAGAGTGCTTGGTTGGGCTTTGTCAACGTCAGTGCCCTCCCAGGCAGGCTGGGGTGAGAGTGATTATGTAGGTCGCTTGGTAATCAGAAAAGAGAGCTCCAGCCCTTTAAATGCAGGCTGTTTCATTTGGTCCCAGAAGATTGGATTAGCATCAATTGTCTGCACTGAGCTAGTAGATAAAAGACCCACACCAAAAGGGAACATCACCCAAAGGATAAGTGAGGGGCCTTGCTCTCAATGAGGCCTCCACTCTGACATGCGGGGCTCCCTGAGCCCATCAGCAGCTTCCAGAAGTCTGTGCTTCCCTGCTGGTTTGCAGAAGCATGAGTAGGAGGAACAGAACCAAGAGGCAAACCTGGGGGAGCAAGAAGGAAGGAAATGGGTCTCTGTTGGGATAAATGCCCTTATCTGCATGTGCCGCCCCAACAATGGCTCTCAATCCTATCCTTCACCTTACTCTCCCTCTCTTCCCTTCCTCCCCCTCACACTGTAAGCTTCGTGAGGGCAGGAACCCAGTATACCTATGCTGTGATTCCTCAGCACCTAGTACAGTATCTGGCACATTAGGTGTTCAGTAAATATTTGTTGACACAATCAATTCATGCACATATTTATGTCATTCCTACACAGAATGCCACACACTGTGCATTCCCGCAGTCTGGATTCTTGTTTAACTCATGCTCAGTCCCTCACTGGCTCTTTCCCTTCCCTGTTGCCAAAGGTCTAGCCTCCTCCAGGAAACCTTGCCCACTACTCCAGCTCACATTGGCCTCTTCTGTAGGCTCAACGGGTAAAGCAATCACATCTTCCCTCTCCAAACCCTGGCCTGATGGATACCTGTGTCTTCCAGGAAAGAGGAGACAGAGGGTTTAAAGTCAGAACCATCCCAGAAAATTGGGTTGAAAATATATAATTGATACTGTTCAAGCAATTGCTATTTCTGTGTTGTCTTTTAGATAGAGGTAAGGTTAGGTAGTGGAAGGAGCCTTGGGTGTGCTGCCACATGGACTTGGGTTCCAATCCTACCTCTGCTGCTTGCTAGCTTTATCACCTTGGACCAGTTCCTTAGCCTGTCCATGTCCAGTCCTCACCTATGAAATAGGGGTAAGAAGACCCTCTTCATAGGGTTATGAGTATGAAATGAGGGTTCACTGGAATGTAAACTCCACAAGAACAAGGATTTTTGTCTGTTTTGTTAACTGATGTATCCCAACACCTAGAATAGTGCCGGGCACATAGAGGGCACCCAATAAATATTTGTTGAATGAATGTACATGTAATAGTAATAAAGATAGCTATGATCTATTAACCCACTGTGTGTCAGGCTTCTTGCTAAGTATTAAATATACATGATCTTATTTGATTCTTACCATAGTCCTGTGGGCAAGCCACATTTTAGAGATGAAAAAACTGAGGCTAAGCCCCAAGCTTCAGAGGAAGTTTCCAACGAGGGTTCATTCCCTTCCCTCACTGGAAGCCAGCTGCTTCTCTCTTTCCTCTATTGTTAGCCTTGTTGCCCTCACTCAACCTTCAGCTCTTCAACTCCTACAGCCTCAGTCTTATACCTTGAGGATCTCAAACCCCTGCCCTCTGCTCAGGCTGCAGAGTCCAGCCCATATTTACATCAATACTGGTAAGCCTTAAAGGGCCAGGCAGATGGCTGCCCATTATCCTAGCTCCATCTCTGCCTCTGGCTACAAAGCAGCTGCCTGTATTCCAGGCCCAGCCCTCACTTGCAGTCTTCCTCTGTCCATCACTCTAGCTAGTCTCTGAGCTCCAAGATTTGGAGGTCATTTTCTGCCTAGACTGAACCTTTGCCTGGAACACCCTTTCTGTCTTATTCATTCACAAATGACTAAATATCTCAGGTTAAGGGTGGATTCCTCCAGATGACCTTCTCTGGCCCCTCCTGCAGCATGACAGGGTCCCTTCTACTATTCCTGTGGCTCTGTCCATCTCCTCTCCCAGCCCCATCACTCTGTATGGTGATTGCCTGTTTAAATACCTGCCTTCTCCCACTTGACCCGAAGTGCCTGTTTGAGATCAGGAACCTTTTCCATTTCACCCACTGCTGTATCCCCCACACCCAGTTCAGTGGCACGGAGTGGGGCTCCTGAATATCTTGGGAGTGAATGGCTTAAGTTCACTGTTAGCTGACTTCTCACTCTGCCAAGACTCACAATTCCACTTTTTCTTTCCAGTCCTGTGTGCAACACTGCTAACAATCCCTTCTTTCTGCTGAGCCAAACTCCTGGATTTGGCCATTCCTCACCAGGCCTGCCCAGTTACCACCCACCCTGAGAATTCTTCCTTACTAGTTTGTAGGGTTCATGTCCAGGCTGTTGGGGAAACATAGAAATGTCTCCTGGAGGGAACTTAAAGATCATGTAGTCCAGCCCATTGATTGCACAGAACTGAAGTGGATTGGGGTGGATGAAGGGACTGACTACCCAAGGTCACACAGTCTTCTTAGGGCAGGGACAGGAACAAAACCCAGATTTCTCAACTCAACATGCAAAACCTTTTCTCTGTATTTAGCCCATAGTACCTACAAAGCCAAATAATAAGATTTGTTTGATGGGATTTTATAATCATAAAAATCAAGACTACAACTTGAATTTGGGAATTTTGTATGTGACTAGTGTCCTGTCTCCTGCCTGGTTGTGTGTTGGAAGAAAAATAGAAAGCATGGCCAGGTCTTGGGCCTTCTCAGTCTGACCTCAGCCCTGTTACTAATGGGCAAGCCATTTCCCCCTTAGAGAACTGTGAGTTTGACTGTAGCGTTAATACTAGAGGACAAATAGTGGAAAATAAGGCCAGAAAGGAAGGGTGCAGCCCAATGAAACAGAGCTGGGAATGTCCCTGTGAGCAAAATGTTGGCAAGCAGAGGTGAGCCTCTGAGGGCCTTTGAGCAGAAGATGACCTGCTCAGCCAGAGGCTGAGCCCCTAGAGAGCACTTGCCTAATAAATCTGAGTGAAGGAGTGATTGTTTTATGTGAGGTTGTAACCTTACCACCTGCTGGGGAGGTTAATGTCCCAGAATCTACCTCTCAGATGACAGTTTTCTCAGCTTTCCTAAAGACTCACTTCACAAGCTCAGTTTTCCTGAGGGAGAGATTAGAGCAAAGCAGAAAGATTCCCCTGGTACTTCATTAGCGGGGTGGCTGGAATCTCCATCCAGAGCTTTGGTGACTAAATCTGCCCTGACAGGCCAGTTCTTGGCAAAGCCTGTCATGAGACTCTGGGGATCTCACCCAGTTTGTGCAGTGGAGCCTGGCCTTCCAGGAGATGACAGTAAGTGAAGCCAGACAAAAGCCCCAGAAGGATCATTTCTTTAAGCAGCCCTGGCTTCAGGGAAAAAGAAAGGATTCCTGCAGGGGTGCTGAATCCAAGCCAGAATGCTGTGTCACCATTGATACTTCTCTACCAACCTGGGCTTTTGAGGGGCTGACATAGGGAAAATCATCTTGCCTGCAAAAGACAGTCCTGCCACTAATGGGCTCTGGGCTTCACCCTCTAGGCTTCCATTTTCCTATCCACTGAAGGCAATATTTGGACCTGTTCACGGATAGCAAATGGGTTTCATCTGCCCTTCCCAACTCTGATCAGTTGTTAGTGACTGCCAGAAGCATTATATTAGGAATAAGTCTGAGGCTACAGCCACAAAAGAATAAAGCATTCTATTAGGTTCTCCAAGACAGGGAGTAGTAGCCTGCCTGATGTATTAGTTTCCTGTCACTGCTGTAACAAATTACCGTACACTTGCTGTTTAAAATACGAATGTATTCTTTTAACTCTTCTGCAGGTTAGAAGTCTGAAATCAGTATCATTTGGCTAAATTCAAGATGGTGGCAGGGCTGGTTCCTTCTGGAAGCCCTAAAGAGAGAATCTCTTTTCTTGCCTTTTTCAGCTTCTGGTGGCCTACTATATTTCCTGGCTTATGGCTCCGTCCTCCCTCTTCAAAGCACATCATTCCAATCTCTGTTCCCATCATCCTATCATCTTCTCCTCTTCTGTCGTCTAATCTCCCTCTGCCTCTTGTAAGGATCTTATGATGTACACTTAGGACCCATGCAGATAATCCAGGATAACCTCCACATCTCAAGATCCTTAACTTAATCACTCTGCAAAGTCCCTTTTGCCACATATGGTGACATTCACAGCTTCCAGGGATTAGGACATAGATATATTTTCAGAGACTGTTATTCAGCCTACCACACCTGGCATGTGGTGCTAATTTGCAATCCCTACCATCAGCCTAGAATTAGAACTGGAATGGAATAATGGAAGAGCTCTAAGTTCGTGTTTGAAGCCTGGCATATGGGAGCCATCACAGAGAAAAAGATTGCACGTGACATTTTCTCTGTTTCAAGAACCACTCCAGCCTCATTGAAATTCCACATCCCACAGCCTTCTCCTGACACTGTATCATTTACAATGCTCCCGAGGCTGGTACAGTGACTCATTATTATTAGTTAATGAAGCATCTAAGGCCTAAGCTCACAGTCAGCAGATAGGATAAAGAGTGAGAACAGAGCTGGACCATGGGAGGTCTGTAGCCGGGCTGTAGACCAGAAGACAGAGAGGCTGTGCTCTCCTCATGCATTCATTCCACGAGCATTTACTGAACACATAGTGTGTGCCAGGAACTATGGACACAACAGCAATTAGGGCTGCATGGGTGGTCCTTGTCCTCAAAGAACCTACAGGCAAATGGGCGAGACAGACACGCACATGAATATGCCAAGACACCCATGAGAAGTGCTCCAGTGGGGGTGGGTGTTGGGGTAGCACCAAGGACAGTCTCTCTACTTCAGATAATCAGGGAAGGCTTCCCAGGGGAGGGGGAAGTTGAACTGGGTCTCAAAGGATGACTAGACATTCTGAAGTTGGAAAAGGAAACGGAAGAGTATTTCAACAGAAGAAACAAGTGCTGTGGGGTGGTGGTAAGGATGGTTTTTCACAGCAGCCTGAGTGAGATGGAAAGATATACAGGCAGGAGGAAAAGATCTGGAAAGTCTGCCCTCGGACTAAGTGGTAGCAAGGAAGTAACGTTTGGCTGGGTCATGGGAATATGGAAAAGCACTTCGAGGGAGCCTGGCTTTCGGAACAAAGAACCAAACCAGACTATTCGCTGAGTAAATTCTGGGGACTGCAAGGAGAGGCCGAATACTGAGACGGGGAAGGCAGACTGGGGCTCCGATCTCAGCTCTGCCACTTACTACCTCTGTGACTTTGGGAGGTTCCTTATCCCCTTGGGGCCTCAGTTTCCTCATCTGTAAAATAAGGAACATAATAAGCATGGCTGTGAGGTGAGGCCTTGCCTGTCTTTTTTTCTGCTGTAAATCCAATGTCTGGTACGGGTTTGCCACCTGGATGAGTAATGTCTTAAAAATACTTGGCAGGGTGTCTGATAAATAATAAATGTTCAGTCAATTAATTATCTCATTAATTTTAGGGAAAAAAACATTTTATATGTGGCTCAGCCCACATGCCATGCATGGGTGCTCTCTAATATTTCTGATGAGAGGTCACCTCCCCTGGGGCCATGTCAACCTGGAATAATGGGACAGAACTCTGAATCTGGAGTTGTGAAGAGCAGGACTTTAGTTTCAGTCCTGACCTTGTCACTTATGAATGTGATTCTGGTCCATGCACCATGGCCTCCTCCAGGACACACCCCAACCTGACTCTGCCTCATTCCCAGGCAAAGTCACTGAGGGCTGAGGAAGGATACCAGGCCTTTTGGGATTCTTTTTTTGAGACAAAGTCTCACTCTGTTAACCAGGCTGGAGTGCAGTGGCACAGTCATGGTTCACGCAGCCTCAACCTTCTGGGTTCAAACGATCCTCCCACCTCAACCTTCCAAGTAGCTAGGTTAACAGGTGCACGCCTAGGAACCCAGCTAATTTTTGTATTTTTTGTACAGACAGGGTTTCTCCATGTTCCCAAGGCTGGTCTCAAACTCCTAGATTCAAGCGATACGCCTGCCTTGGCCTCTCAAAGTGCTGGGATTACAGGCGTGAGCCACCCAGCCTGACCCATTTGGGCTTCTTGATGAGCTGAATCCCTCTCTATTTTTAGATTTCACCTTAATATGCTGCCATTAATTTTTGCCATCCCTCAAATAAGGGCAGGCGGCATCTTTCCCTTCAAATGTCTTTTTTTTTTTTTTTTTTTTTTGAGACAGGGTCTCACTGTGTCACCCAGACTGGGGTGCAGTGGTGCGATCTCAGCTCACTGCAACCTCCACCTTCCAGGTTCAAGTGATTCTTGTGCCTCAGCTTCCCAAGGAGCTGGGATTACAGATGCACACCACAACACCCAGCTAACCCTTCAGATGTCTTAAAAGACTGGTCCCTCCGCATCACCAAGTACAGCATGGAGTGAGGAGAGGGCATGTTCTTGGGCTGTATGGAGGACTTGGTTAGGAACAGCACTGTGGCTGTTCAGTGCACTTTCTCTCCCTCTCTCACCATCTCTCACACACACATGCACATGCCCGGGTACACACTTACACATATTTGTTCTCACAATGGGTTAACCCCTCCACCACTTATGCGTGACTGCAGTCCTAAACCAGAATAGTAAAGTGGTTCATGGTTCAGGCTCTGATTCACCCAGTGCAGGGCGGGTATCCCCAGCTCTGTCGTCTCCTAGCTGGGCAGCTTTGGGCAAGGTCCTTAACTCTTCCATGAGCTTCCAGTTCCTCATCTGTAAAAGGGGAAAATATTAAAAGTACCTATATGATAAGGTTGTTAGTGAGGAAGTGCTTTTTAAATAGAAGCCATTGTTACTACAATTACCATTACTATAAGTATTATTCCCATGAGAAGGTAGGCTCTGTAAAGACGAGGTCACTATCAATGCCTTGTTCACCCCTCTATCCCCATCTCCTGACATATAATCAGTGCTCAATAAATATGTGGAGAATTAATTAATGACTGTACTTTTGGGAGGCATGGCTTATCTACCTCCCCCATCCCTATGTGATTTCAAGCTACCTCCTCTGGGCTCCCACAGCGTCTGGATACAATAAATATCAAAAGAGTTTCCTATGTGCCAGGCACTGAGATAGGGCCTGCTGGACATTGATTTTCTTGCCTCTGCTCCATGCCACCCGCCCCACCCCCAGTTGTGTGAATCCCACAAGGAGAAAGACTAAGAGTTATAAGTCAGAATAAGTGCTCGGCAAGTTTTGTTTTTTTTTAAGTAGGTAATAGAGCAGTTTATTCTACATGTGAGGAAACTCAACACATTTGTCCAGAGCTGGAGGGGAGTTCTGGTCCCCAGGAGGCCAGAATAATACTGTCTCTGCCCCCACGGCACTGTCCCCTGCCTTGCTGATGATTCGGCACAGAAGGGTCCACGAACACCAGCAGGTAATGGGTGAATGTAGCCAGGGGAGAAGAGAATTGAATTCCACAGTCACCTGCCTAGTCACATGAGAAGATTACCTTTGCCATTATGAATTGCTTTTCATTAAAACAGGGCCTCTTCATAGGTAGTCTTTGAAATGTCAATTTTAATTAAAACCCTAATCCTAATAAGCACATCATAGATTAAACCCAGCCAGAGCAGATTCCTGCTGGGTGAACTTCTCACATGCTTCAGTAGACAAAATTATCTTTAGTAAAAGGGCATGTTCAGGAACATCAAATCTATCAGGCAGCCTCACTCAAAGAAGGGCCTTGGCCATGGTCCCCAACATTACTGACTCTAGGTTTCCAGTGACACATCCCAGAGTGGAGACAGCTGGGTGCCAGTTTCAGGTCAGCTGCTAGTATGGAGCTGGTACTTAACCAAATAGAATCAGAGAATTGCCAGTATTAGAAGGGGCTCTGAGACTGTCTGTCTCATATCCTTTTACAGATAGAGACATTGAGTCCTAGAGAGAGAAAGGGACAGAAACCTGCTGGTAGCAGGAGCAGATCTCCTATACCTCCCAGCTCAGTGACATCCCCACCCTGGTTTTGTCAAATAGGAGCTGCGTATCCCTGGGCAAATCTGTTTCCTTTCTTTTCTTTCTTTCTTTTTTTTTTTTTTTTTTTTTTTGAGATGGAGTCTCACTCTGCCGTCCAGGCTAGAGTGCAGTGGAACGATCTCAGCTTCACTGCAACCTCTGCCTCCCAGGTTCAAGCGAATCTCCTGCCTCAGCCTCCCAAGTAGTGGGATTACAGACACCCACCACCATGCCCAGCTAATTTTTTTGTATTTTTAGTAAAGACGGGGTTTCACCATATTGGCCAGGCTGGTTTTGAACTCCTTACCTCAAGTGATCTGCCTGTCTCAGCCTCCCAAAGTGCTAGGATTACAGGCATGAGCCACAGCGCCCAGCCTGTTTCCTTTCTGAACTTCAAATTCCTTACATATAAAATCAAATAATTTAGACCAGAACAGTAGTTCTCCACCATGACCACACATTAAAATCATCTGGAGAGCTGTAAGAAATGCCAGTGTCTGGACCCACCTGAGACCAATTCTTCATAGTCTCTAGGGTGGACCTGCTCATGAGTGGTTTATAAAGCTCTTCAGGTGATTCTGAGTTGTGTCCAGACTGAGAACCAGGAGACTAGATAATCACTACGTCTCCTTTGCTCTAACAGTTTTTTGTTTGTTTGCTTGTTTGTTTGTTTCTGAGACAAAGTCTGGCTCTATAACCCAGCCCGGAGTGCAGTGGCACAATCTCGGCTTACTGCAACCTCTGCCTCCTGGATTCAAGCCATCCTGCCACCTCAGCCTCCAAAGTAGCTGGGACTACAGGTGTGCACTAACATGCCTGGCTAATTTTTGTATTTTTTTGTAGAGATGGGGATTTCACCACATTCCCCAGGCTGGTCTAGAACTCATGAGCTCAAGCAATCTGCCTGCCTTGGCCTCCCAAAATGCTGGGATTACAGGCGTGAGCCACTGTGCCTGGCCATTGCTCTAACATTTTATGAGTTGAGAACTCCTCTTCCTGGAACCCTCTGTGCATCATACACTCCCACTACTTCCCACTTACCCCCAACTCCCATGTACACTTACCCCACAATTTATTTGAGCAGTTCCTCAAAGTTCTTGCTTAAATATCCCTCATTACACTGAGTGAGGGAGACATTACCTAAGTTCTTCCCTTCTTATAGCCGGAATCACACTTCATAGTAATTATATTTTATGGCTATCTTCCCTGTAAACTGAGTGACAGTAGAGACTGGTATAGTAGACCTAGTACTCACATCCATATGTAATCTTCCCATCCCTAGAGTGTGGCAGGGGACTGTGACTTGCTTCTAATCTATGCAATATGGCAAAGGTGATGGGAGGCCAGTTCTATGATGATATTATGTAAGATTGCAATGTCTGTCTTGCTAGGCTCCTTCCCTTGCTAGCTTTGATGAAGCAAGTGGCTATGTTGGGGAGGACCACATGTCAAGAAACTGAGAGTGGCCTCCAGCCACAACTAGCTAGAAATTGAGGCTCTGAGGCTCTTAGCCTCATAGCCTGCAAAACCCAAACCCTGCTAACAACTACATGAACTTGGAGTTAGATCCTCCGCAGTCAAATCTTTTGATAAGAACCCATCCTTAGCTGACACTTTGATTGTAGCCTTGGAGAGATCCCAGTTAATCTGTACCCAGACTCCTGATCTAAAGAAACTGAGATCATAAATGTATGTTATTTTAAGCTTCTAAGTTTGTGGTTTTATTGTTATGTGGCAATAGATAACACATACACTGAGCCTACTTCATTCAACTACTGTATCCTTGCCATCTGGCACAGTACAGCTATCCCTTGGTATCTGCAGGGGATTGTTTCCAGGACCCCCGCAAATACCAAAATCTACAGATGTGCAAGTCCCTTACGCATAGTCAGCAAGCACAGTGGCTCATGCCTGTAATCCCAGCACTTTGGGAGGCCAAGGCAGGAGGATCACTTGAGCCCAAGAGTTCAAGACCAGCCTGGGCAACATAGGGAGACCCTGACTTTACATACAATAATAATTATAATAAATAATTATAATAACATTAGCTGGGCATGGTGGTGCACACCTACAATCCCAGCTACTTGGGAGGCTGAGGTGGGAGGATTGCCTGAGCCCAGGAGTACGAGATGGCAGTGAGCCATTTGATGGCACCACTGTATTCCAGCTTAGGTGACAGAGTAAGATCCTGTCTCAAAAAAAAGAAAAAAAGGAAAGGAAAGGAAAGGAGGAAGGAAGGAGGAAGAAAGGAAGGAAGGAAGGAAGGAAGGAAGGAAGGAAGGAAGGAAGGAAGGAAGGAAGAAAAGCTGGATGCAGTGGCTCACGCCTATAATCCCAGCACTTTGGGAGGCCAAGTTGAGTGGATCACCTGAGGTCAGGAGTTCGAGACCAGCCTGGCCAACAAAATGAAACCCCATCTCTACTAAAAATTCAAAAATTAGCCAGGCATGGTGGTGAGCACCTGTAATCCCAGCTACTCGGGAGGCTGAGGCAGGGGAATTGCTTGAACCCAGGAGACAGAGGTTGCAGTGAGCCGAGATCGCTCCACTGCACTCCAGCCTGGGTGACAGAGTGAGACTCCGTTTGAAAAAAAAAACCAACAGAGAGAAAGAAAGAAAAAGAAAGAAAGAGAGAGAGAGAGAGAGAGAGAGAGAGAGAAAGAAAGAAAGAAAGAAAGAAAGAAAGAAAGAAAGAAAGAAAGAAAGAAAGGAAGAAAGAAAGAAAGAAAGAAAGAAAGAAAGAAAGAAAGGAAGGAAGGAAGGAGGGAAGGAAGGGAAAGGACAGGAAAGAAAGAAAGAAAGAAAGAAAGAAAGAAAGAAAGAAAGAAAGAAAGAAAGAAAGAGAAAGAAGGAAGGAAGGAAGGAAAGAAAGAAAGGTATTTACTTATAACTTATGCATATCCTCCCAAATACTTTAAATCATCTCTACATTACACATAATATCTAATACAATGTAGATGCTATGTAAATAGTTATACTGTATTTTGGTATTTGAATTCTTTTTTATTCTTGTATTATTTTTTAAATAGTTTTGATCAGCGACTGGTTGAATTCGTGGATGCAAAACCTGTGGATACAGAGGGACAGAGGCCTACTGTACATGGCACATGGTAGGTATTCAAAGATATTTGGCAAATAAATGAATCAATTAATTGATCAGAGTAACAACAATAAGTTCTTTGAATCCAACATTTGCCCAACACTTTTTCCTTTCTTCCTCCTGGTCACAAGCTTATGTCTCAAAATTCAATGTCAGCCCACTAAGTGAGGACTGGGCTCTAAAACCTTTCACTATTAGGAAGGCAAGTGGAAAGCACACACTGTTATTATGATGATTATTGTCATCCAGCCTTAATGAAATCGACGTGTGGTTAAATAACAGTTTGCTGAGTGTAAATTGTTATTGTTATTGATAAACCATTTCCTTTACCTGACAAATGCAGTGCTGTACTCCAGGCAAGGGAGCAATCCCTGCTGTACAGACCCATAATCATTCCAAAGATGCAGAGGATGCCATTGACCCCATGGGCCAGGCTTGGGATGACACAGCCCTCAGTTACAAACCGCACTTGGACCCTTGGCTACACTGTCTTGGCTTTTGGGCCTGCTCAGGACAACTGCTCAGAGCAAATTGCCATAAGGCGCAGCTCTGCCTAAGCATTTACTGCTGCTTTTATCCTCTGAACAGCAACAGAAACTTTCAAGAATAAAAAGCAGAGAATACATCTACTTTTCCTGCTAAAGCTATGGCTGATCTCAGGCTGCTTTGGCTAGTTTTCACTGTGCTTTGACAGGGCCAGGACTCTATAGGCTCAGGAACAGCTCTGTGAGATTATTGGATTTTCCAAGGTCCCCTGGGAGTCACTGATAGCGAGTAAGACAAGAGCTTAAGGCAGGACCTTACTGGCCTCTGTTTGATTTGGGGCAGCTTATCTAGAACACTGCTGACTGGCACTCTGATAAAAATTCAAGTAAATTGAATGTAATCAGGTCTTGAGAACTAGCTGGCTACCTCATGGAACCTGCTGAAAGCACATTGGAGGTCCCTGGGGAAAGGGTGAGAGGACTTTCTTAGAGAGCATTTGCAGCTGACACTAGGAAGACAGAGCAGTCTGGGCCTCCTTTGTCACCGGCATTCTGCTCTTTGGTTTCTCTCTCTTCCTAGTCCTCAATTCCTCACCTGCCTCTGATTATGTCTCTGGCTGATCATCACTCCCACCACTGCTAAAATTCACTACTAAAGGCTCTGGATCCAGATGACTTTTGGTCTTTTCTCCCAATAGCCGGGCTGCAGAAAGAAGGTCTCCAATGGGAACATGAACTATTTATAACAATAATAACAGCAATGACAAAATTAACTGTTACAGTTTTATGGCCATTTACCATGTGCAATGTGCTAGGCTCTTATGCACAAAAATTAACTTGATTCTAAGGATAATCCAATGAGAATGGATTGGATTGCCATTCTTGTTTTATAGATGAAGAAACTGGGCCTTAAGCCTAAAAATCTTGCTTTATTAAAGTCCCACAAAACACAGAGAAAGGATACTTACATGTCGCTGTATGGCTGACATCTAACTTAAAACTCTCTAATTCACCCATGTTCTCACCCATAAAATAAGGATAAAATAAGGATAATACATAAAATAAGGATAATACAAGAATAAATGTGTAAGGACTGCCACATTCATTCATGCAGGAAATGTCTGAGAACTAGGCACTGTTCTAAGTGCTAACAATGTAGTGAGAAAAACAGACAAGTTTTCTTCATGGCGTTTACAATAAAATTATTTTTAAAATGTGAATAATGTCTAAACTGTAGAAGGTGCAATAAATGATATGTATATAGTACTATGGAACCATATAATGGTGGCAACTGACCAAGGAAAGACGGTTAGAGATGGATTTCCTGAGAAGTTGTGCTTGAGCTGAGGAGTTAACTAAGCGAAGTAGGAAGGAAAAGACTTCCCAGATAGAAGCAACAGCATTTGCAAAGACCCTGTAGTGAGAGGACAGGGAAATAACAAGGGCTAGAAGACAAGTGAGGGCAAGAAAGAGAGATGGCAAGAAGAATGTGGTATAAGACATTGAAGAGAGAGGCCTAATTTGTGCCTGGTCATGGCTGCAGCCTGGGGTCCCAACAGATAGCAAGGGAAGGTCTCTGATCTTGTAGGGTTTACAGCCTACTAGGACTATTTAAAAAAAAACAGACAAATGAATAAACAAGAATATTTCAGATATCAGTAAAAGCCATGAAGAAAATAAAATGAAGTGATAAGCTGGGTGTAGTGGTGCATGCCTATAGTCCTAGCTACTTGGAAGGCTAAAGCGGGAGGATTGGTTGAGTCTAGGAGTGTGAGTCTGCAGTGAGCTATGATTGTGCCACTGCATTCCACCCTGAGTGACAGAGCAAGCCCCTGTGTCTACGAAAATGAAAAACAAACTGTAAAAAATGAAGTGATATGATATAATCAGCAATACTGAACTGAGGAATCCAGAGCAAACTTCTAGTTGAGAACAATAAGAAAAGCTGGACAATTTTTTTTTAAAATCTCACTGAGTGTATCAAAGGGCTAACAAAAGTAGTAAAGAATCACTGGAACAGGACTGGGGGCTGGAACAGATTTATACATGTGAGTTTAGAATTTTGTCCCAAATGAGGCAGCTGAGAGGCTGAGAAGCCCTCTTATGATAGTCTCTCAAGGCTGAGAAGACAAAAATTGAAGTCTAGGACCTCTCATTTCTGGGTGGAACTTGAAATAGCTATATTACAGAAATATAGGTAAACCAGAAGCAAACCAGCCCTGCTCTAACAGTAGCCCAAATTAGAGATTTTGCCTTAAAAGCAACCCAAGAAAAATGACCCATTTCTTTCTTTCTTTCCTTTTTTTTTTTTGAAACAGAGTTTCACTCTTGTTGCCCAGGCTGGAGTGCAATGGCAGAATCTCGGCTTACCACAACCTCCACCTCCAGGGTTCAAGTGATTCTCCTGCCTCAGCCTCCTGAGTAGCTGGGATTACAGGTGTGTGCCACCACGCCTGGCTAATTTTGTATTTTTAGTAGATATGGGGTTTCTCCATGTTGGTCAGGCTGTTCTCAAACTCCTGACCTCAGGTGTTCCACCCGCCTCAGCCTCCCAAAGTGCTGGGATTACAGGCATGAGCCACCGTGCCCGGCCAAAAAATGACCCATTACCTTCAAAGGAACAAAAATTAGACTAGCAACTGACTTCTCAAGAGAAATAATGGAAGACAGAAAACAATGAATTGATGTCTTTTAAATCATGAAAGAAAATGTCTGCTAAAATAAAATGCTGAAGCTAGCAAAAAATCCTTCAAAAATGAATATAAAATAAAGACATTTTGTACACACTGAATTTTGTCTAAGAGAAGTTATCACCAGCAGACCTACACTAAAGGAAATAGTAACTGGTGTTTTCCCAGGTAGAAGGAAACCATCCCACAGAGAGGGTAAGAGAAGTCAGAAGGAATGAAAATGGTAAATGTGTGGCTAAATCAAAGTGATTAATTACTATATAAAGATAATGAGGGCCAGGCACAGTGGCTCACACCTGTAATCCCACACTTTGGGAGGCTAAGGCGGGCAGATCACTTGAAGTCAGGAGTTTGAGATCAGCTTGGCCAATATGCTGAAACCCCGTCTCTACTAAACATACAAAAATTAGCCGAGTGTGGTGATGCGCACTTGTAGTCCTAGCTACTCGGGAGGCTGAGGCAGAAGAATCCGGGAGGTGGAGGTTGCAGTGAGCCAAGATCATGCCACTGCACTCCAGCCTGGGCAACAGAGCGAGACTCCATCTGAAAAAGAAAAAAAAAAAAGATAATGAGGCTTCCATTCATATGAAAGTGAAATGAACAGGGAAATCTGTAGAGACAGTAGATAAATGGTTTCATAGACTAGGGCTGGGGTTGGGAGATAGAGGATGGTAGCTAATGAGTATGAGATATCTTTCTGAAGAGATCATGATGTTCTAAAATTGACTGTGGCGATAGTTGCACACCTGTGAATATACTAAAAATCATTGAATTGTACCCTTTAAATGGATGAATTGTAAGCATTCTAGTGGTATTTAAATTATATGGTGCATCCAGCCTGGGTGACACAGCTAGACCCCATCTCAAACAAAATAAAACAAAACAAAAAATATGTATGTATAGAATTAAAATACAGGACAGTATGGCATATAAGTTGGAAAGAGATGAATGGAGTTAACACATTCTGAGTTTCTTGCTGTGTCAGGAATAAATGTATATAAATTTACATATAGACATAAATTTAGATATTAGATATAAATTAAATGCTTCAATTAAAACAAAGATTGTCAGCCTGAATTTTTAAAAAGCAACAACAAAGACATGGTTTATAAGAGACATAGCTAAAACTTAAGAATACAAAAGGTTGAGAATAAAAGAAAATAATAATTAAAATATACCATGCAAATATTAATTTTTAAAAAGCTGATGCAGTTATCTTAATAGCAAGTAGGCTTTAAGCCAAAAAGCAGTATAGAGATAAAGAGGGTTTTTTTCTTAATATAAAAGTCTCAATTCATCAGAAAAAAGGGTAATAAATTTAAAAAATTCTTACTTTGAAAATAAGAAATATACTTCTAAATATTTCATAGATTCAAGTATCAATCACAATGGGGGTTAGAAACTATTTTAGATTGAATGTTAATTGAAATATGACATATCTAAACATTGGGATACAGTTTAAAATATGCTTAGAGAGAAATATATAGTCTCAAATACACATATTAGAAAAGAAGAAAGGCTGGAAAAGTATTTATCTCAAAATAATAGAAAAATAAACAACAAATTGATCCCAAATAAATTAGAAAAAACAATAAAAATAAGAACAGAATTTAATAATATAGAAAACAATCATACAATAGACTGAATCAATAAAGCCAAAAGTAGGTCATTTGAAAAGACTGATAACATTGATAAATGGCTGGAAAGAGTTACCAAAGAAGAAAAAGAGAGTAGAAACAAATAACCAACAAAAAGAGAGATACCCTACATAAACATATAATTTTAATTAGAATTTAAAATATAATAAAATCATAGTATTAACTATTTTACACCAATGAATTTCAAATAAATTAGGTTAAGTGAATATATTTCTAGTAAAACACAACTTACCAAAACAGACACAAGAAGAAATGGAAAACTCCAGTAGAACTATTCATAATTCATAATTAAAACTCTTCCTTAAAGAAAATTCTAGGTCCAGATGATGTACAGGCAAATTCTACCAAATGTATTATACAAACTCTTACAGAGAATAGAAAAAGATGAAATACTTCTCAACTCACTTTATAAAATAAGCTATAATCTTGATACCAAACCCTGACAAGGATAATATAAGAAAGGAAAATTACAAGCAGTCTCGCTCATGAACATAAATGCAAAAACCCTAACCAAAATATTGCAAAAATTATTCTAGGAATATGTAATTAGGATATGTATCTTAGTTAAATTGGGTTTATTCCTGGATGCCAGGTTAGTATAAAGCTTAAAAATTAGTATAGTTCACTATGTTAGTTGAATAAAGGAGAAAAATCCAATTATAACCTCAATAGATACAGAAAATGCATATGATAAAATTTATTATCTAGTCACAACATAAAACTCTTGGAAACCAGAAATAAAAGAAAATTTTCTTGATTTGATAAAAAGTATCTAGAAAAGTATATTAGAGCAAACATCCTACTTAACGGTGAAATGCTGAGTTTCTTTTGAGATGTGGAATGTGACAGAAATACTTGCTATTCCTACTTCCATTCAACTTTATACTGAAAATCTTGGCCAATATGATAAGAAAAAAAATTAAAGGCAGAAGGATTGGAAAGCAAAAAAATAAAATTATCATTATTTGCATTTGATATCAGGTTACAGAAAAGAATCCATGAGAATCCATTGATCAATCACTCATACAAAAAATTAGTATTGGGGGATCACAGATGTAAATCTGAAAGGCAAAACAATAGTGCTTTAAAAAAATAACATAGAAGTACTTTCTATGTAAGAGAAATTTTTTTAAACAATACACACAAAAAAACACTGATCATGACAGGAAAAAAGTACAATTCTGACTACACTAGAATTTTAAAACTGTTCATCATATAAGAAAGTGAAAAGGCAAGCCATAGAGTGGAAGAAGATATGTATAAAAATTATAACTGGCCATATTCTGAATATGTAAAGAATGATTACAAATCAATAACTAAAAGACAACTCAGTAGGAAAGCAGAGGAGAGATTTGAACTGGAACTTCACAAAAGAGGAGGTTCTCAACCTCGTTTGTCATCAGGGAATGCAAATTAAAATAATAATGCAGTACCACTATCTACTATTGCAAAAGGTTGTAAAGGTTGTACATTGTATCACACATGTACAATGGTGTATGTGTGATGCCACTGTGTACCCACCAGAATGGCTAATCTTAAAAAAGACTTACAATATGAAGAGTTAGTGAGAATGTGGAGTAATAGAAACTACCATGTTTTGCTGATGAGAGTTTGAATTGGTACCACCACTTTGGAAAACTTTTGTCCACGTTCCCTGTGACCTAGCAATTCCTTTCCTACTTACATGCCCAGTAAAAATGTGTGCATGGTGGTATCAATAAAAATGTATAAGAATGTTCATTGCAGTATTTATTATTTATATTAGCTAGAAACTGGAAACAACTCAAATGTCTATCAAGAGAAGAATCTCTTGATATATTGGGGTACATCTGTACAATGGAAAATCACACAGCAATAGAAATAGATATACTACAATACATGCAACAAACATTTTGAATGAAAGAAGTTGGACGCCAAAGAGTACTGTATGGTTTCGTTTAGGTGAAGTTTAATATTAGTAAAGCAATATTTTAGTGTTTAGGGATGCATCCTTAGGTGATAAAAGTATAAAGAAAAAGAAGGAAATTATATGAGACAGGTTCACTCATGAGCTAGAAACCATCACACAAGCTATTTCAACAGGAGGAATTTAATGTAAAATTATTAGGTATTGCCGGGCATGGTGGCTCACGCCTGTAATCCCAGCACTTTGGGAGGCCGAGGTGGGTGGATCACCTGAGGTCAGGAGTTCAACACCAGCCTGGCCAACACGGTGAAACCCTGTCTCTATTAAAAAATACAAAAATTAGTCGGGTCTGGTGGCACGCGCCTGTAATCCCAGCTACTCGGGAGGCTGATGCAGGAGAATTGCTTGAACCCAGGAGGCAGAGGTTGCAGTGAGCCAAGATCGCGCCATTGCACTCCAGCCTGGGCAACAAGAGTAAAACTCTGTCTCAAAATAAAATAAAATAAAATAAAATAAATAAAATAAAATATAAAATTATTAGGTATTAAAGAACTAAAAAGGCAAAATGAGTTCATAGAGGTAGTAATTGCAGGAAGCAGCTGAGGGAGCGGGGCAGAGGAAAGAGGTCAAAATGACTAAAACTTCAAAACTTGGAGCTGGGTCAGGCGTTTCTGAGAAGGGGGTGCAGCCCGGCTGACAGGTATTGGTGTCTCTAAAGGGGCACCATGAGATTGTTTCTGAGTGTCGGGGAAACTACAAATAGGAACCAACTTCTACTATGAAACAAACTACTTTGTTGTGTTGGAGCTGACAGGTACAGACAAATAGGATAAAGCTTTCTTTCCTTTCACCCTCCTCTAAGCGCCTTCCCCTATAGCGCCCCCTATAGGCAGAATGTGAGAGGGAGGCAGCTGGCCATGCAGGGGGTCGGGGGGCACCCTACATCTTATGAGTGCAAGCCTGGTGGCAGTGTACAGGGTGACCTAGAGGAATGGGAGGGACCAATGCGGGGAGGCAGCAGGAGGCTGCTGCTGTGAAAATCGTAGGGAGCAAGCAGAGGTGAGCCTGGCTTCATGGGTGGCCCAAGTGGTCAGGTGCAGATGAGGCAAAGCACCTGGAGACTGAGCAGCCCCTTAGCCACTGGAGGGCCAAGGAAATGCACCCTGATGCTCTGAACACATCCCTCTTCCATCCCAGCCTCCTGAAAAGTGTCAAGAGGTGATTCTGGGACAGAGGAGCCAGCAGATGGACTGGCTCCAGGAAGAGTTCCTGAGGTGTCTGAACCAATTCCAGTCTGCATTCCTGTAGTTGGCAGAGGCCTCCAGAGAGAACAGCAAGATCTGGGCTCACGTGTCTCAGTCCCCTGTTTCCTTTTTTCCTTCCCAATTTCCTTCCTTCAGCCTTTCCTTTCTTACTAATTCCTTACTCTTCCTTTCTTCCTTCCTGCCTGCCCTCCCTCTGTTCCTCCTGTCTCCCTTTCTCTCACACATTTACTAACCCATGATCAGACATAACACCCATGCATATAAACATACACACCCACATATCCACCTCCTACACATATATTATTTATATATATCCCCCTCACACACACACATTCAAACACACACTACAAATGCAGCTTCATTCATACACATTTCAGGTATATTTTCCTTATGGCTTGCCAGATAACTTGCAAATTCAGTGTTCAAGATCATGGTCTCCTTGTAAGTCATGGCAGCCACATTTTCCAGGTAGAGAACCTGAGATTCAGAGATGTTGAAGAATTTCCTCAAGGTCACAAAGCTGGGAAGTGACAGAATCGAGATTAGCCCTCAAGTGCTCCTGGCTCTGATTATTCTTTAGCCACACCCTGCTCTCCCTACACATGCAGACACAGACACACACAGATGCATCCTGCAATCATCCACACATAAGTGGTTATATTTCTACCCACATGGGCACTTATACACATACCCAGACATGGAAAGAAATTTCACTGACTTGTCACTAACAGTTCTAAGGAAGAATCTGTCTTTCCAAAAATGTTCTGGCTTTCTTGTAGATAAGCCTTCTGAATTGTACGTATTAGCTCCTTAGAGACACCCAGAGGACTTAGTTCAATAGACTTGCTCTGACAGGGGTAGAAGACAAATGGTAGGGATGAGGCTTTGTGTTGTGTGTTTGATTTTTGCAGCTCTTTCTACCTTATCTCAGCTCATAGTCCATTCTCACAATAACCCTGTATGTGGACATGGAAGGAACTATTATACCCATGTTACATATGGGGAAACTGGGAATCAGGGTGTTCAGGGGGCACCCAGGTGCCTCCACCTCCTTAATCATCAAGGATCTCACTTTTCTTCAATGCCCAAATAACAACAATTCAAGCTGCCTTCTCCCTTGAGTTCAGAAAGTCCACTGCACAACCCCCCAAGTGATGTCATGGGTACCCAGGAGGAATACTTAAATGTTTTAGCAGTCCCTCCTGGCTCTCCCATGTCACATCCTATTTGAGCATGTTTGTTCCTCTAGTGGTCATCTCTGATTTCCTCAAACCTCTGCTTAACCTCTGACTTTCTTCCTTTCCAAAGCCAGGATACCAGCTCTCCCTTAATTCTCAAAACACATCTCTTTGGTTGCTTTTAGCTATAAGTAAGTAACAGAAAACCCAACTCAAATGCGTTTAAACAATATAGACATTTTATTCCATTTCTTTAACCAGAAGTTCCAAAGGAGGGTACCTGGTACCTCCAAGGTTAATTAATTCAGTGGCTCAGCAATATTATCAGGGACCCAGGTTCTTTCCACTTTCTCCCTCCACCATCCTTATGTGTGTTGGTTTTGCTCCCAAGTTGACTCTGTTTTCCCCTGAGTCATAAGCTGGCTCACACTATTCCAGGCATCACTCAGGGAAAAAAAATCTCCAGCAAAAGAAGAGTTTTTTTCTTCCTGTGTGTCTCTTTGTAACAGAAAGGAAGCCTTTTCTAGAAGTCTCTCCACAGAATTGCACTTACATGTCATTGGACAGAATTTTATCACATAAGCAAACTTCTGGGTGTAACTGATAAATATCTTTATTATTTTGATTATAGTGATAGTTTCACAGCTGTGTTCATGTGTCAAATTGTATGCTTTAAATGTGCACAAGATATTGTATGTGTCAATCATACTTCAATAAAGCTGTTTCAATAATTTTTGCATAAGTAGCAAATAAATATGCTCTCCTGGTAAAAAGTTAAGACATTATATATAAAGCGAAACTATCCTTTTCCACTATCTCTCTGTCCTTCCAGTTAACAGATTAGTGTGTATCTTTACAGATCTTTTTCTGTACATTTATGGATATGATGTACCCACGGAATATATAGAGTACTACCTGTTTGTTATTCTTTTTCCATAAAAGTCATGTTGTATGTAAGATGTTGCAATTTCCTTTTTAGAACACGATATTTCTTGGAGCTGTTTCTAAGTCAGTATTTAGAGGTTCACCTAATTATTTTTAGCTGGATAGTATTGCGAGATACAGGTATAGCCTGGTTTATCCAGACATTCCTCTCTGCTTTCGTTTGTTCTCAACTTTCCATTATTTCAAACAGTCCTTCAACAAGGATCCTCAGGCAGGCCTCTTTGTACAAAGTCTCTGACATGGATCCCAGACAATAGGGTTTGGACAATTTTAATTGCTCTCCAAAGCGGCTGCACCCGCCAGCAGTGGTTAAGAGCACACATTTTTCCAACAATGTTTGATGTTCTCAAATTTTTGTTTGCCATATTATGGATGAAAAATGATATGTCATTCTTTTAATTTGTATTTTAAGGGGAGTTTTCACAGAAGAAAAGATTTCTGCACCCCAGTCTTGGCCATTCTAATCTGAGGCTTAAGAATCTGAGTGATTTGGCCAGGCTCAGTGGCTGATGCCTGTAATCCCAGCACTTTGGGAGGCTGAGGTGGGCAGATCACTTGAGGTCAAGAGTTTGAGACCAGCCTGACCAACATGGTGAAACCCTGTCTCTACTAAACATACATAAAAAACTAGCTGGGCATGGTGGCGCACACCTGTAGTCCCAGCTACTTGGGAGGCTGAGACAGAAGAATTGCTTGAACCTAGGAGGCGAAGGTTGCAGTGAGCAGAGATCTCACCACAGCACTCCAGCCTGGGTGACAGAGTGAGACACTGTCTCGAAAAAAAGAATTAAAAGAGAGAGAGAGAGAGAATCTGAGTAATTTTTTCCAGGTGATGTGCAGTGAGGTTTGGTGATGTCTCTTCCAGCTCTGTTGTTCTGTGATCCTGACACTCCTGCCTCCTCCTAGGCATGGGACTTGTTTAGGCCCAAGGTCTACACCATCTTTGCCACTTAAATTGCTGCTTTCTCCATGGGGGAAGATTTTTAAGACAAAGAAGTCCTGGTGACTCTGGCCTTTTACTGCGTGTGACTGATGGAGCCATATTTCAGATGTCCCACTGAGGAAATCCTACTCCTGGGAAGGAAGAGACTAACCCATGCTGCTCTATTGTTTGCTGGACACTATGCTGGGCTTTGTTGTCATTTGATTTCTACTGGGTCATTTAAACATCGCAGCAACCTTGGGAAATATTATTGTCCTCATTTTACAGATGAGGAAACTGAAGTACACAGTGACTTAGTAATTTGCCCAAGGTCACATAGCTACTATGGAGCCCCTATCCCAGATTTGACAGACTCCAAAGCCTGTGCTCTTTTCATTATACCACCTGCCTACAAATTAAGGTGTCTAAGGAGACAGAGACCATGGATGGCCAGTGCCTCCTTTCCAGAGATGCTCAGAGGAGTCTACTCACTTTGGCTCCCAATTCTCAGCCCCTTCCTGCCTTAACAACCCAAGTTCCTGACTCTTGGAGGTCTCTAGAAGGTAAGAGTCATATTTTATTTGACTTAGCATGTAGTAGCTAGAAGATGAGCATCATATTTTATTTGACTTAGTATGTAGTAGCTTCTTTGATCAATCCTGGGGAATGTGTTCCTGAAAATATGGACTGGGGAATAGATGGATTGGGGTACGAGAGAGAGAAGGATTAAGTTCCACCTTCTGATCATCCTTGCTGCTTCCACCTTCTGAAATTCATGCAGAATATATCTATAAAAGTGACTTGTCTCAGTGAATTACAGTCAATGTTTCAATTTCTTGAGCTTTTTTTTTTTTTTTGGATTCTGAGAAACTTTAAAAGAATAGTATATGCCAAATTACCATGTATCCGCCGTGTAAAAATAACCAAAAAAAATTGTCAGATTTCTTTTTTTTTAATAAAATAAGCAATATGTCACTCATCTGAAGATGAAATCCCCTGATTCCCATTCCAGGTTTCATTTCCTCCTCACCTCATCCCCCAGGAACCTCAGATATAAATTTTGATAATTTCTGCCTAATCTGTTTTTATACTTATAAGTATCCATTAAATACATGTATCATGAACAAATAAAAATAACAAAAGTAGTTTATATAAATGGTATCACACTGTACCTATTATTCTGCTGCCTGCTTTTCTCCTCTTTATGCTGTGCCACTGAGAGCCCTTTAAAACTTAAGAATCATGTCTTCTCTAATCACCACATCCCTGGTTGCCTTGTACATTCCAAATGCTTAATAAATGAGAAAGGAAAGAAGGAAGGAAGGGAGGAGGGAGGGAGGAAAGAAGGAAGAGAGAGAGGAGGGAAAAAAGTAGGGAGGAGGGAAGAAAGGAGGGAAGAAGGAGAAAAGGAAGGGTGGAAGGAAGCCCAGCCAACAGGGTCAGTCTTTCCCATCAAAACTTCTTGTGTGGCTCCCAATTAGAACGGAGGGTAATTACAAACGTATAAGTCCTCCATGTTATGATTTCCCTGATTCTGAGAACTGTTCACATCCCATTAGAGCAGACAGCCTCTCTATCCTGCGATCTGCTCCAGGGAAGTCCCAGGCATGACTGCAAGAAGTTCCAGGCCACACAGCCGCCTAATGTGCTTAGCTCAACTGTGGCTCAACTCTCGCTGGTCATAAATCAACCAGGCAAGGCTGAAGCCTGCATTACTCTCTATCTCTCAAAACCCCTCAAGGATTTGGGGAATTAGCTGCCAGTTCAAACACTTGTCTGCCCTCCTTTCCTTCTCCCACTCCATCTTTGTCTCTGTCAACCACAGAGTGCCTCTCAGTGCCTGTCTCTGCCTCTCTGGGCATCTTTCTCACTGAGCATCTCTCTGTCTCTGGTTCAAAATTATGCCTCTGTCTGCCTCTCTTCAGCCCCTGCATCTACCTTCCTGCACTCCCGCTTCCCTCCCCTGAGCCTTGCTGCAGCCATAGATCCAGGATCCCAGCTGGGTCATAGATCTCTTCGTTACTGCTGTTCTTTCCCTCTTGCTTTTAAGAATGCTTTTTATGGTGGCTTCTAGCACAAACAGCTGTTGGAACTTGTTTGAAAAAACCTCCGGGAACAGATGCTCTGGCAGCCCTTCAGATTCTTCTTTCCTCTGCAATCTGAGATGGGTTGGGGAAGAAATTCATTCATTCATTAACCCATTAAACAAATATTTATTGAGCTCCTATTATGTGCCTATCACTGAAGTAGCTGTTGAGACTAGGTAAAACAGCCCTTACAGAGTTTATAGTCTAATGAGGGGAGGCAGATTAAATCTAATAATCACTAAAATATGTAATATCAAACAGTGATCAATACTATGAAAAAAATGATCCACAGGTCCACAGTGCTCTAATAATAATGGTTAATGTCTATTAAATGTTTATTATATACTTGACTCTATTCTAACCATTTCACATACATTTATTTTAACAAAGACTTCCAACATCCTATTTTACACATGATGAAACAGAGGAACAGAGTGGTTAAGCAACTTGCTTATGAGCACACAGCTTGTGGGTAGGGGAGCCAAGATTTGAACACAACATGGGGGTTGGGGGAGCAAGAGGAGGAAAGCCTTCCCTGAGCTCAGTTTCCTCCACATATGAATAGAATTTTCTTTTCCAAGATCATGTTGAGACTAGGAGGCAGAAACAGGACCAGGGTCTGGCCTTCTGAATCCCAAACTCATCTGGTTCTAAAGGCAAATAGGCTGGAGTATAAGCACTGGCTCTCCTGCTAAGCCCCGTGAGATTTTGTGGAAAAGTAAGTGGAGCATGGGGGTGGGGAGATGGTAGGATTAGAGACTTCCTGCTAAAATGGGTATGTGGGAGCTGGAGCACCCTAAGCTCCTGGAAGGAAGGACTGTGTTGTGTTCTCCATTGCGTCCCCACCACGTAACACAGCAGCACTTAGCAGGTGCTTGGTCTGTATTTATTGAAAAATGAATGAATGGATATGTTGAATTAAATGTAAGTGAATTAAGTGAAAAGGATGAAACAGATGGAAGCTTCATGTTTCTTCCAAGCTAGGGGTTTATGATTCCGGTAACTTCATTTCTTTCTCCTCTCACTAACACTAGCCAACAGTGCAGAGATATTCTGCCAGGTATCTGGATCTGTTTCTCTCTTTTCTTTTCAGTCTGCATATCCAAAATGTTTTCCTGCTGTTGCACAAAACTCCCTTTCAAAATTTTTTCAGTTTTTGCTGATTCAATTAAGAGCTTAGTTTGATCTCAAAACTTTACCCCTTCTTAAGTCCCTTTTGATAAAACAGTCCCCAGGGTACTTCTTTGAAGCCTCTTCATGAGTTTTGGAGCTGAGTAAAATGCCGACCACTTACAGGATAATTACATTGGAGCAGACACATTGTTCCTAGAATCTGTTTCCCAATCTGAGTAAACAGAGCCTGGTCCTTTTTATGTTGTAATAAGCACTACCTTCTTCATTTTCCTCTCATCTGGAGAGCTGCCTGTGAGTTATTTCATCTCTGGTCCAGGGAAGAGGAAAGGAATGGTTGAGAGAACATCTTCCACAGGAAATTTGGCTAGGAGGGGTCTTTTGGATGGGAGGGTGACATTTGGCGGATTCTGTCACATTCTCAATGATTCTCTTTAGAACAGTGTCTGGCATATAATTGTAATAATTATTATTACTATTATTGTTATTATTGACATGCAAAGCACCTTTACATTCATGCTTACATTTGATCACGTAAGGTAACATATTCAAAGATTCCAAAGATTAGGATGTAGACATATTTGCGGGACCATTATTTTGCCTACTACAAATTTTAAAATAGGTATTATTATTATCCCCGCCCTCCATCTTTTTTTTTTTTTTTTTTTTTTTTTTTTTTTTGAGCCGGAGCCTCTTTCTGTTGCCCAGGCTGGAATGCAGTGGTGCAATCTCTGCTGTCTGCAACCTCTGCCTCCCAGGTTCTAGTGATTCTCCTGCCTCAACCTCCCGAAGAGCTGGGATTACAGTCACATGCCACCACACACGGCTAATTTTTGTATTTTTAGTAGAGACAGGATTTCACCATGTTGGCCAGGCTGGTCTCAAACTCCTGACCTCAAGTGATCCACCCTCCTCAACCTCTCAAAGTGCTGGGATTACAAGTGTGAGCCACACTCCCAGCTATTATTATCTCTATTTTATAAAGAGAAAAGCTAAGGCTTAGAAAAGTTATAGCATCCCTTTTGACAACTAGTAAGAGCCAAAGCCTTGATTCATTACCAGGGGGTCTGATCCAGTGTCTATATTCATTGCGTTATTCTCCCCTCCAACCCAGTTATGGATTTTAGGTCACACAGACCTGGGCAAGTCACTTAACCACCCTGTGCCTCATTTTTGTCATCTGTAAAATGGAACTAGTAATTTTATGCTTATGAACATTTGAGGTTACGCATGTGGTGTTCTTAGCACTGTGTCTGGCTCATGGGAGGTGCTCAACAGATGGCCACCATTCTTAAAAGTGTCATTTGAAGAGCAAAAATGGCAGGTGCCTAAAGAGATAGATTCAATGCCCTTAAATGAGGATGGGGGTTGGTCCAAGGAGGAAATGTTCAGTTTAGGCTCAGAGGAGTTGGGTCTCCAAGGATAGCTCTGGGGCTGGCTGTGGAGTGGGATGCTTTCTCCTGGCTTTTATAACACAGGGGAAAAGAAATCCATCCAGGTTCAGATCTGGAAGATGCCAGCCTAGGGCCAGAGAAGGCTGGGCCCTCACTGTTGATTGGTGGGGAAGTTAGCAGGTTAAAAAAAAAAAACAACCCTTTCCGCTCCCTCCAACTACTTTCTCAGATCCTTAACAACTGGCATATCAACCCATCTACTCAACCAAATTGTTGGCCAGGACCCGCTTTCAGAGACAGATGTACTTGCAAAGCACCCACACAACCTAGTCTCACACCTGAGGTTTGCTTACCTCCTGTGCCCTGCTGAGCTGCTTTGCTGCAGGGGATCTGACTACAGAAGGACAGCAGGATTTATCACTGTCCTAACTTACCCATTTGTCTCCCGCCCAGAGGGTCCTGACAGGGGAGTTTCCAGGGACCTTGCTGAAGGCTGCTCAAGTTCTTGACAGAGACACATGGCAGCGATTACACGCGACGATAGGCACAGTTACTGCGAGACGCGCCTGCTCCAAGTCCCCTCTTGAGCAGTCTCAAGCTGACTCTACAGCCTCCTTTGCTTCCAACTCTTTTTAAAAATTATTTATGCGGGCGTGGGGAAGGAATGGGGAGGGGTGCACAGAAGGCTGGAGGCAGGACTCTTCCCCAGAGGCCGGGGCGGGGGGAAACCCCTCTGTTGACACAATTAGATGGGGCAGCTTGAAATGCTCTTCTTTGTCACCAGCTTTCTGTCCTAGGACACAAAAGTGTTTATTGCATTTTCTCAAACATGAGACTTGAACCAAAAATCTCTGAAGAGACAAAGCGTTTCCTGAGAGATAAAGGAAAAAGAAGATGGAATCATAGAAATTTTCAAGGTCATAAAATTTAACTCCTGAACTAAAGTTTCTCTCCTAGTTCTGTCAGATATTTACCTGGCATTTGCTTGCACACCTTCCTTGACAGGGGGCTCACTACTTTTTAGGGCAGCTTAATTCATTCTTATGCAGCTTTGACTCTTAGAAAATTCTATTAGAGGCTTGGCGCGGTGGCTCACGCCTATAATCCCAGCACTTTGGGAGGCCGTGGCGGGTGGACCACGAGGTCAGGAGTTCAAGACCAGCCTGACCAAGATGTGTAACCCCATCTCTACTAAAACTACAAAAATTAGCCAGGCGCGGTGGCAGGCACCTCTAATCCCAGCTATTTGGGAGGCTGAGGCAGGAGAATAGCTTGAACCCGGCTGGCAGAGGTTGCAGTGAGCTGAGATTGTTCCACTGCTCTCCAGCCTGGGCGACAGAGTGAGATTTTGAAGAAAAAAAAAAAGAAAGAAAGAAGGAAAGAAGGAAGGAAGGAAGGAAGGAAGGAAGGAAGGAAGGAAGGAAGGAAGGAAGGAAGGAAGGAAGGAGAAAGAGAGAAAGAGGAAAGAAAGGAAGGAAGGAAGGAAAGAAGGAAGGAAGGAAGGAAAGAAAGAGGAAAGAAAGGAAGGAAGGAAGGAAGGAAAGAAAGAAAGAAAATTGGATTAGGTTGAACAGGAGTCTGCCTCTCAGCCAGTGCTCTTGGTTCTGCCTGCCAACCTACTTTCTCAGCCACAATATTTCTCCAAGAGTTGTTGCTTGTATGAGAATCACCTGGGGAACTCATTAAAATGCAGATTCCTGGGCCTGATCCCATCCTGGTGAGGCAGAATCTCTGATGCAGGGTTCAGGAATCTGCATATCAATGCAGGATGCCTAATCTCTAAGATCTGTAGGGGTTGTGGGCCCCCACAATGAATTGAAAAGGTGTCCACAAGCAGGGCAGGAATGTTAAAAGAGAAGACCAGGGATCCAGAGGACTAAGTTCTCCAACTTGTCAAACTCTACCAAGGATGGGGCTGATTAGGGAAGAAGCCACATTAAATAGAAATAAACTACCAGGAAATCACAAATAACAGCTATCACTTACTAAGAACCCACCTGTGTAAACACAGTACAAAGGGTTTGGCATAATCCCTCTATGTGTAAGCACTACAATCATCCCCATTTAACAAGGAAACAGGTTTACAGAGCTGATGTGACGGGCCCAAGAAAACACATCTGGGATGATCTGTAGTCTTGTCTTGTCCCATATGCCTTAAGATATGCTGTTAATTTACATTGTTGGGGTGAGGAAGGCCACCTGGCGAGAAATGTGGCCTTCTATCTTGCAGCTACCTGTTTAGGAACAAAAGGAAAAGCAGGGTTTTCGGTTTGTTTGTTTGTTTTTTTAATGTGATTCAGTTTCCAAACTTAACTTTTTCCTTTGGCATTGTGAGTTTGGGGTCTCAAGATTTCATTTTCCTTTTGCACTGGGAACCCCAAATCTAAACCTCCTAAGGTCCAGGCCTCTTCCTTTGTTCCAAATGAGCAGGTGCAAAGTTGTTTTCATTTGACATTGGGACCAGTTTTCACCCTCACATCCAAGAAGAGATCCTACCAGGTGCTCCTGAGGAGTATAGCCAGTCCCCGGGGAAACAGGGTACCTGGGGCTTCCACTTGGTAGTTCTCGTCCCAAAGAGCAGCGTAGGCCCTCAAGAAGCAGTCTTGCTTGTCTAGGCTGTTCACCTCCCTTGGTCACTCTCACAGGCCCACCCCAAACATTTGCAGGGCCTGAGCAAGAGTATAAATAGAGGCCCACATATCACCTGTTTGAATTAAGGTATCACACTGTAAATAATACCTATCTTCCTATCTTGACAAATATTCTTTCATCATGGCCTGGAAGGGTCAAGTTCAAATTAAAATTTGAAGGCACTCCTCCCTAGAATGTGGCAAATGTAGGGAGAACTGGCCCGCAGCCCTGGCTCCTGGCACTGTCCCCTTCTCTTTCCAACCCTGACTCTGCCCCACAGCCTGAAGGCCTCACATGCACACATGTGAATACCGTAGCCTGCACATCCCAGCTTTGTCCACATGCTCTGCAAACAGCTGAATCTTGGCCCCCTTTGGGCTGGGCTGAGTCATTTTTGGAAAGCTCTGTCTTGGCCTGTCTGCTTCAGCCATGGTCACTGTCTGGCTATCTCTGCCCTCTGAATCCATTTGCACCAACTGCTAATCATGGGGGCTGAGAGGGGAGAGGACTCAGGATGTTGCAAGTCCTCCAGCCACCTGCATCAGAATGCCACTCAGCCACTTGGGGCCTTGGTCTCAGCCTGGCACCAGGCCTGGCAGCGGGCACTGGGAGGCAGCCCCTCCCATAGCGAATGAAGCACAGGGAAAGGAAATACAGTCTTGAGCTGTTACTCTTGCCTGCAAATGAGAGGGAGAATCATATACTTTAGGCAGGGAAGGAGGTGACCTAGATCATGAGATCATATCTACTTCACCATCCCACCTGAAATTTGCCTATTAAATCTTATAACCTTTAAATTTAAAAATATATGATGATGCATATAACTTGGGGATGATATCAGCTATAATCCTACAGGTCAGTGATTATTAAAGTGCAGTCTAGGGCCAGGCGCAGTGGCTCATGCCTGTAATCCCAGCACTTTAGGAGGCTGAGGCAGGCAGATGGCCTGAGGTCAGGAGTTCGAGACCAGCCTGACCAGCATGAAGAAACCCTGTCTCTACTAAAAATACAAAATTAGATGGGCTTGGTGGTGCATGCCTGTAATCCCAGCTACTCAGGAGGCTGAGGCAGGAGAATCACTTGAACCTGGGAGGCAGAGTTTGCGGTGAGCCAAGATTGTGCCGTTGCACTTCAGCCTGGGCAACAAGAGTGAAACTCCGTCTCAAAACTAAATAAGCAAATAAAAATAAGTAAGTAAATAAAGTGCAGTCTAAGCCCAGCAGCATCAGCATCACCTGTTGTTAGACATGCAAATTCTTGGGCTGCAGTCTGACCTATTGAATCAGAGACTCTGGAGGTAAGACCCAGGCATTGATGTTTAACAAGCCCTTCCGATGACTCTGATCATGGTGAACTCCAAGAACCACTGATACAGGCAATGCAGTTACTGATTGTTGCAGAGCAGAGTAGCAATTCCACGAGAGTCATGCTCATCAATATGTGCTCATTCAACACTGAGAGCCAAACACTGCATTGGGCCTTGGGGACTCACGATACAGTCTCTGGCCTCAAGTTGCTCATCGTCAAGCAGAGGAGCAGGCAAGTAAACAGATCACTACACTGGGATGTGATGAGCGCTAACATCTACAGGTGAAGGGTGCTGTGGGTGGAGGAGTCTCAGATGACTTCCTAGAGGCAGCCCAGTGAAGTGTTCCTGGTGACAAAGTCTCTATCCTTGACAAACTTTAGTCAGACTCCTCTGAGCCCTCTTCTTGACTAGACCTTGACCTGGGCCCCCATCTTGTCTTTGGTCTGCCCAGCCCAGTCTTGGCAAAGAATCCACTAAGTCATTCCTCATCCTTGAGATCTGATTAAATTCCTCATCCCCCACCCTCGATGTTTAAGCCTCTGATCTCCCTTTAGCAAGAATCTCATTAGGCCAGTTTAGCAAGAATCCCCCTACCCCAATGTCTCCTCTTAGTGATTTCCCATCCACTGAGCTCTTACTCTGCTCCTTGCCTGCACATCCCCTGCCATTTTCGTTGTATTGGGAGTTGAGTCCAATCTCTCTCACCTTTTCCAACACCTCTATTGCAATAGCCCTGAGTAAAGTCTTCCTTACTATTTTATTTTAACAATAAATCTTTAACACTGGACAAGGAGCAGTGTGCTGAGGCCCAGAAGAAGGAAAGAACATGGCCCAGCTCAGGCAGGCCCTGACTATGGCTCCCATGTGAGAGGCAGAGTGTGAACGAGGTGGCTGAGGAACAACTGCGGTGGGATGGGCCTGGAGAAGTAAGCCGGAGCTTTGCGAGGTTCTCCAGGGACCTGGGCTTTCTCCTGAAGGCAGGAGAAGGTTTTAAGCAGAAGAGTGACATGATGAGGGTTTCATCCCAGAAAGATCCATCTGTTAGACAACTTCAAGGTGAATAGATTGGGGAGCCCAAGCCTGGAGTCCTGAGAGACAGGGCGGAGGCTGCTTTCCTCAGGGGAAAAGAGGTGGGAGGTAGGACTGGAGCAGGGAAGGTGGCTGGAGGGAAGTAAACATCTTTGAGATCAATTCAGAGAGTGGGCCACACATCAGAACCACCTAAGGAATTTTTTAGGGAAACACTTGTCTGGGCCCCTATCAGGACTCTGGAATCAGAAACTCGAGCAGCCGTTTAAAAAGCTTCCCTGGTCATTCAGCTTCAGCCAAGGCTTAGTGTCACTGAGGTCAAAGGTGAAGAGCCAGGGCTAGGTGACATTGTCAGAGGAGGGCAAGAAGAGGAGAGGAAGGAAAGAATGTGTGTGTGGCAGTGGTGGGGTTGGGGGTGCCCCAGGAGTCTGTGTGTGTCATCAGGGAGGCTAGTCGCTACATTTTCACAAGGTAAATCACGACCTTGACTGGAGAGGTCAAGGATAGAAAGCATCATCCCCTCCTTTTTAGATGCAAAAGATATACTGGGTTTCAAGGAGGTTAACACTCACACAAATGAACGATTTGATTAAAGGGGCTTGATGAACTCCTTCATTCATTCAAGCAATGTTTACTGAGCACCTACTATGTGCTGGGTGTTGTGCTGGGTGCTGTGCTAGGTGCTGGAGATACAGTGGTAAAGAAAATCAGATATACTCCCTGCCCTCATGGGGGTTCCAGTCTAGTGGGCAAGGCCAATTTTCTACAAGTATTGACTCTAATAATTGTAAAGTTACAACTGTGCTAAGTGTAAGAAACAGAAAATACTTACAGAACATAATAAGGAATGTGGCCTAGTCTGGAGGTTCTGGAAGTCTTCCCTTAGGCAGTGGCACCTGACTCAAGGTGTAAAGGCTGAATAAGAATTAGCCAGAAGGGTGGGAGCTAAAAGGGAGGAGGGTGCTACAAGCAGAGGCACAGCATGCACAAAGAGCCTACGGCAGAAGAGGTGGCCTTCATCATCAAATGGACTCTTCCTAGGCAGGTAGGGTTCCCGAGCCCATGGGAGAAGTTAGCAGCACCAGACACCCCTTTCAAAAAGCCCACTTTGGAAGTGGTGCTAATAGGATGCCCAAGTTTCCCACAATGGGGAGATGGCCAGAGGCCTGCCTGGAGTTGTTCCCTGGTGGCTTCCCTGCAGGCTGGTGGAACAAGCCCAGGTGTGCAAGCCAAGACAACCTTGCAGCGAGGTCATTCAGCACATCCTCTGGGGGAAGTGCTTCCTGACAGCTGCTCTGAAGTGATTCTCCTTCAATTCTCATTTTATAGCTCAGTGTTCCCTCCTCAGCAGGAGGCTGTATCTCTGAAGAAGTCAGGCTGACATTGCAGGCTGCAATTACCATGCCCTTCGCCTGCCTGAGATTTCCTGGTCATTTCCTACCTTTGGCGCTGTTAAGATTTTTTGCATTTGTTCCATTGCACAGATATTTATCAAGCAACTGCTGTGTGCCTGGCACAGAGGTGGAGACTACAATGAATAGGGATGGATATAAAAAAAAATTGGGATGGCCTACCACCTTTCAGGTGACCCTACACAACCAATCAACAAATGTGTGTAGAGTAGGAACTAGAAATTGAGATTTAAGTGCATCCAACAGAACTAAATATTGTGACACATCTAGTTAAAATTGGTGCACAGAAGGTGGGGTTTAAGTGAGCTAAGTCCTCATCAATCATACTAAGAAGTCAATAGATAATATCTAGCCGATAAATCAAGAAACAGAGGTAATAAAGCTTTGACAGGAACCACCAGAGTGTGATGATAAAGAACACTCCGGTGGCTGGAGTCAGACACCCTGGCTGAAATCCCATTTCTGTTGTTCACCAGCCATGTGACTTTGAACACATCACCTACTTCTCCTTAGTTTTCATATTTGTAAAATGGGCATAATAATGATACCTACCTCATAGAGCTATGGGGAGCACTTAAAGAAATGATGTACACAAAGAGATTGGCACATGACAAGTGCTCCATAAATATTAGCCAAGGCTAAAAGCAGAACCGTGGAAAATCAGTGGTTTCTGGGGAACAGGATACGCGAGGGTGCAGGAGGTGGAAGGCAGATGCTTTTTATTATAAGCTTTCTTCATTGTTTAATTATATAACCTTAGGCATATATCACATTGCCAAAAAAGAATTTTTAAAATACACATACAAATTGGGTGACTACTATAGAAAACAGGACATTGACTGAACTCTTCTGGCCTGAGCAGCTCTTTTCCCGCCCCATTCAAAGCTCCTCCCCCTTCCTTGCCCCATCTTCAGCCTCAGTTTCCCACCACCCCACTTTGCTTCCTTACTTTCCGTTTGTCTTGTCACCCACTCTTAACTGCCTTAAGTAGGCCTTGGTGCCCTTGAGTCATTCAGTCCCTGGGCCCAGGAACCTGTTGCAATGCTATTATGAGGCCTAGGCCAAATATCAGGCACATGTCTGGGGTAGATGGTGTTGCATCTGGGCCTGCAGGCTGATGGATCTGCCACAGAGCAAGTGATTCCAGGGGTTCCTGGAAGCACCCACATCCCTCTCCAAGGCACCTTTGCCTCCTCAGATAAGGGAATGCTCACTGCACGAAGGTCCTGGGATTCAGATTCAGGGAACTAGGACTCCTCCCGGACGCTGCTGCTGTCAGGCTGTGTGACTATAGATAAGTCACTTTGCTTTTCTGAGACTCAACTTCCTCCTTCATAAATGAAGAGACTCTTCCATCACTAATGAGACAGATGTACTCTCAATCCACCACTGTTTCCAGATCTGATGATTTTGCCTACCCAGCACCCATCCATCCTTCCTCTGAACACAGGACTCTAATTTTCCTTTGAGACTCATTCTGCCCTACTCTCAGAACTCGAAGACTTAGGTGAGAGTTCACTCCTTATTCTGGGGGTAAGCAAGTGACCCAGACCTAGCCAGTGAAACTCGGAATGAGATTTTTAGTGAAGCTATTGAGAAAGAGAAATTTCCCCTGGCATTGCTAGCTGTCGGGATAATGTAAACCTAGAGCTGCTGGCAGGTGCCTGTCATCTGGAGAGAGTGGCCTGCCTGAGGGCAAAAATCATGAGTAAGAAGAAGAGTTGAGAGAGAAAGACAGAGAGAGAGAGAGAGAGAGAGAGACAGAGAGAGAGAGAGAGATTGTGGTTTGATGGCATCCTTTAAACACATGAAGTTCACAGCACTTGCGAAGTCCCTGGACTTTTCAATTAAGTAAGACAGCAAATTTCTGTCATCCTTTTCCTCTTTTTTATGCCCAAATCTTTTTTAAGCTGGTTTTCTGTCACGTTCTGTCTTTGAACATTGTTTATCTTCAAGAAAGTCTCTCCCATGTCCCTTTTTTTTCTTAGCAAACACCTATGCATCATTTAGGATCCTCCCAAACATCACCTCCCTTGTGAGCTTTTCCATGTGCCCTTTAGCAGAATTAGAAGTTCCTTTCTCTGGGCTTTCATAGCAGGCTGTAGTACATTCCTACAATAAAACCCTTATTGCATTATATCAAGTTTTTTCCATACTTGTGTGTTTAGATCCCTGTGTTCGAGTGCTTGTTTGTCTTTAAATTCCCAGTGCCTAGATCAGGGGCTGGCACACAGTTCATGTTTGATGAATGAGGGAATGAATGAATACATAACCCAGATCCTCCTGCTATGGCATTAGCCCTCTTTATGGTTGCTCAGAAGAAATAGAAACCAATTTGTTACTCTGCTCTATGTGGATTAGTCACACTTTAACTAACTACAGTGTGGTGCAATGTATTTACTGAGCTCAGTAAATGCTAAAAACAATTTCAATTTTAATGCTGAATTGTCAGTGCTTTTATACACTTACCCTCCCTTGCTACCCATCCCTTTTGTACTTACTCTGGAGGTCACTTGATGCAAGAGACTGGGAGTTAACTTCCACTCAGCTGCCTCTATGAATCTGTAGACCTTTCTCATCTTCATGATGAAGGGGCTGAATTGGATCAGTTGAAACGTCTAAGACCCACAGAGCTATGGCGACCACTCAGCCCTAGCTTGTTATTGCCATGCAGGAAAACAGGCCTAGTGTTGCCAGATCTTGCAGTGTGTGTGTGTGTGTGTGTGTGTGTGTGTGTGTGTGTGTGTGTAATTTTTATAGATCTTGCAATTTTTAAGAGAAACCAGGAGTGTGAATTTTTATATAAAATGCATGCTTTAAAAAATATTGTGTGGGCCTAGGCTGTGAAGAACCAGGCACTCTCCTACACTGCTTGTAGGAGTGCAAAAGGATAGCTTTACAATTGAAGATGTGTTTATCCCTTAATCCAGCAACTTCCACTTCTAGGAATCTCTCCTGAAGATTCACCTCCACACTACAGAACAAGCTGCACACAAGATTATTCATTATTATGTTATTTTAATAGCCAGAGATTGAAAACAACTCCAAATGTCCATCCATAGGAGACTGAACCTGATTCATTCACACTGTGGAGTACTTGCAGCTGAAAAAGAGAATGGGAATGATCTCTATGTATTTATATGAAGTGATCTCCAGGATCATTTATGTAATAAAAGCAAGATCCAGCCCCATATACAGAGAAGTGTTTTTCAAACGCAAATCCCCCAGCTGAGGATAAGACATTTGCAAAGCCCACAGCATTGGTTTTTCCCTAGGCAAGCTGTGCAGATGAGGGCATGGGCAGTGTAGCTCCCACTGAGTGTATGTGTGTATATGAACATGCATTCAGTAGGTGGCAGGAACTTCCTACAGGGACAAGCAGCTCAGAGAGCCATTGGCAAACCCAATGTCCCACTAGGAAAACATCCTAGAGGAATCACGCTAGTATAACTTTGCAGAAAATGTTGGACCTGGATTCAAGGAGTAGTGGCTTCTAATACCAGATCTTCCCCTAACAGCCAACAGGTCTTTTCTTCTTCCTCCCATCTAATGTAGTTGTTATTCATGTGCTCATTTCTACAATGCCTTTTCCACCACTAGACTGTGAATCCTGGGTGAACATCTGCTTGCTCACCACCCAATCCCTAACATCTGTTACAATGCCTGGCTTGTGGTAGGTACTCAATAAATATCTGTTGAATGCATAAATGAGTCAATGAGGTGATGTTCATAAAGAACTTAGCATAGTATCTAAGCATGGTTAAATCTTCTATTAAAGGTAGTAGTTGTTTACTTAATATTAGGATGATGCTGATTACTAGTTGTTTGACTTTAGACAAATGAAATCCCTGAGTCTTGGGGATATGGTTTGAATGTGTGTCTCCTCAAAATCTCATGTTGAAACATGGCCTCCAGGCTGGGCACAGTGGCTCACACTTGTAATCCCAGCACTTTGGGAGGCAGAGGCAGGCAGATCACGAGGTCAGGAGATTGAGAACATCTTGGCCAACATGGTGAAACCCCATCTCTACTAAAAATACAAAAAATTAGCCGGGCATGGTGGCAGGTGCCTGTAGTCCCAGCTACTCAGGAGGCCGAGGCAGGAGAATCTCTTGAACCCGGGATGAGGAGATTGCAGTGAACAGAGATCGCACCACTGCACTCCAGCCTGGTGACAGAGCGAGACTCTGTCTCAAAAAAAAAAAGAAAAAGAAAAGAAAAAGAAAAAGAAAAATATGGCCTCCAATGCTGGAGGTGTGCCTAGTGGGGGCAGATCTCTCATGAATGGATTGGTGCCCTCCCCATGGTTAGGAGTTCACAAGAGAGCTGGCTGTTTAAAGAGCCTGGCTCCTCCTTCCTCTCTCTCTTGCTCCCTCTCTTGCCAAGTGACACACCAGCTCCCCTTCCCTTCTACCACGTTTGAAAGCTTTCTGAGGCCTCACTAGGAATGAATGCCAGCACCACACTTCCTGTACAGCCTGCAGAACCCTGAGCCAAAGTAAACCTATTTTCTTCACAGATACCCAGTCTCCGGTATTCTGTTATGGTAACATAAATGAACTAATACATTTGGTTTCCTCATTTGTGTTATGGATACAATAATATCTATCTCCAGGTTTTGTTGCTTAATAAGCTAATAATATATACAGATCACACACTGTAAGGTTTCACACATAAAAAATACTTAATCAGTGGTAGAGAGTGATGTCACCAAAATGGTGGAGTAGAAGCAATCTGGCTTTACTCTCTCCCACTGAAAATCAAAATCAAATACCCAGCACCTAGATTATCACCAGCAATATCCCAGAACTCAAATGTGAGGATGAGAAATTCCCTGGGGCCACAGAGATGTAAAAAAACCCTGAGCAAATGGTAAGAGCAGACTCCTATATCTACAACACACCTCCACCAGTAAGTGGGGGCTGTTACTAAGGAAAAATAGGGCCAGATGTAATGGCTCACACCTGTAATCTCAGCACTTTAGGAGTCTGAGGCAGGTGGATTGCTTGAGCCCAGGAGTTCGAGATGACCTGGACAACAAAGTGAGACCCTGTCTCTACAAAAAAATCAAAAAATTTGCTAGGCATGGTGGCGTGCACCTGTAGCCCCAGCTACACAGGCTGAGACAGGGGGATCACTTGAGCCCAGGAGGTCAAGGCTGCAGTGAACCTTGTTCACACCACTGTACTGTCACTTGTCATCATCCTGGTGACTGAGCAAAAAAAAGAAGAAAGAAAGGAAAATAGTATAAAATAAATAAACAAAAGAATCAGGCAAATCTCTTAATTGATGTTGAAATGACAGACGCGTTGCCTCAAGAGCCTCTCTCTTGCACCTTTCCCTGTCTTCTAAGATATGGTAGCTATCCATTCTTCAACAAGTGCTGGTCGAACAGATACTATGTGCTAGGCACCACACCAGCTGCTAAGAGCAGCATTAAAACAATGAGTAATCAATGGGTATGAGTTTCTTCTGTGGTGATAAAAATGTTCTAAAATTGATTATGTTGATGGTTGCACGCAGCTGTGAATATATTAAGACATTGACTTGTACACTTTAAATGCGTAAATTAATTGTATGACATGTGAATTATATCTCAATTAAACTGTTAGTTTTTTAAAAAAAGAAAGGAACAATAGACCTGAGTCAACCACATTCTATCTGTGTGATTTTGGGCAAGTCACCTGACATCTTTGCTTCAGTTTTCTCTTTTGAGAAGTAGGAATAATAAAAGAACTACTTCATGGGGTTTCAATGAGGATTAAAAGAGAAGACATCTGTAAGGTGCTAGTTAGCACTTGGTATGTAATAAGAGGTCCATAAATGTTAGCCAACATCATCACCCTCATCTTTATTAGTATATAATGCTAAAATAGGAATATACACAGTAGTATGAGAAAAAAAGAGGAAGGAGTTCTTAGTCAAACTGGATGGGAAAGTGAAGAAGTGATGGAAGAGGAGATGGCATTGAAGCTGAGTAAGAATTCATCAGTACAAGAGGATGTGAAGGGTATTCCTGGAGGAGGAAACAGCATGAGCAAAGGCATGGGGGTGAGAAATAGCATTATTAAGGTAATGAGCGACTAGCAGTTTTGTATAAAGTGTAAGGCCAGCAACTCGGACTTTACTGTGAGGACAATAAACCTCCAGAGGGAAGCAACATGGCAAGTTGGCATCCCAGAATGGTCACTCCAGTGGAGAGGATGAATGTTAGGGAATGCAGGACAGAAATGGCAGAGGAGTTAGGAGTGAGAGATACAACAATTCAAGCGAGAGATGGTAATGGCTACAACTTGGACTTTGAGTCAAGAGTATCAAGTATCAAGGCCAGGGCTCCTTTGGTCGTAAGTGACAGAGTCACTCATAACGTCAGGGAAGGCGTAAACTCCAAGGCAGGGGCTTCAGTCTAGTCAGGCATCCCAGAAACCAGAACTGGAACTGGAAAACCAGGAGGCAAGGTGATTCTCTTTCAGTTTTCTCTCTCAGCATCCCTGCCTCCCATACTTGGGCTGCACTGGCTTCTTTTGACTGAAGCACTTCCTCTGTTACTCCTGGTTTCTGCCTTCCCATATCTTCTCCTTCAGTGTGGCCCAAGAGTAATCTCCACCCTTGTGCTACCTGAACTGCCACCTTCAGAGGCCACCACCAGCTGCCTTCTTCCCTCTGTGTCACTGGATTCCAATTTCTGAGATAGAATCTGAATGGCTCAGCTCATCCTTTTGAACTTGCCTTAGGACAGTTCAGGAAAGTCATAGGTCAAGGACCAGCCCAGAAATGAGGGTGGAGGCTGTCTACAAAGTAGAAAACGGAGTCATTATAAGTAGCAGGTTTCTGCTCAAGGATTCATCTTACAGGCACCTGAAATATGTCTCATATAATAGGCCTAGAGGGGAAGGGATACATTTAAAATTTATTAGGCAATAAAACCAGCATTATTAGGTAATTGTTTGAATGTGGGAGGGGAGTTGACCCGGAGGCATGGATGACATCAGGGGTTGGCTTGGGTAACTGGTTGATCTCTCAGCTCCACTTTCCCCTGTGTTGGGACTGTTTTCAGGTTCTCAAGAAGCTTTTCCCTTGATTGAGTTAGGGTCTGCAGGAAACGAATGGCACTCTCACACTGGAACATTGGAAGAGAGTTTAATAGGAGGAAAATGGGGCAGGGTATAGTGTAACCATGAGGGACGGGGCAGTACCATGGGGCCAGAAACAGCGTGTGATGTCCAGCCCTAGCCCTGAAGGGTGAGGAAAGGGGCAGTTATTGGAATCTAGAAAGGGAGGACTGTTTCAAGAAGCCTGCGCGATGGGAGCCATGGACTTTTGTGGAGGACACAGACAGCCTGCGGCAAAGTTGCAGCAAGGGAATGGCGGGGGAAAGAAATGCTCTGACCTGGCTCTTCTCCCTCCCTCTGAAATCCTGCCCTGGCTCCTCAAGGGCTAAACCCAACAGGAAAACATAGAGCAAGGAAGCCCACTGATGTAGTCTACACCGCCTCCCTGGGGTGGGGAGAAGGTGCGGAGGAGCCGAGTCAAGAGGTCCAATACACGCCTCACGGTGGGGCTCACATCCAGCTCGCAACAATCCGCTGGAAGAAGCCACTACTTTCTTGATAGCCTCTATACAAAAGCCACGGAATTGAACCTCGATTGTTCAGATTCCGTCCCTGGACCAATCACTGCAGCTGAAGGGGGTTACTGCTCTGATTGGCTAAGTTCTGAGATGCAGAAGGGTGAATCTTCAAAGAAAATCAGGGTGTTGTTAACTATCCAGATAAAAAGAACACTACTGCACATAATGGGGCTCCTTGAGAACTTTTGAGAGGAGTTTATCAATCCTGCTGGAGAGATGGGTGGGGGTGGGGGAAGAGACCAGAGTGCATCCGTGAAGAGGTGAACCCAGTCATAAGAGATAGAGACATCTCTCTTCAAGCTTCACCTTTTTATTTTGTTTGTTTATTGTGACAGAGTCTCGCTCTGTCGCCCAGGTTGGAGTGTTGTGGCGCGATCTCAGTTCACCACAACCTGCGCCTCCCAGATTCAAGCAATTCTCCTATCTCAGCCTCCCAAGTAGCTGGGATTACAGGCGTAAGCCACTGCGTCCAGCCCAGCCTCACCTTTTTAAACAGGGATGAATCAACCATCTGTGGCTCCAGCACTCACCAGCAAGTTGTTAAACAAGTTCAGCCTTCTTGTCAAGAGTGCAGACCCCTCGTTGGCAGCAAAGACCACCAAGCCCTGCTTCATGAATTCATTCCTTGCAGTTAGACCTAGAAGCGACTTCTCTGGACCCACTGAAGTTTGCTGGAAGGTGCCACCTAGTGGAACAATAGAGGACCTACCGCTTGGACAAAAAGAAACCTTAGCAGGATTTTAGAGCCCTGAGAGCCATGTTGGAGCAGTGGTTCTCTCAAACTTGGCTACAAATTGGAATCATGTAGGGATGGCTGAGTCTGACTCCCAGAGATTCTGACTTAATTGGTCTGGGATGCAGGTTAAGCATCCAGAGCTTTTAATGGTCCACAGGTGATTCTAATGTGTAGCTAAGGTTCAGACTACCGGGTTATAGAGTATCCAATCCTCTTACTTTACAGAGGTGCCCACAGACTGCAGCCGTTCTTCCAAGAGTCTCAAACTCCTAGGAAGCCCCCTTTGGTCCTGTGCCCCACCACCTCTCTGTGTTTTGTATACCTTTTTTTTCTTTTGTACAAAAATGAAAAGTAATTAAACAGAAAGCACTCTCGTTTACCAAGCCCTGATACTTTCATGGCAGTGCCAGGAGGAGGATGGCTCCCTATACACCTGATATTTGTATCTGACCCTACTGGCTAATGCTCTGTTTGAGATGGGTCCACCCAATGACATAGTATATTTATTCTTTGTTTGAGATTTGTGGCCTTCTCTGTTTGCTCTTTCAAAGTGTATCCTACTTGAGGTACTTTTGATATCTACTGTCTTGATTCAGTGGTGTTCCTTTATAGTTGACAGGATTGATTTAATTGGCATCTCATTGTGGAAATGACAAAGTAGGGTCTGGGAGAAAAAGAGAAAGGGAGACAGGCAGTTCCCATCTAGAGGTCATTTCAAATAGGTGTTGGGGCTCAGAAAAGGACACCCCAAAATATGGCACTTTTGCATGCTGACTCCTTTGAACTAAGGAGACTGACAGCCCTCAGAAATAAGCTTCAGAAGTAGAGGAATTAATGTCTTAGACTCCTTCTCTGAAATCTATGTTAACCAGAGAGGAGGAGCTCCTTCTGCAGGAGAGGAAACTAAAAGTCTCCAAGCCCAGATACCACACACAGACAGACTTTTCACCTGTTCTTTCAACTACTCTTCTGAGGGTTGTTACCTGAGAGACTTTATCTGCATAATAAGACAACCTTTGTTCACAGTGCAATTCTGCCCCCCGCCTTTTCATAACTTGTCACCACCTCTGAGGAACTTTGTCCCAGGTTATTGTCTGTTCTCCAGGCTCATTCATCTCCCTTAAAAATCATTTACTCTTCTTCTAAAATTGCCTACATCCCCCACTTTATTCTTTCTTATGATGAGGGTATTTAAGCTTCAACCATCTGGCCCTTCTTTGAGTTTCATATTTTGTGTGGCTCCCATGCAAATGGCACATTAATAAATGTGTAGGTCTTTTCTCCTGTTAGTTTGTCTATTACCAGTTTATTTTGGAGACTTAAAGACTCAAACTTTCAGAAGGGGAGGGAGAAATTCCCTTCACCCCTACATAGGCATCCTGCAAACCCTTTCTTTGCATTCAAAATAGGAGTTGAAGTGCCACTAGATGCAGAAACTGGATTGAATCCCAAGTGGTGTTCCATGTCTGCCCCCACTTTTCCCATCCTACCTTGCAGGATTTAGTCACAGAATTTTGAAATTAAAAAAGACCTTAAAGAGCATCCGGTTCAACTGCTTTATTTAATACAACCATGTTCTGTGTTTATCTAGACATCTCTCCTTCCTGCTGCCATTACACTCACAAACCCACACATGATAAACCTGAAGCTCAGAGAATTTGAGTGACCTGTCTGAGATCACACAGGAAGCTAGAAGCAAAGTCTAGGCTGATTGAGGCTGACCAGGTACAGGTGGGGAAATTTCAGCTCCAGGAATTTTTTTCTCTTCCTCTGTATTATAAGTTTGAGCCTTGTTAAATGACCAACCTGGCGCAGATAGAAATTTGGGTCATTGAGACTAGTGTTAATGAGTTTTCTGAATACAGATTTTAAAGAGGTGGGTGTAGGATTATTAATTAATTGACTGATCGATTCATTTATTTCTCAGATGTTTGTTGAGCGCCTATTTTGGGGTAGGTACTGTGCTAGGTATTGGGGATATGCCAGGGAATGAAAACACACATGGCAAGTGTGAAAGGAAAACAGACTTTGGGACCCCAAAACCACAAAGCCAAAGGGAAAAGTCAAGCTGGGAACTGCTTAGGGAAAACCTGCCTCCCATTCTACTCCCACACAGATAGCATTTCCCTGATGAAATATGATGTGGAATATTTTTTTTTTTTTCTCAGACGGAGTCTCACTCTGTCACCCAGGCTGGAGTGCAGTTCCATGATCTCGGCTCACTGCAATCTCTGCCTCCTGGGTTCAAGCGATGCTCCTGCCTTAGCCTCCTGAGTAGCTGGGATTACAGGTGCATGCCACCACGCCTGGCTAATTTTTGTATCTTCAGTAGGGATGGGGTTTCACCATGTTGGTCAGGCTGGTCTTGAACTCCTGACCTTGTGATCCGCCCGTCTTGGCCTCCCAAAGTGCTGAAATTACAGGTGTGAGTCACTGCACCCGGTGATGTGGAGTATCTTTTTAATGTGCTTGCTTGTATAAACCAAAAAGTATCTGAGACAAGTCTCAATCAATTTAGGAAGTTTATTTTGCTAAGGTTAGGGACGTGCCTGTGACACAGCCTCATGAAGTCCTAACATGTGGCCAAGGGAAATGCAAATTAAAACAGTGAGATACCTCTACACACCTGTTAGAACGGCCAAAACCCATAACACTAACAGCACCAAGAGCTGGCAAGGATGTGGAACAATGGAAACTGTCATTCATTGCTGGTGGGAATGAAAAACGGTATAGTCACTTTAGAAGCCAGTTTTCCAGTTTCTTGAAAAACTAGAAAAACCCTTACCATATGATCCAGTAATTGAATTCCTTAGTATTTACCCAAAGGAGTCAAAAATTTATGTCTACACAAAAACCTGCACATTGATGTTTGTAGCACCTTTATTCATAATTACCAAAACTTGGAAGAACCAATATGTCCTTCAGTAGGTGAACGGACAAACTGTGTTACATCCAGGCAATGGAATATTATTCAGCACTAAAAAGAAATGAGCTATCAAGCCACAAAAGGACACACGGAAGGACCTTGAATGCATATTGCTAAGTGAGAGAGGCCAATCTGAAAAGGCTACTCCATACTGTGTAATTCCAACTATATGACGTTCTAGAAAAGGCAAAACTATGCAGACAGTAAAAAGATCAGTGGTTGCTGGGTTAGGGTAGGAAGGATGAATAAATGGACACAGAGGATTTTTAGGGCAGTAAAACTGAGGCAGGAGAATAAGGCCTGGAGGCAGGGAACCTAAGGACTTCGTAGAACTAAATCAAACTGAAAAAGCCCAACTTTCTAAGACCAAGTAAATAACTTTGTAACTCTACTTCTGCTATGACAGGAAACATCCTCTTCATTTGCATAGGATGTACACCAAGTAAATAACTTCGTAACTTCACTTCAGCTTCTTCATTTACATAGGGTATACACCAAGTAACCAATGGGAAACCTCTAAAGGGTATTTAAACCCCAGAAAACTCTGTAACCAAGCCCTTGAGCTGCTTGTTCGGGCCCCCTCCCACCCTGTGGAGTGTGCTTTTGTTTTAAACAAATCTGTTTTCTTGCTTCATTCTTTCTTTGCTTTGTGCGTTTTGTCCAATTCTTTGTTCAAAACACCAAAAACCTGGATACCGTCCACCAGTAACAAAACTACTCCGTATGATACTATAATAGTGGATATGTCATTATACATTTGTCCAAACCCATAGGAGGTATAATACCAAGAGTGTATCCTAATGTAAACTATGGATTTTGAGTGACAATGATAATGTTAATGCAAGTTCATCAATTGTAATACATATAATACTCTGGTGGGGGATGCTGATAATTCAGGAAGCTATGCATGTGTTGGGACTGGAGTATACAGGAAATCTCTGTACCTTCTACTTAATTTGGCAATGAATCTAAAACTGCTCTAAAAAGTAAAGCCTACTAAAAACAAACAATACCAAAACCAAACACGGTCTGTCTCTGTCCTCATGGGACTTACAGTCCAGTGCGGGAGACAGATATCAAACAATGACCCAGCAACTGTAAACATTGTGACTGTTAAGGAAAGGCATTGCTAAGAGGTTCCATAGCTGGGGAGCTTACTCTGTTTAGGGAGGTTGGTCAGGCTTCTCTGAGAATGTATCATTTGAGCTTGATGATGCCCAAGGAAAGAAGAAGCAAGAAGGCTTTAAATTTGCAGGAGACACAGAAGTCCAACACTTATAGCATTCTGGGTTTTGCTTGCAGTCAAGCAGACCTCTCTCATATCAACCTGGAAATTATATCATTATAGAGTCATAATTATTCTCATTTTTCAGATGAGGAAATTGAGTAGCTAAGGGACTTGGCCAAGGTGAAAGAGAGTTAGACTGACATGCAGACCTGTTGGTCTGCAGATCTCTTGACTTGCTGACCCATTCTACTTTTACATCTTCTCAGCTCAGGGCTGGTCCAGACGAGCCTGAGGGTATAGTTCTTGACAAATGGGGTCAGTAACAAGGGACCCTAAAAAAGCCAAGGTGAGGACATCGAGTAGGAACGCTTTTCATATCCTCATCAGGGAGATTGAAGGCCTGCGCCTGTCACCTCTCCTCTGGTTGACCCTTCTTGCTGAAGTATATTCTGGGGGGATACTGAAAGACCTGTTGTTACTGATGACAAGATAAGAAACCGAAGAGTGAGCAAGAGAATACGCAGCTCATTTAAAAAACAAAACAAAAAAAGTAAAGATGGGAATATGGGGAAAGAGAGGAGCTTCTCATTCATCAAATGTATGTTTTAAGCCCTTTCTGCGTGTCAGGCACAAATGTTCCAGGATGGAGGAATATAGCAGGCAATGAGCAGACAGGGCCCTTGCCCCATGCAGCTGATATTCTATTTGGGAAAGCCCAATAATAAACAAGTAAATAAACACATAAATGAGACTATGGCAAAGAGGGATATGTATGCACTGTGAAGGAAACATGGCAGGATGTAAAGTATGGGAGAGAGTGCCTGGGTAGTTAAGGAAGGTCTCTGTAAAGAGGTGATATGTAGTCTGGGACCTGAAGGATGAAAGGGAGCTAACAGTGGAGGAAGATCTGGGGAAACAGCTGGCAGAGACAAGAGCTAATGCAAAGGCCTTGGGGCTGGCATGGGCAGAGGGCCTTCAAGGACCAGGAAGAAGGAGAGTGTGGCTGCTTTGGAGCGAATGAGGAGAGTAACAGGAGATGAGAGCAGAGAGGCACAGGCCAGAGCAGAAGGTTTTGCCTGACAGCTGAAATTCTGTTCATCCCTCTCAACGCTCCTGTGTTGTTGAGCTTTTATTTCACCCAGCTACTAGTGCTTACATTCGACCAGGGTCTGCACGGTAAGCCCTTTATGCACATTATCTTATTTAACGCCCACAATAGGCCTAGAGGGCTCAGTCTGAAAGTAACATTTTTTGTTCAATTTCAGTCAATGACCAGATCAGTTCTCCCAGGAAACCAGCCAGAGCTAACAGACTGCCCATGTCTCAAATGGTATTGTCTCAGCGAGCGGAATAAAGCCCCAGAAGCCCACCCCCTGCCTGGTGCATCCCATATTGTACAAAGTGATCAAAGAGTCCCTGGATTAAAGCTGGGTTCTTGGGCTAGAGTCCTCATTGGGGCCAGACTGGGCTGGCATGCAGCTTTGATCAACAAGTGACATGAGAAAAAGCTCAAATCCAATTTTGTGCAGAATCTTCTAAGGAGCTAGAAGAGGGGATGGGAAGGAGAGAGATGCTGAGTATCTTCCCTCCTGTACTTGATCTTCACTGCTATACAGTACTTCACTCAACAGGGGCTTATTGAACACCTACTGTGTGCCAGACCCAGGAAAGGCCACAGCTTAGTTTGTGTGGCTGGGTGGGAATATGAGTTGAAATCCACACACCTTGGCTCTGTTCTGGCTGCTTTAGCACAAGGAGAGGGGGGATCCTTTCTGTAAGTTCTTCTGCCTGGAAGGAGCACCAGTTTTCTGATTCACAATGAAGGGAAATACAATTGTGCATGGCTTAGTGATGGGGATACGTTCTGTGAAATGTGTCAATAGGTGATTTCTCATAGAGAACATCATAAAGCATACTTGCACAAACTTTGATAGGATAGCCTAATACACATCTAGGCGACACGGTATAGCCTATTGCTCCTAGGTTACAAACCTGTACAGCATGTTTCTGTACTGAATACTGTAGGCAATTGTAACACAATGGTATTTGTGTATTTCAGCATATCTAAACATAGAAAAGGTATAGTAAAAATAGAGTATTATAGTCTTATGGGAACACCATTGGTATATACAGTTCATTGTTGACTGAAATGTTGTTGAACAGTACGTGACTTTATGTGCTGACAGAGGCACGGAACACCATAGAAGGCAAATACAAAGTTCCTGTCTGTTTGGAACTCACATTCTAGACAGGGAGACCAAAAATGATACCTGCTTTGGAGAAAAATCAAGCAAATGGAGATGGTGGTGGTGCTAGTTGATATCTTAGATCAGCTGGTCAGGGAAGCTCTCTCTGAGGCAGGACCCCTGATCTGGTTCCTGAGAGAAGGCGGAGAGAGAACCATGCAGAGGGGTAGAGGAAGAGATTTCTAGACAAGGGCACAGTAAATTTGCAAAGGCCCTGAGGGAATCATCAATTTGGTATACATTTGAGGAACATAGCAAGACCAGTGTAACTAGAAGAGAAGGAAAGAAGGCAAAAATTAGAAGTTGGGTCAAATAATGTAAGGCCTTATGGGCTGTGGTAAGGATTCTCATAGATTGTAGGTTGTTTTCTGTTTATTTGTTTTGAGAGACTTGGTCTTGCTTTGTTACCCAGGCTGGAGTGCAATTCTGTGATCATAGCTCACTGCAGCCTGAACTCCTGGGCTCAATCCTCTCACCTCAGCCTCCAGAGTAGACAGGACTACAGACACATGCCACCATGCCTGGCTTCATAGACATATTCTAACATGAAGAGAAGCCATAGGCAAGTCCCAGCAGCAGAGTTAGCCTTGTGTGTGTAAAAAGAACATTCTAGCTGCTCTGTTACCAGCACTGTGCTCAGTGCTATAGTGGCACCTAAAAGTTTTTTGCAACATTATTTAATTACATAAATACTGTGTATCCACTGCAGTATAGAAGACATAGGGCTATTCATAGCAACATTATTCACAGTAGCCAAAAGGTAGAAAGAACCCAAATGTCCATCTACTGATGAATGAATAAACAAAATGTGGCATACATACAATGGAATAGTATTCAATCTTGAAAACAGGAATGGAATTTGGCTGAGCGTAGTGGCTCACACCTGTAATACCAGCACTTTGGGAGGCCAAGGTGGGAGGATCATTTGAGGCCAGGAGTTTGAGACCAGCCTGGGAAACATAGCTAGACCCGGTCTCCACAAAAGATTTTTAAAAAATCAGCTGGGTGTGGTGGCATGGGCCTGTAGTTCTAGCTACTTAGGAGGCTGAGGTGGGAGGGTGGCTTGAGCCCAGGAGTTTGAGGCTACAACCAGCTATAATCCTATGACTGCACCAGTGACTGCACCACTGCACACCTGCCTGGGCAACATAATAAGACACTGTCAAAAAAAAAAAAAAAAAAGGAATGAAACTCAGATACATGTTACAACATGGGTGAATCTAAAAAATATTATGAGTGAAATAAACTGGAAACAAAAGAACTAATATGATATGATTCCACTTACATGAGGTACCTAGAATAGTCAAATTCAAAAAGGATAAAGTAGAATGGTGGGTAGTTGCCAGCAGTTGTGGGGAGAGGGTAATAGGGAGTTAGTGTTTAATGGGTACAGAGTTTCAGTTGGGTTGATGACCAGTTCTGGAGATAGATAGCCGTGATGGCTGCAGAACAATGTGCATTTACATAATGCCGCTGAATTGTACACTTTAAAATAGTTCAAATGATCAGTTTTACAAACGTTTATCACAAAAAAATGTGTTTAAAAAAGACATAGAGTTAGGAGCTAGAAATAGAAAAATGGCCATTCTAGGCAGAGGTAACAACAGGTGCAAAGGTACTGAGGCAGGACTGTGCCTGCCTGAGGGATGCTCTGAGGAACAACAAGGAAGCCAATGTCACTGGGGCACAATAAGGACAGTAAGGAGTGAGAGCTGATCACATATGGGCTTGTAGGGTCCTGTACTTTCTTAGGAACCTAATGAGAGGTGGGAAGCCACTACAGGGATTTGAGCAGAGGGGCGATACAATCTAACCTTGGATAAAACAAGATCATTCTGGCTGCCACATTCTTTTATTTATTTAATTAATTAATTAATTTATTTATTTATTTATTTTTTTGAGATAGAGTCTCGCTCTGTTGCCAGGCTGGAGTGCAGTGGCACGATCTCGGCTCACTGCAACCTCTGCTTCCTGGGTTCAAGCGATTCTCCTGACTCAGCCTCCCAAGTAGCTGGGATTACAGGTGCCCGCCACCACGCCCAGCTAATTTTTGTATTTTTAGTAGAGACAGGGTTTCGCCATGTTGGCCAGGATGGTCTCGATCTCTTGACCTCGTGATCTGCCCGCCTTGGCCTCCCAAAGTGCTGGGATTACATGCATTTTTAAATCTGACTCTCATTCGCCAATGGGTATAAGAAAAGCATGTACCTCACAGGGTAACTGTGAGCATTTAAAGAGGTAATGCATCTCAAGGGCTGCCTGACATAGAGTAAGCACTCAATAAAAGGTAAGCATTATTGTGATGGAAATCTAAAGAAAGAAAACAGTTCCCTGAGGAGGAGTTTTAGAAGGCTTCGTGGAGGAGGTGGCAGTTTAACTAGACACGGAAGGATGAACAAGATTTCCACCGACCTAGAGAAGGGGGTTTTATGGGTAGAAGGAGCTGCGTGGTCAACAGCACAAGAAGGAAAACACAAAGCCTGCAACAGGCTAAGCGAAGCTCAGGGCAGGGCAGGGCAGGGCACGGCAGGAGACAGAACGTTTGATCAGCCCTAGCAGGTCATAGGAGAGGAGCATGATGGACTCTAGAGCCGAGGTGATGGAAGCCTTGAAGGTTTTGCTGCAGAAATCAAGAACTGAGCTGTGATGTCAGAAAACTGAATCCCCATCGCTCAGCCTGGAGCTGGAAGAACTTGGAGGCAAGAGTTGCCAGAACGCTGGTCAAGGACTAGTGGCAGCTAGGCACGAAGGTCAGCGGCTGAGCTAGAGAAGCAGAGAATCAAGAGGACGAATGTGGGGGTGGCAGAGAGTAAGGTAGCCAAGGGGGTGCTCCGTTCCACCGCATCAGGGAGGAGGCAGCTAAGTGACCAGCGTCGAGCGCCCCGAGGAGGAGCCGCTGGCTGGCATCACCGTCGGAGTCCGGCTCCACGGCCCTCCGCATCGCCCAGAAGCCCGACTCCTCTGTCAAAGCCCTCGCCACAGTTACAGACACATTGCCTGGTCTAGTGAAATTACGTGTTTCATGTTTCAGCTCCCAGACGTCAGGGCTCAGGTCTGTTTTCATTTCATCCCAGAGCCTGGCACAGTGTTTGGCACATAGTGGCGCTCGCCAACGGTTTGCTGAGAGCTTTCCGGGAAGGGCTCAGTGCGCTTAGGATCCAAAAGCACGCGTGAGAATGCAGGGCATTCTAACTCCAAGGGGGTTGGACTTGCGTGAGGAAAGGTGCTGCAGAGAGGCTACCGTCACTTACCCACCCGCCGGTTTGCAGGATCTACAGACGGGCGGCGGCCGGGCACAGCTCCCTACAGTTTGCAGAGGGCGTTCACACCTAACGCCAGGGCCCCCCTAGAGGAAGAAAACCAGGGCCCGCCCGCGGAACAGTGAGCGTGCAGCACGGCTGTGGCCCCGTTTCATGGCCGGGAACACCGAGTCGCCGGGGTCAAAGTAGGTCCGCAGGTCCTGGGGGCCGAGCCTAGGTGGGCTGGAAGTGACAGCCCCGGGGGCTCCAGGCTCAGAACGCCCGGCGGGGCCCCAGCACTATTTGCATATCCCCAGGGAGGCAGCAAAGGTTCGGCTGCAGTCCCGGGCGGAGGTTGCCGGGCGGGGCGGCAGGGTACCCGGGCGAGCGGACATGCACCCCACCCAGCGGTGCCCAGCCCGCACCAGTTAGCGCCCAACTCGCCAACTCCGGGACTTTCGCAAAGCTCCAGAGGGCGGGGGAGCCGCCGAGGAGTGGGACGGACCATCGCGGCTCGAGAGGGGGGAAGCGCTCCGGCCCGGCATCCTGCAGCGCCCGGGCGGGCCGAGACGCTCCGTGAGAGGGCCGAGCCTGCAGCGCAGAGACTCGGCGGTCGACGCGGGGGCAGGCGGCGCGGGGCGGGCGGCTCGGCGGGGCCCGGGGGCGGTGGCGGCGGCGACGACCCCCTCGTGGCGGCGGCGTGGTGGCGGCGCCCAGCTCCCCGGCCGGCGAGCGGCGGAAGTGCCGCGGAGTTGGAGCGGGGCCGGCGCCGCAGCCGCTTCTGCTGGCTGAGCTGCTGCCGCCGCCGGGCGGACGGGCGGACGCGCGGAGCTGGGGGCGGCGCGGCGGGGCCGGCGGGGCGCGGCGGGGCTGACCGGCCCCGATGAGGCGGAAGGAGAAGCGGCTCCTGCAGGCGGTGGCGCTGGTGCTGGCGGCCCTGGTCCTCCTGCCCAACGTGGGGCTTTGGGCGCTGTACCGCGAGCGGCAGCCCGACGGCACCCCTGGGGGATCGGGGGCGGCGGTGGCGCCGGCGGCGGGACAGGTGAGTCCCCCCGTTGCTACAGGCCGGGAACACCCCCTTCCCGAATTCACTTTTAGCCTGTGGTTCCTTCCTCCACCTTCTGCTGTCTGCCTCCTCAGAGTCAGCTCCGAGACTCTTCAGCTCTTCCCATTTTCCGGATGGGAAAATTAAGTCCTGTCGGGACTTGTCCAGGGTCCCACGCCAGTCAGAGACTGAGTCCGAACTAGCACTCAGGACGCTATTTCTCACCACATGTTACCACCTTCCTTTCTGTCCCCGTCTGGTATTCCTTGACGTCTTCCAGCGGATCTCTTTTGAAGGATCCTATCTGCATCCCTGTATCCCAGGATGACTCCTGCCTTGTGCCAATAGGAATGAAGATTCTGGTTCTTCTATTTGGTGTCCAGGTCCTCTCTGCTTCCCTCCTCCCACCCCCCCCCCCCCACAACCCCTACCTGCTGATCCCAGTGTTCTTTGCTCAGGTCAGCCCTTTTCCTGATTTCTCATCTGCCCAACGAGACACCCGGGCCTTCCTCCTCTCCCCATTTATTCAACACCCCCGCCCCAACTCTAGCCTTTTCCTTTCTCAGATCCTGTGGATTCCTTGCAGAATGTAAAGATCATGCTCCCTTTAAAGCTTCAAGCCCCTGGGGGTGGAGAAGGGGGTAAGCTCCTGGTCCTTGAGGGACCTGCTGCCTTTGACCTTATGGGAGTCCAGAGGTGGGGCTCTGGTGGGGGGACCCCCAAAATGTCCCAGAGGCTATTGGTGCCCAGTGTCCTGAGGATGGAACACCAGAAGCCTTCCCTATCTCTTCTGAACTTGTCTAGTCTGGTTAGTTGTAGTGTTTATTGCAGCCAAAACTGGGATCGGAATGGTTTCTGCCTCCTTTGAACTTACCCACGTATGTTTGTGTGTATGTGTGCGTGCACGCATTTAGACTAGCAGCTCCCTCATAGCAGAAGCTCTGTCACATCACTCCCACCCTCCCAGGAGGTGCTAGTGAGTGTATTGCTTAGACTGTTTCATATAGTGGAACATTTCAGGCTTTCTTACGGGATTTCTCTGGTCCCATGAGAAGTGGATAATTTGTGTATCAGGGTCAGACTTGACTGACTGTTGGCTGGCCTCGACGAAAGAGGCTGGCTTTTCTGAGATTGATGGTTTTCCTTATTCTTCCCAGTATCAGGCTGCTGTCTAGGCAGTCTGGCATCTGGAGCACAGAGGGCTCTTTGCTACAGAGCTGACCAATTTGAGCTCCGCCTGTAACTCTGTTAATTGCTGCAAAGCATCCCAGAGGGTCTCATTGATCTTTCTGGTAGAGCTTACTGTTTAGAAACTAAGGTTTCCATCTCTTTCCTAAACCCCTGGTTCAAACCCTGACAGCTAGCTTAGACCTCTCTCCCTGAAATTCTGTATCTGTATGGATTTTCCGTTCATGAAATCTCTTTCCTCTGTTCCTATTCAGTACCAGCATCAGAGTCAGGAGTTCCAGGGTTCTGACCTCAGCTCTACCACTAACTTACTGTGTGTGTCCTTGATCACCTTTCATCTCCTTTTCTGAGCCTTACTTTCTTGGTCTGTAAACCATGATTATTGGTCCAGTTCTAACATTCTGTGATACTATCAGTTAATCAATGAGGAATACAACGGTCCCTTCTTTTTTTCTGTCTTGAGTCCAGAGTTCCTTGTAGCATCCCTAGCTGTGGAGGCTCCATACTGGACACAGCTCCAGGTCAAGGGGGAGTGTCCTACCCTAGTGCAAACTCTCCTTTAGAATAGCTGTAGCCCATTCTAAAATAGTGCTTGACATTCTGCCTCTGCTTGGAGAAAGACCTCGTATTTCATTTGCAATAGATGCCAAAGACATCCTGATTTTCATTTCTGTAGACCCAGATGGGTAGAGAAGGTCAAGGTTAACTGCCAGTTTGGCCTGAGCTTTCAAAGTAAATTACTCACTTGTGCAAGAGGGTATTGATAGAGTAAGGCAGACTTTTGGGCAGGGAGAGAGAGGGGAGCAACAGCTGGGTGCTGCTCAGAGCCCCTAACTGAAATGGATAGACAGGCTCATCTGGGAAGATCTAGTTTTTGTTCATTTCTTTTTCTCTGGAATAGCATGAAGAGGAGGAGGAAGAAGTGGTGAAGGGGGTTTGGGGGTTTGGGGGGAATACCAACTGATTATTCTTGCTTTAAAGAAAATCTCTTTGCTTCATGGGAGCAGCAGAATGGAGCTGTTTCCCCAATGATAAGCTCTTCTAGGTGCTACAGGATTCAGCATTCATCTGCTGCCTTTCAAGAACGCCCTGCCAAATTTCCACACAGCCCCTTTTTGTTTCACTCTCCCACAGATGCAGAGCACTGGGCTTGGCCCCCAGTCCGTTGTTTGAATGTCAGCTGGCCTTGAGGAAAGAGGCTGACTTCTCAGAGTGATGGTGTTCCATCCCTCATCCCAGTGTACTGGAACATACATGTAACATGCCAGGCTGCTATCTGGGAAATCTGGCATCTTGAGCATACAGAGCTTTTTCAACAGGGCTGACCAGTTCTGAGCTCAGCCTGTCATTCTTGTAATTGTTGAGAATCATCTTTGAGCATCTCGTTGATCCTTCTGGTAGAAATAACTGCAGAGGCTCTGGAGGGAAGTCTGACAGGACTTTATCCAAATGAAAAATGTGTTCCATATGGGTTTGAAAGAAGATTCTTTGAGAGTAACATATCCACTACTTGAGTAGTCCTCTAACTCCTTGATTTCTCCACTGGATTAAAGAACGGAGTTTCAAATTTATAGTGTTTATCATCTGCTAGAATGAAAGTCTACATAACTCATGCCAGCTCATCCTGGGAGTACCTCTGGAGCTGGGTGGGATAGCTGATTTATAAAGGACACATAATGCTTCTAGGATTTCAGCAGTCATCTGGTCAGACAGTTGGCTTCTTGGGAAGCTGCAAAACCAAGCAAGAAATGCCAGCCTTGAAGACATCTTCCTTTTAATTTGTGGGTCCCTCTCATTCCAAGCCCCAATCTGTTTAACATCTTGGTTTAATTCAACAGTCTGTTTCATATTCCAGGTTTGGGACAGGTTATTAAAAGCTCAAGTTAGAAACTCAGTGCAGTCTCTCCTCATTTCTGAGCCATAATCTCTTGTTGAAAAATGACTTCACTGGATAAATAGCATATGTGGAATAGAAATTGGTGGAATAATGGAATACCGGTGACTTTAATTTTCAAGTATCAGGATTTCTTTCTCATTGTGTTAGAGCTGAACTTTATTCTTAGAACATCCAGAAATCAATGTTTTTTTCTCTTTTTTCAGTCTTCCTGGTGGCAGAAGCCTTGCCCATCAGAAAGTTAAGTATAGAAATGTAGCCTTGGAACGATTTCCTTAATTTTCCACAGAAGGGCTAGTATCCTTTAGCTTGCTAATCACTCCTCTGTCTGCATGCCCAGGTGAAATCTGATGCCACTAGGGAAGGGTTGTTGATTTGCCAGAACAAATCCGGCTCCCTACATTCTTTCTGTCATTCTTGGCTTGCTGTCTACCAAGGAGTCCAGCTGAGGAAGGCCTGGGAACAGAGACCTGGCTTTTAGTCCTTTCTCCTGCCCTAAACTCACTGTGTGTCCTCAGGAAAGAGGTTTAACCTCTCTGGGCCTTGGATTCCTCATCTGCTAAGTGAGGCTTAGATTCAGAAGGGAAAAGGCAAATGCATATTGTAACGATGCTTCCCCTCCCATGGCCAGGGCAGACATTGCTAATCAACCTTTTCATTACTAATACCAGACTTGGGCTCAGACTGTTTCTCAGCAGGGCTACTCAAGTAGAGTTAACGACATATGGAAACTCATTAGCAATGTAGGGAATAGATACTGTGTTAGGGCTTTTCCAACTCTTACATCCTGAGGTTCTGTGAGTATGCTTGGAAACACATCTGAATAGTGATAGTATATTTAAACAGGCCTCTGTATCTAACTTGTAATGAGGCCACAACTTAAGGGTATGTTCATATTTGAATGTCTTTTCTCAGGCTGTAGTCTAAGGATGTTCAGCCTTTGATCTGTTGGTTCCAGTGACACGGTAACAGATAACGGAATCAGGAATGAAAAGCAAAAGCCCATTTAAAAGATAACCATCTAGCTTGCTAATTGTACCTTGTCCACAGTCAGCTCTTACACAGAGATGGCATCAGGATCTCCTCACTGAATCAAAAGCACCTTGAGGCAAACCTGGCAGCTACAAGTAAGCCCCATGGCAGCTAAATGCTCCTGACGGTGTTTGCAGAGGTTTCGTGTTTTACATATATCTGACCCTCTGCATCCCATATATGTGTCAGAACTGGTAAGGGAAGGCCTTGAATAAGAGTCTTGTTTCTCCAGAGAACCTTTCTCCTCATGCGCAGTGGAGTGGGGAAAGGAGGTAGCGCATATACACCTGAATTCCCGCAGCAAGAAGTGTATCATGGCCTCCCTGCTGGAAATGTCTTAAGGTAGGAACACATCCTCCTCTAGCACAAAGCACAAGATTTGGCTCTTGGAAGACAGGATGTGTTTGCTGAATGATTGAAATATATCAGAGCAGGCAGGGGGCTGCAGAAGTCATCTAGTCCAATCTCCTCAATTTGTAGGTATGAAAACTGAGGCCGAGAAAAAGGGAAACAAATTAAACAAGTTCCCATAGGGAGGAACGCAGATCAGAATCCATTCTCCAAGTTCTTGTTCTATTTCACCATGAGAAATTTTTTCCCTCCATATACTAATATTTGATCCTTCTCTACCATTATTTCTTTCAGGAGCCAAGATTATCACCCCAAATTTTGGAGGCCACTGCTTAATGAGACCAATTATCTGCTGGAACCTATCTGGCTATTTTTTTGTAGATCTATTTTTGTACATTTTCTTTCCAACATTTTATAGTGTTTTGTTTTTGTTTTTGTTTTTTTTTGAAACGGAGTTTTGCTCTTGTTGCCCAGGCTGGAGTGCAATGGCGTGATCTCGGCCCATCGCAACCTCCACCTCCCAGGTTCAAGTGATTCTCCTGCCTCAGCCTTCCCAAGTAGCTGGGATTATAGGCATGCGCCACCAAGCCTGGCTAATTTTGTATTTTTAGTAGAGATGGGGTTTTTCCGTGTGGGTCAGGCTGGTCTCGAACTCCCGACCTCAGGTGATCTGCCCACCTCAGCCTCCCAAAGTGCTGGGATTACAGGCGTGAGCCACCATACCCAGCCTCATTTTATAGTTTTAAAAGCAACTAAAATGGATTAAAATTTAAGGTGGCAAAGGGACAAGAGTAGAGGAATTAAAGGCTGGGAAGTACATGGCACCATTACTGCTATCCCTGACAGACAGAGAGAACTTGAGCCTAAGAACCACCTCAGATTCTCTATCAGTTGCAAGTAACAAAACAAATTGAGCCATGTGGGCTGAAATGAGTAAGGGAATATATTGGCTCCTGTGACTGTAGTTGGCTTCAGGTATGGTGTGATCTAGAGGTTTGTGGCATTGTCAGGGCTCGGTCTCCTTTCCTCTGGTTTCTGTTGGTTCTGACTTTCTCTGTGTGTTGGCTTTGTTCTGTTTTGAGGCTCCATGGCAGCAAAAAATGGTAATAGCTCTTTCAGACCTCAGATCCACACCTAGATCCTAGAGGAGAGGGTCTGTCTCCTCTGGTAGCTTCTACAAAAGACAGAGAACATCTTTTCTATAAGCTCTAGCAAGATCTTAGGTCTTACCGGTCTACTTTGGATCTAATGTGCTGTCTGAACCATTCGCAGATTTCAGGAGGAGAAGCTGTATTGATTGACTTAACGTACCCTAGAGCTAGGAGTGGAGTCAGGTTACCCAGATCTAAGAAGAGCAGTTCCCCAGAGAAGACTCTGGGTGCTGCTTTTGGGAAGAGGAGAAAGATATCTAGAGAAGAAGCCCACAAATATCCACTCCAGAGTCCTGCTGACACAGTGTTCCAGGCAGTAATCACTCCTTGGGGATGAGATTTGGTCCTGGAGAGAAAACCCCTTTGCCACCCTGGACCCATTTTTGGGCACCGAACCTGCAGTCTGGAGGTCTGTGTTCTCATTCCAGCACTGCCACCCCTTGGCTGAGATGATTAGCTGTGTGGACCTCAGTTTGTTGCTGAGGACGGCTTGGGTGCAAATGCTTGCCAACACACAGTGGAGGGTGGAGATAAAGAGCAATTGAAAGCTGTCTTTATTGAATCTTACTTACCCGTTCTGCCGCTGCCTTCCTTTCCCCTCACAGACGTCCCGAGAACTGTCTCCCCTGCCCCCATACACACTAAAAGTCAATTCATTGAAAATTTCTCTCAAGCTGAAAAAGAACTTCTGTCTCTGCAGCTTCCACGTTTTTTCTGCCTGGCCCTCTTAGCTGGAGGAGGTGGAGTGTTCATACTTTGGAAGCTAGAGGAAGCTAAACAATTCTGCTTGCTGTGGTGGGTGGGTGTGTATTTATGCGTGTGTAGCTTTCTCTCCATGTGTCTCTCTTCTCTCCCTCTTATCTTTGAATGGTTCCTGTTTGCTGCCCTCTGCTGAGTGTAGATAGGAGAGAAAAGAAAAAAGCAGGCCTATTTTTTTCCTTCCCTATGGCTTTAAGAGAATGCTGAGCTTCAGATGTTAAATTGTCTTCAGTTTTCTCAGGTGATGAAAGCCACAGCATAAAATGATACTGATCCAAAGAATGATGATGATATGGCTGATAATGAGGTTGATAATGTTAATAGTAGTAATAGCAGTTACCATTTATTTAGCACTTACTCTGCTAGGTCCTTTACCTGTACATCTGTTAAATATTGTTGTAACCAGGTAGGAAAGAAGGAGGGAACTGAAGCTCGAAGAGGGGCAGGTGCTTGCCCAAGGATGCACAGCCTGTAGTGGTGGAGCTGGTATTTGAACTCTGACCTAGTGCTGAGTCCTTAACCACCATACTTCCTCCATATCTGAGCAGGACAAAGGACCTGTCTTCCACCCCTGCCCGTTAAGCCCTTCCTGCAAGCCTGGACATCTGAGCAGGTGAGAGGGACCATTGCCCTAAGACAGCCTCTTCAGTAGCTGAAGTGGAGCACATAAGGTCATGTGGTGGTGGTGTGTGCTGGAAGAGAAACCTCTACCTCAGCCTCCTCCTGTCTCCGTTCCTCTTGGTTTGAGGCATGTGGGGCTGCGTATAGTGCTCTAGCTTTGGAGCTACACTGCCTGATTCAAAACCCGAGGCTTGGGCAAGCTTGACCTGTGTGCCTGGAATTCTTGGTCTGTAAAATGGTAGTAATGTTAACTGTGGCAGAGAGTTCTCTTGAGGGTTCAGTGAGTCACTGTGGGTAAAACCCCAAACACAATGCTTGGTACAGAACAAGTGCTTGGTAAACATGGTGATGCCGCTGCCTTTGTGAAGTGCCTCGCCTATGGCAGGGACTCAATTCTCTGTGGCTTCCCTTTGGCGGAGGTAGGGAGGGCTGCATAACATTGTCTTTGTCTAGAAGGTGAGCAATTCGAAGATAAGTGGTTGGCTTAACAGCACAGGGTTCAGAAGAACTGGAAGAAGCCAGGTGGGTGCAGTCTCTGATTATTGGAGGTGGGAAGGAAATTGTGCATGCAGAGGCTGCTCTTGGTACCCCTCTTCCTGAAACTTCGGAATGCGAAGCAATTGTTGGGGATGCCTTCTCAACTCCCACCCTGGGACAACCCAGACCCTCTGTATCCTTCTAGATTCAGCTCATAGCCTGCTGCCTCCAGGAAGTGTTCTTTGGTTACTCCAGCCCCCAGGGGTCACTCAAGGGTCTTAGCTCCTCTGAGCCTTGATTTTCTCATCTGCCTACTTAGATCAGAGGCCCTCTAGAAGATTTCTAACATCCTTCTTCCCTGCAGCCTTGCCCCTAGACCTGACTAACTCCTGCCAGGGCAGCCTAGGTTAGCATTCTTCCCAACCAGGGCCCGGAGACCTGTATATAAATCTGTCACGCAATGCTGTAATTGTTTTTAATCTGTCCAGACTGTCTGCTTCCTAAAGGCAGGAACTAACCTCTCTCTTGGTCACTCTTGTTTGCCTAAAATATTTGCTGAATGGCTGAGGGGGTGAGTGAGTAAGTGAATCATATGGTTGGTACTCAGTAACTGCTGGCTGCATGCTGGAAGCTTAGCCTTAGGAATGGTTCTTCTTGAACTTCAGGGTGCTTCACAATCCCTAGGGAGCCTGTTAAGGATGGTGACACCAGGATCCATGCCCAAAGAGCATGAAGGGGCTGGTTTGGGCTTGGCCAAGGATCACATATTTAACAAATCCTACTGAGGGTCCAACAGGGAACTCCTCTCCACCCACCTGACAGGAGACAGACCTCTCTTTCCCCAGGGACCCACTCCATTCTCCCCAGGAGTGCTTCAGGACCCGCCCTTGAACTTCTGTTCCTGGGAAGTGTGTTTATCTGCAGCTTCCCAAGTTGTCAATCAGCACCCACAGGGGAGCTCTGTGGTACTTTTAGCAGTGGCACTGTATCTGATGCAAGCAGATCAGGCTCCAGTTCAGGACAGGGATGGGAGGTGCACTTTGGAATCCCTCTCCTGTGGGCTGCGAGGATTGGCTGGGGCGGTAGAGCTTTATTTTCCTTTGATGCCCACAGTCTGCTGCTCTTCCAGGATGCGTGCTCTGCCTTCCTGCCATGGGCAAGGATGAGGTAGGTGCCTCTACGTGGGTGTTGGGCTGAACTAGGGGGTCTCTTGGGAAGGGTTAGTATTGTGGAGACCCTGTAAACCTCTCCCTTGTACTGGAGAGAGCAGAGGAGAGAGTGTGGAGTTGGGAACCAATGTGACCTGATCCTCAGGCCCAGCTCTGCCACTTGCTGGCTCTGTGCCTGACCTCTGGGGCTTCCTGCTCCTTCTCCTAAAATGAGCAAAGTCATCACTACTTCCTAGTGTCATGGTGATGATTAGATGAAATTAAATAACAGTTGTGAGGATTGAGGTACAGAGAGGTCAGGTAACATATCCAGGGCCACGCAGCTAGGAAGTGATGGAAACAGGATTCCAATCCAGCTGGGATGCTTCCTTCCGGTATCTGCGCCAGCCACTGACTGGATGGTCTGGGGCGAGTCTGTGGGTCTGCCCCTGCTCACAGGGACTTGCGGAGGCCTCAGTGGGAGGTTATCACTGAGACCCCCATGAGCCTGGTTCTTGTTGTTGGCTCCAGAAAGCTCTTTCAGCTGAATACCCAGGCAGCCGTGCCAGGGCAGGGATTATAGCAAGTCCCATGTGCCGCCTGGATGCTGCACTCGGGCAGCCTCTCACGAGCCCAGTTCGCCAGGGTTCTGTGTGTGTGTGTTTGTGTAGGTCTCCCTTGTGAGTTACAAATGTCAGCCTCCTCTGAGAGGCGGGCTGCTGAGCAGAGGGGCCGACAGGGGCTCCTGGAGGGAAGGGGGTTTCTTCGAGGGAACAGGTTGGAAACATCTGGCAGGGGTGTGTGTGTGAAAATTACGTCCTGCTGCTAAAGCACATTGTATGTTCTCAACTGAAAACTGTTATTTTTTGCATGTTTCCTCCTGAGTATTGATCAGAGTCAGCTGCTGAGAGTTAAAATGTGTATGTGTGTGTGTGTGCCTATTTGTGAAATAACCAGTTTCTAAATTTGGTACCTAACTTCAGTGAAAAGTTAGTAATTCTGTTCTTGGAGAGCCAGGATCTGTCATTTGGATTTGTGGTTATTTTATTAATAATAAACTTTAATGGCTATTTCATTCAGAGAGCTTCTTTTATTAATTTCTTTGACCTTTATGTATTTTTAATCACCTTACCTGTATACTTTAATGGAAGTTGCAAACTGGTGGCCTGTGGGCCAGATGCAGCCCAGAGATACGTTTTGTGTGCCTTGAACAGTGATGGCCCATAGATAGTTGGGTTTTTTAATTTTTAAATGTTCATATGTTACCAGTACCTAACCATGAGAATATTTCCTATTTTAAAACAATTCTATACTAATTTCTGTTTTTTTTGTTTTTGTTTTTGTTTTTTTGTTTTTTAATCAAAGTTCAGCTGCTGAGTTCAGGTTCAAGTTTTGTAAGAATTTGCTGGATGTGGGAACAGCTGTCTCCTCTAGACAGACCCTAGCTCTCCAGTTGGCCACCACCCCTGCTGCACTTAGTGGTCTCAAACCTGGGCACTTCACCCTTTCACACAACTGGCCAGGCTGCAGGAGACATTCGACTTTGGGAGCCCTCCTTTATGATATGCAAATTCCCATAGGCTTTTCCCAGTTCTGCCTCCACCAGTATCACGGTGGAGGCAGGGCAGGGCTTACGGTCCCCACTTCACAGATGCAAAAACTGAGGTTCAAAGAGCATAAGTGACACGACTAGTACCAAAGCCAATAAGTTGATGCTAATCCTTCTGTCTCTAAGACTAATGTACTTTTCAGAGAAAAAAAAATAATTACTTGGAAGTGTAAGTATATAAACCTTAGGCTCTGACAGACTCACTTATGTTTATATTTAGATGATTCTTGCTCTATCTCAGCTCAAGAAACCATTTGCCTTGCTTCTGTCCATTTCTAGGTATCTGAATTTCAGGTCTACCCTGTCTAATAAAGTTTTGTTGTTGTTGTTGTTGTTGTTTTTAGCCATGTCAGGGGCTGCTCTAGATTTGTTAGAAATGATGTAGGTACAGGCCAGGCGTGGTGGCTCTCACCTGTAATCCCAGCACTTTGGGAGACCAACATGGGCAGATGACGAGATCAGGAGTTTGAGACCAGCCTGGCCAACATGGTAAAACCCCGTCTCTACTAAAAATACAAAAATTAGCCGGGTGTAGTGGCGCACTCCTGTAATCCCAGCTCCTCAGCAGGCTGAGGTAGGAGAATCATTTGAAGCTGGGAGGCGGAGGTTGCAGTGAGCTGAGATCGCACCACTGCACTCCAGCCTGGGTGACAGAGCAAGATTCCGTCTCGAGGAAAAGAAAAAAAAAAAAAGAAATGATGTAGGTACAGAATCCACCTTGTTTTCTGCCTGTGCTTCCTGGCATGTCGGGAAACCCCAGAATGTATCTTCCTATTATTGGGGAAGTGTTAGGATCCATTAAATGAGAGTGAAGACAGGTTTCCCAGCAGAAATGGTACATGCTCCACTCCCTGGTCTGAGGGGACCTCACAGGCACCCAGGAGGTTTCTAGAAAAGAGAGAACCTGGATGAGAACAGCTTAGGTCCCCCCAGAGGCAGCTGAACATAGCCACTCATGTCTCTGAGAGTAGGGTTCATTGCCGGGGCAGGAGTGGGGGTCCCTCTGCCCGCCATTTCAAGAACCTTCCCTTGGAGGCTCCAGGTGGCTCCTGGTGTGGCAGTGGGGCATGGAGTGTGGGGCACAGCTCGGTGTGGTGGCCAGGAGTTAGCTTTGTCCTTGAGCACTGGCTCCACAGCAGAAACAGCAATGATCATTAGTTTATTGAGCTCTTACTGCGTGCTATGCACTGTGCCCATCTCAGTTCATCAGCACTGTAATCCCAGGGAGTGAGTGCCCTTACTGTTGTCATTTTACAGATGGGAAAACTGAGGCTCAGGAAACTTAAGTCACTTCCCAGGCCTATACAAGAAACAAGTGGTGGGACTCAAACTCAGATTTCTGACTCTCCAACTTGTGCTCTTAGCTACCATGTTTTATTGACTCCTCTGGGCAAGTCTTTTAACGTCTTTTGGCCTCCATTTCCTCACCTGTAAGTGGGAATAATACCTTCTTGGCACACGAGCAGAGTCAGTTTTCCCACCCATAACTCTTCCTGCCACCCCTCCCTCGGGGCGGTTGTCAGACACTGGTGTGGTGTGAGCTATCTTTCCCGCTAGGGTGGGGCCTCTCTGCTTGTGGGGGTGGGGTCTCCCAGCAGAGTCAGCCTGGGGTGTGCCTCTCTGCTTCTCCCTTTCGCAGCCTAGACCCCCCTCGCCTGCTATTCTGCACTCTGCCCTGGCAGCAAGAGAGGCAGCTGAGGGCTCCTGCCATCCAAGCCCTGCCAGGGAACAATGGGGCACGTTAAGAAGGCTGCCAAGTGCCAAGCCAGAGGTATTAAAGGGACATTTGATTAGTTTTAACTCTAATTGTCAGGCTTTTGCTTTCTTTTGTTCTCTGTAGCAGTTAAGGGCGAGGGGAAGCCCCGGTGTGAGTTTCCTCCCTCTGTGACTTGTATGGACTCTCTTTCACTTTGGGTGTATGACTCTTTCACCTGTCTCCTATTCTCAGGCCTCTCCCCTCTCTGTCTGTGTGTGTTTCTCTGTCTCTCCTTCCACCTCCCCCCGCAACCCCCATAGTCTCCGTGATGTGTGTCTCTCTCTTAGCAAATATGATGAGAAATGACACTAAAGAAGCCATAAGCCTACCACGGTGGAATCCACAATTTCAAGGAATTGTATCTTTTATCATATCCAGTCTCCCTCAACCTTATCCCTGCCAAATGGTTACCATCTTTGACTTGAACACCCCCAGTGATGGGGAACTCACCTCCTTTAGCTCAGCAGAGTCCTAGGTAGTCTGCCATGGCTCAGGGGTGACCTAAGAATTTCTTGAGTACCCTCTACCCATCCTTTCAGGTACCTCTGAAATCTTTTTCTTCCCAGAAAGCCTTCCCTGATCTTTCCAGTTAGAATTAGTCTGTCTCTTGGAAATGCCTACAAAACTTAATTTGTACAACTGTGGTGGCGTGAATGTTATAGTGCCATGTATTGCCATTTCCCTAGGTGGAGGAATGTATTGTTGAAGGAGGCTTCCTAGCAGGACACTCCCTTGGATGAGGCTCCAGCTGGGAAGAAGAGATCCCAGAGCTCTCTCTTGTGAGCCTGGGCTTCCTCCTCTTTCGAAAAGTTCCATTCCCAAACTTGACCACTGTGTTTTATGTGGTCTTTTAGTCCAGAGAATATTCCAGGTTTTTACAGGCCATACAGTCTCTGCCACAACTACTCAATCTGTCTTTGTAGTGTGAGGGTAGCCATAGACACTACTTAAACCAATGAGAGTGCTGTGTTCCAATAAAGCTTTATTTGCAAAAGCAGTCAGCAAGCTGGATTGCCAGGCCATGGTTTGCTGACCCCTTTCTAGTCTTTTCATGATGAAAGAGCCCTGGGTTTTGAGGCAGGAGCCTGACTCCTCAGGTAGGAGCCACCTTGAGTTGCTTTGTGACCCTAGTTGGGTCCCTGACTCAGCAGTGCTTCCGTCCTCTCCTATGTAAGCTGTGTTAATTGGGAGGACAAGTTCTAAGGATCCCTCCAGCTTTTGATACTCAGTGAGGCCCTGAATTCTCTGCTGGATCTGACTGCATCTCTGAAACAGATTCCAAATCCACCTATTTTCTTCCCGCTTCCCACCAGCCTGTCACATCTCACCTGGATTCCTGCCACAGCCTCCTGGCTCCTCTCCTACCTCCACCCTGAAATCATAGTCCATTCTTTATGCACAGCCCAAGTACACATTTGCAAGGGTAAATCAGAGGTTTCTGCCTCTTTCCTAAAACTCTTCAGTGGCTTCCACTGCTGCACTGAAACACAGCACAGACCCCTGTCTCGTCTGGCCCTGCTTACCCTCTGGCTCACTGTGTCTCCTCCTCTCAGTCACAGCACAGCAGCTGCATTAGCCTTCTTACACATCCAGCATGGTCCTTCTGCAGGACCTTTGCATGTGGTCCTGCCTGTAATACTCTTCCCCAAGATTATAGAAGGACTGGTTCCTCCTCATCTTTTAGGTCTTGGCTCCAAAGTCACCTCCTCAGAGAGGGCTTCCGTGAACATACCATCTGAAGTACCTCTTTCCTACCCACTCTGCGACTTGATCAACTGTGAAATGTCCACATAGCAACTTAGCACTGTCTGGAGTCACCTTGCTTATTTATTTACTTGTTTATTTCTCTGCTCCAGTAGATACTAAACACCATGAGGGTAGGGACCTTGTGTGTCTTATTTACTGCTGTACCTTATAGTGCTGGCACATGGCAGGTGCTCAAGAATATTTGTTGAATTAATGAATGAATGCATGCATACCTGTGTTCCCAGATACCCTACAGATAGGACTCTGACTTCTCCATGTTTCTTCTCACCACTCCTCCGTGTTTCATTTGGACACCACTCTGTTCTTGGTGTTGTGGGAAATTGCACACTTTCACCCTAAGGGGCTGTGTTCTCATAGTGGGGGAAGAGACAGACTTCCTTCTCCCCTGTTGAGATCAGAAGGCCTCAAAAGTGTTAGCTCCCTAAGGCAACAGTCAAAGGACACCGTTTCTCTTGAGATCTTTTAATCAGAAGCAGCTCCTGTCCTCAGTCCACGTGGCTTCATTGGTGGTATCTCTGGATGAGGATCCATTTGGTTCTCTCCCTCCAGACAGTCTTTAGAATATGAAGTAAGTAGCTTGTCTGGGATTATATTTTCCCCCTGGTTCTTAGGAGGAAAATATAAGGGTGGACCCCTGCTTACTTGTTTTGTGAGGAGCATCCCTGCAGTCTAGAGGGAGCGTCTTAAGGAAGAGGGCTGCTGGTCGTGCCCCAGGCTTTCCCAAGGACTGCAGCTCCCAGTAAGTGGGTAAATGGGCTCATGGGTTGAATCATGTCTCTCAAAAAGATACGGCAAAGTCCTTACTCACGGCACCTCAGAATATGACCTAATTTGGAAATAGGTTTGTTGCAAATGTAACCAATCAAGATGATGTCATGCTGGAATAGGGTGGGCCCTTAATCCTCTGTGACTGACTGATATCCTTATAAGAAGAGGAGAAGAGATGCAGAGACAGAGAGGGAAGACGGCTGTGAAAAGCTGTAGACAGAGACTGGAGTGATGCTGCCCTAAGCCAGGGTACACCTGGGGCTACCAGAAGCTGGAAGAGGAGGAAGGAAGCATCTCCCCTAGAGGCTTTGGAGATAGGATAGCCCTGCCAGTACCTTGATTTTGAATTTCAAGCCTCCAGAACTGTGACGCAATAAATTTCTGTTGTTCAAAGCCACCCACTTTATGGTACTTTGTTATGGTAGCCCTTGGGAACTAATACATGGACCATTTTCCATTTTCTCATCAGATTGTGTTGTGTGTGTGTGTGTATGAGTGTGTCTGTATGTTATATTTGTAGGCAGATAGATAAAACACCTTTGCAAAGGCAAGGATAATTGTCTTAATCTCTTCTAGCTACTTACATTTCTTTTTAATTCATGGAAAAGATCCTCTCTTTCTGTGGAGGATTAGCATATTACACTGCACATATATATTCTTTAACTAAAGCCACTCTGCTTATTAAGAGATCAACCTGTTAAAAAAAACCTGAGCCATTAGCCTTGAATCCCAGTGAATAAACACATGGTACATACTGCCTTTCACTTAACTGTATTATCCTTTTGTTCTGAGCTCAACAATTTATTTTTGTACTGGGTCCCCACTAAATTGATTTGGGGGATTACTATGTGATAGATACAAAAAACAGCCGCTGCCTTGAGAGAGCTCCTAGTCTAAAAAGGGACGCAGACAAGTTCACGGGGATGCAGTGCATCAGGCAGAGCATGACGAGTGTTGCAAGAGGAGATCAGCCAGTGCTGCGGGAAGCCAAGAGGAAGGGAGCAGCACCCTAGTTGTAATCAGGAAGGACTTCTGAAAGGTGCTGATTTTTAAGATGGTCCTGAAGAAGGTTAAAACTTTAGCAAAGTGTACATGGTGGGATTGGGGTCTCTCAGATGGCAGGAAGCGGGGAGCCTCTTTCAAGAACAGCAAAAGGCAGAGTCACTGAAACTTCACGTGTCTGTTAGAGAGTAGCTGGAAAAGTGGGTGAGGGCCAGGTCACAGGGTCCCTGATTGCTAGGCCAGGGAGGCTGGCCTGCAGGAGGCAAGGAAGCCATGGATAGTTTTTGAGCAGAGGATGACTTGATCAGGGCTAGGCCTCAGAAAGGTAACTACGGCAACGCAGGAGCCACAGGAGGCAGGGAGAGCAGTTTGGAGGCTATTGGGGTGGAGAGATTCATTCATCCACTGTGCCTTTCTGTGGTCCAGATGCTATGCTAGGTTCTGAGGCCACCAAGATGTGTAACGTGCAGCCTTTGAGCTTAAGGAATCCATTGCTACTGTTGCAGACTGTTTTTGCCAGGCACAGTGTTAAGCACTTTGCATACATTATCATCTTTGATCCTCACAGCAACCCAATAACATACTCACTCTAATTATCCCCATTTTATGGATGAAGGCAGAACCAGCCTGGGACATGCGCAATATGCGTTCAAAAACTGCTGGATAAATGACATATTGAAGGAAGAAGAACTGCAGACCTAAATGCCAGCTACACAGCAGGCTGAGCCTTCCAGGTCAGGTCCTGTGCCTGGAGTGCCCTGGCCCCTCGAGAGCTGTCCTGGGAGCACCTCTGCCTTATCTGGTCTGGTTGCAGGGAGGTTGCAGGTTCATCAGGGAGATGAAATGTTTCACTCAAGGTCACACAGCTGGTCACTGGTAGGGCTGTGACTGGCCTACAGAGTCCTGGGCCTTAACCACTTCTCTGGGCTCCACATACTAAACAGGTCAAGTCAGAGTACAGTGAGATCTTTCTTGGTAGCTGTAGGTACAGGGTTCTATGTGAGCACATAGGAGAGCCAGTGGACCCGGACGGGCAGGGCGGGTAAGCAGAAAAGGCTCCCTGAAGGAGGGAATCCTGACCTAAGTCTTTTACGGGGAGTGGGATGGTTTAGCCAGACAGGGAAATGGCTGGGCAGGGGGTGGGTAGTGAAGGGATTCCAGGTAGAGGAGATAGCACAGTCAAAAGTCCAGAGTTGGGAAAACAGCATAGGGTGTGCAGGGTCTCCTAAGCTCATTATTCCTGGCCCCAGGAGTGGGGCTGGGAGAGGCTAAAACACAGTTAGGGCCAGGTCATGAGCTACACTCCATCCTCAGTTCCCAGGAGCGTGAAGGGTGTTGGGCAGAGAAGTTGGGTGACCAGATTTGCTTTCGTATGGGTCCTGGAGTTCAATAGTTGAAAGAGATCGGGAGGCCATGTTGTCAACCACTGTCAGATGTTTGCAACCAGACCAGACAAGGCAGAGGTGCTCCCAGGACAGCTCTCGAGGGGCCAGGGCACTCCAGGCACAGGTCCTGACCTGGAAGGCTCAGCCTGCTGTGTAGCTGGCATTTAGGTCTGCAGTTCTTCATTCAATATGTCATTTATCCAGCAGTTTTTGACTGAACACTGCACATGCCCCAGGCTGGTTCTCTGCTAAGCACTTGACATTCTAAGAGAAAAGGACATGGTCTCGGCCCTTGAGGACCAGGTGGCCCATTAGACAGATAATTCCAGGGCAGTGGGATGCATGCCATAGGTGGAGTGAGCACAGGCCTGAGAGCACAGTGAAGGATTCACGTTAGCCTTCACGCTGGCTTCCTGGCCGCCACCTCTACCTGCCCCTCCCACTCACCTCAGGCTTATAAAGCCATGGATTTGCCTAGGATTGAATCCCAGCTCTGCCCTTTACTAGCTGTGTGACTTCGAGAAATTTCCTTAATCTTTTATTTTCTCTCTCTCATTTCTTACATTTTAAAATGAGCCTGATAATAGTACCTACTTCACAAGTTAGTTATCAGGATTAAAGGAATTCACATACACAAAACACTTGGAATAGTGCCCGGCATTTAAAAAGTGGTACATAGATACCCTTAGGATTACAGGTCTGGAATCTCTTAGCCCAAACCCTGTGTATTAGGCATATTTTAGCATTTAGAATTATTAGTCAAGGTTCAGTCAGGACAGAGAAACCACACAGTGATTTGAACACAGGAAGTTTAATATAAAGAATTATTTACTGTAACAGGAGATTAGAGCGATGAAAATTGGCTATTAAGAAGTGAAAAGCACTCTAAAGAATATAGGAATGGCAGATAGAGGAACAGCTCCTACCCCCAGTGTTGAGTTAACAGCACCCAAGGAAGAGGCCCCCGTAAGCTGAGATCCTGACTTTGTTGGAGAGGGCACAGCTATGCTTACTGAGTGGTAGAGAGTCACTAGAGTGCCACCCCAGCAAAGTTCACAGGAAATCTGCCTGCTAGGGTGCTGGAGGAAGAAACACATGGTGAGGTATCTCATGGAAGACATTCTGCTACAAAACCACCCAAGGGAATGGGTGCTGGGAGAAGCTGTTGGTCGCTGGATGCCGGTGATTGCTGCACACCGCAGGAGCTAGGCAATGGAGAAGCTACGCGTACTGCAGGAGCTAGACATGGAGAGGCCATGCACGCTGCAGGAGGCTAGTGCCAGAGACGCCACCCGTGCTGCCTGCCTACTGAACACACCAGAACCAGGGTGAAAAAAGCCTTTCCTTCTGCAGTGTCTCTCCAGCATCTTCTACTAACCACTGTTAACATCATGTTAGCTGGCAAGGGAAACACGTTTAAGGGCCCAGAACCATTTTTGCATAGCAGGCAGTGAAGGTGGGTTTGGGGCTGAGAGGCAATAAATTAATAACTGACTGTCTCAGTGAGTTTGGGCTGCTGCAACAGAATACTATGGACTGTGTGGCTTAAACAAGAAACATTTATTGCTCACAGTTCTGGAGGCTGGAAATCGAAGATCAGGGTGCCACCATGGTCAGGTTCTTGCGGAGGGCTCTCTTCCTGGTTTATAGACAGTGACTTTCCTGCTGTGTCCTCATGTGGCAGAGAGCAGAAAGAGAGCAAGCACTCATGTCTCTATTTACAAGGGCACTAATCCCATTCACGATGGCTCCACCTTCATGACCTAATTACCTTCCAAAGGCCCCATCTTGTAATACCGTCACCTTGGGGGTTAGGATTTCAACATAGGAGTTTTGGGGTCATGTAACAGTCAGTCTCTAACACTGGCAGAAGAGTCTTTCTGATTTAGGAATGTTAGTAAAGTGCATGTGTTATTATGTAATAGCTCTAGTGGGGTTTACAGTGCTCCCCATAATCAAACACATTTTTTTTTTCTGCCACAAAAATGTATTCACAGTAAGAGAATAAATCAAGACTATAAATAGCCTCATGTCTATTCAAGTCAGGCTTTGTCACTAAATGAGTTATTTTTTTAAAGTTATTTAAAAAGCCTGTTTGGACTTTGGAATTGAGGCTAAGGGATGGTTGACCTGCATCATTTTCATTTCCTCTCTCCATGCAGCAGTCAGAGTTATCTTTTGGAAATGTAAATTATGCCACTGGGAAAGCCTAAGTGGCTTCCTGTTCCAGGATAAAGACTAAACTCCACCCCTGGCCCCCTACCCACACTGTGCCCTCACCCACCTCTGCCCTCCAACGACTCTGATCTCCAACAAGCCATGTGTCCTTCTGCAACAGAGCCTTGGCACATGTCACTCTCATTACATGGAGCACTCTTCCAGTTACCTACCGTGCACACAAGTGCATGCACACAGGCACACATGCACTTGCATGCACACACACATGCATACACACACACACACACACACACACACACAGTTTTGCTTGGCTAATTCTGCCTCACCCTTCTAATGGCAGCTCAGGTGTCCCTATTCCAAGAGAACTTTCTGACCCCCTTCTACCCCAACCCTCAGCCCACTCAGGCATTAAAGCATATGTGTTAGTTTGTGATTATACAGACTTACAATAAGTGTGATTATTTGATTAACATGTCTCTCTATTAAACTGTAAGTGTTATAGGACAGTGGCTGTATCCGTTTTCCCCCCAACTATTTTATTCCCAGTGCTCTACGCAGTGCCTGGCATGTGACATATTTGATGAGTGAAAAAAGGAATAAACCATCTTGGATTAGATCCTGAACCAGAAAAAAATAAATTAGACATAAAGGACATTATTGGAACAACTGGCAAAATTTGAATATGAACTGTAGATTAGATAATAGTATTTTATCAGTGTGAAGTTTCTTGATTTTGTTGTCTGTATTCTTAGAAAATGCACACTGAAGAATTTAGGAATAAAGGGTTATCATGTCTTCAACTTTCTCACAAATGGCTTAGAAAAAAATTGTAGATACAGGTAGATGGGGGAGAGGGAGAGAGAGTGATAAAACAGATGTGGAGAATGATAACAGCCAATGTGGATAAAGGATATACAGGATCCTCTGTACCAGCCTTGCATCTTTCCTATTAGTTTGAAATTATTTTACAATAAAAAGTTTTTTAAAAAATGAATAAAAATGAATAAATGAGGAAAGGGATGCCAGGAGGAGGAGGACCCCTCAGGTATAAAGGCAGGAGGGCAGGAAAGGGCTTGGTCCCTTTGGGGAACTTGCAGGTAGGCTGTGTGGTTGGAGGGTGGCCCTGGGGCTGGGGAGGGAAGAGCAGGGGATGGAGCTGGAGCCCCCACTATGGACTCTCTGGAGGGAGTGCAGTATTGAACTGTTCAGTCAACGTTCATCTACACTTTCCCCTCTCTTTTTCCCTTGGTGATTTTTGACCAAAAGTCTGATTGCATGAAGCCAGTGTGTCTCAGGTCTTCCATCTGATTTCTCTTTTGTCTTAACAATAGAGAAAATCTCATCCGTGTATGCAGGTTACTCCTTCTGCTGTGAAACTGTGACTTTCCTGTTGTCTGCTTGCTGTTAAACTCACCATGCATTTCCCGTTTTGGTTATATAGTGCTGCATAACAAAATGTGGTAGCGTAACACAACAAACATTTGTTATCTTAAAGTTTCTGTGGGTCAGAAATTTGGGCTTAGCTGGGTGGTGGTGGTACAGTGTCTCTCATGAGGTCGCTATCAAGATGTTGGCCAGTCCTGCAGGCATCTAAAGTCTCAACCGGAGCCGGTTAATCTACTTCCAAGATGGCTCACTCCCTTGGCAGCCGGAAGGAGACCGCAGTTCCTCAACACAAGACCTCTTCATGAGTAAGCTTGAGTGTCCCTGAAGCATGGCAGCTCACTTTCCCCAGAGCACACCATCCAAGAGACGGGGAGAGAGCAAGCAGGAAGCCACAGTCCTTCTAGGACCTGGTCTCCAAAGCTATATATCATGATGGACATTTTATCCTATTAGAAGTGAGTCATGAAGTTCAGCCTATGTGCAAAAAAGAATTCAACTCCACTTCTTGGAGGGAGGAATGTGGAAGAAGTTATGGACATTTTAAATCACCATAGTTCCTGAAAGCCTTTTGCTTCTGGAGGGCCAGTGTCTGCCCTCCAGAAGTTTACATCATCTGTTGAAGGAAGTAAGACATGCTCTGAAATTGCTCATAAAAACCAAGATGTCCCATGAGAGATGGCTTGACAGGGTTCTGAGGAAGCAGAAATCAGAATAGATGGTAGCAAAGGAGAGCTCTTGGAAGGAACTGACACTGCCTTCATGGATGAGCAGCTTTCCCCTTGGTTCTTAACCCTGATTATTGATGTTGTCATACAATGGTAATGAATAATAATGATAGCATTTGAACATTTCTACCATGACAGGCACTGCGCCAGGCAGGACTGCCTTGTAGCACATCTATGTGTATAAATAACATCCTTGGAATTGTGCAGTGGGACCATACTGATGCTAAATATTAATACTTCACTTACGTTACTTCATTTAATGCTTTGAACTACCTTGTGGAGTTGCTGTCATCCCCATTTCACATTTTCGTCTGATTTCTCTGTTTGTCTTAACAACAGAGATTAATTCACAGATTACAAACATAAGGCTTAGAAAAAATTAAGTAACTTAAGCACGATGGCACAGCTTGTAAGTGAGTGAGTTACAGCTTGTAAGTGAGTGGTTAAGATCACAGGCTCCAGGCCGGGCATGGTGGCTCATGCCTGTAATCCCAGCACTTTGGGAGGCCGAGGCGGGCAGATCACAAGGTCAGGAGATTGAGACCATCCTGGCTAACAGGGTGAAACCCTGTCTCTACTAAAAATACAAAAAATTAGCCAGGCGTGGTGACAGGTGCCTGTAGTCCCAGCTACTCGGGAGGCTAAGGCAGGGGAATGGCGTGAACCCGGGAGGCGGAGCTTGCAGTGAGCGGAGATCGCGCCACTGCTCTCCAGCCTGGGCGACAGAGTGAGATTCCATCTCAAAAAAAAAAAAAAAAGATCACAGGCTCCAGAGTCAGACCTATGGGTTTAAATTTCAACGCTTCTACTTTAGAGCTTTGAGCAGGTGACTTTAACCTCTCTGTGCCTCAGTTTCCTAATCTGTAATATGCATATAAAACTATTCAATGTTCTCAGCACAGTGCCTGGCATGTGATGAGCATTAGGTGCTATTGCTACTATTATCAGCTCACAGTCAAACACAGCTATGCTCTCCTTGAGTTCTTTGCATTGGTTTGTTATAAAGAGTTGAGATGAGAGAAGTAAGTGGTAACTACAGCTACCACTCTTCATTTGTAGGGATTAAGAATTTGAAAGGAAAAACAACCTCTCCAGGCCGAACATTCCTACAGGTCTTAAATGACACATTCTGGCCATTCCCAGTTTCTCTCTGTTTTATGTCCATGAGGATATCAATGCTTTGAGGGATGCCTGGCCATTCCCCTCTCTGTATAGGCACACATAGTGGCTAAGCTGGGTTTCAGGAAGCTGAACTTGAGTTGACATCTTTCTTTGGAAATGCTTTCCCTCTTGAGGGGCAAGGGACACTGGCTTGGATATAAATCAGGATATCACAGGATATCAGTCATTCAGGATACAAGTCTATGCCGTGGGGTTATTTTTTTTTCCCTTACTGTGTGGCCCAGACTGAAGTGCAGTGATCATAGCTCACTGCACCCTCAAACTCTTGGGCTCAAGTGATCTTCCTGCTTCAACACCCCCGGTTGCTGGGACTATAGGCAGGTGCCACCATGCTGGCTAGTTTTTGTACTTTTTGTAGCGACAGGGATCTTGCTATGTTGCCCAGGCTGGTCTCAAGACTCCTGGCCTCAAGTGATCCTCCTGTCCTGGCCTCCCAAAATGTTAGGATTACAGGCACGAACCATGTGCACAGCCTGTATTGTGTATGCTAGAGCCAATTACTAAATCTTTCTGGGCCCCAAGGGTCTCTTTTGCAAGAAGGACATAGCAACTTCTCCCTTCCAGAGTTCTCCATCAGAAAGAGGATTGAGAGGGTATGTTATAGAAACTGTTCAACTCTAGTGCAAGGTTTTAGGAGTCTTCGTTTCCTTCCAGTTATTTGAGAAATGTGGCTTCTTCAAGCAACTGGAATACTGAAAGCCTTTTTGATGGGAATCACTCCTCCCTAACCACTTCCACCCACACCTTCTTTGGTAAAACATTTTTGAGAAAAATTGGTTTTGATCTGAATTCTGAGGACCAAAACAGCCTCCAAAAATCAAGCACAAAAAAAAAAATCAGCCTCCAAAATAAAAAACCAGGTGGTTCTCCTATTGAAAATTCAAACCTGATAACCAACCAGAGGGACTTATCTTTTAGAATTAATCTTTTTTCCATCTTTAATGAATTGGCATTTGTCTGCTCTGCCGGTTCATTGTGGAATTCAGCCTCATGTTTCATTGTGATCTCAGAAGCAGCGAGCACTCATCACCGGTGGGAATGATAGAGCCTAATTTGGAAAAAGGAGAAAAAAAACCCCAAACCTCCTCCCTTTCATTTCCTCACTTTAGACTAAAATGCTTCCTTTTTTAAACTTAAAAAAGGGACTAATTTTTTTCTTTTCAAAATTGGTTCAGATATGCATGAACCATTTTTTAAAAAATTATTGCACAACTCAGTATATTCATTACACACCGAGGTTATGAGTAAGTCTTCCCTGAATCATCTTGTGGTACAAAGTGACGGGAAGGGATTCAGTCAGCTACCTGTACAGGAGGCTCATTCTGTTTCTCTCCTCCATTTTCTCATTATGAAACTGTACTTTTCAGAAGACAAAAAGGGGAGAAGATAAGGGAAGAGGAGGAGGAAAATGTCAGAGGGAAACCTAGAGCTGTCAGCAATTACTGCTTTCCAACTGCCTAACCTCAGAGCAATTACTTAAACTCAGAGCCCCTGCCCCACTTCTGAAATGGGGATAATAACAGTAATGGCTATGTTGCAGGGCTGTGGCAATGATTAACTGAGAAAATACCCATGGGAAACATGCTTTGTAAATTCCATTATACTATTGTTGGTACTGAGATATGACTGCATATATGTATAACTTGTGTGATTCTTAAAAATTAATTTTAAAAGGGTTGCCTTTATTTTTAGAAACAGAGTTTGAGTTGGAAGGGAACGTTAGGAATCATTCAGTACGACGTGTCACCCTGGAGAGAAGTCCTCTCTATAGTTGCCTTCAAAGGTGTTATCTAGCCTGGGCGCAGTGGCTCACGCCTGTAATCCCAGCACTTTGGGAGGCTGAGGCGGGCGGATCACGAAGTCAAGAGATTGAGACCATCCTAGCTAACACAGTGAAACCCCGTCTCTACTAAAAAATACAAAAAATTAGCCGGGTGTGGTGGTGAGCACCTGTAGTCCCAGTACTTGGGAGGCTGAGGCAGGAGAATGGCGTGAACCCGGGAGGTGGAGCTTGCAGTGAGCCGAGATGGCGCCACTGCACTCTCCAGCCTGGGCGACAGAGCAAGACTCCGTCTCAAAAAACAAAAAACAAAACAAAACAAAAAAGGTGTTATCTAGGTATTGGCTTGAATAGCTCCAGGGATGTGGAGGTCACCACCTCTGTCTTTTCTTCTTTTTCCTAATTATCCCTGCCTTTTAGTTCTTCTAGACCTAAGATATAACAGTGATTTTCCTTCTCCTGAAGATAGACAGCAAAAGAATACTGTCATGGTTAAAAATGAATAAACATGCCACAGCATGCATTGTGAAGATCTGCCATCTGTGTGCATCGCTGCTGCAGGTATGTTAGCCAGTCTCCAAAGTGTTTGAACTACTTGTTCAAGGGGATCTGGTGTTCTCTGTAGCAGAAGCTACTGAGTTATTAGGGGTAAGGCTTCAGCCCTGGGGCAGAAGGAGGACTTGGCAGGGCCCTCTTAGCTCTGAGCATCTGCATACCTTTCTGTTTTTTAGCTGGTGGTTTATCTAGCTTTAGGTATATAAAGATTTATTTGAAAAGGTAGAGTTTGTGGCAGTAATTGTTACCTTCTCTTCTTCTCTCCTCTCTTTCCCCTCTGAAGTGGAGGGGAAACCTGTTTGTTTCATGCCAGCTTCTGCCACTGATGTTTTCACTGCTTTCTGTTCAAGATGTTATGGTGAGGGAGGAGGCAGAGACCAGGGTCAGGAGGATCTTGGAGATCATCCCAGCCAGCACTTTACAAACTGTCTCTGGAAGTTCACATGGATGCTTCAGTGTTTACATTGTTTCAAATTGTTAGCTCTTTTTAAAGTTGTAATAATAATAATATTATTTTTAAAAAATACTGCTATGTGTTATATACTGCATTTTTACGTGTTGAAGGTCACCAGCTTTTTCTTTTAACATCTGTTTAATTGAAGATAATCCTGAGATTATAGGGCAGGCTGTGTTTTTTAAAAAAATGTATCTACTTATTCATCAAATGCATCAACTCTCCATTAAATTAAAAAGATTTTTTTTAGCATTGGGCAACTAAAACCAAACAGAAAACTATACTTTGAGGCAGATGTAAGCTGCAAGCTGTTGTCTCCAATTCCTGAGTTCAGATTATTTGTGTTCATCAGAACAACCTCATTGTCCTCGTTGGTTAATTTTCAGTAAATAAATGTTATTAATTTGAAAATTAGAAATTTGTAATCATAAAATGCACCTCCAAGTCTTACCAATTGAAAGACTTCACTCACTGAAAACCTACCAGCTTCTCAGAGAACATGAAACTGGCATTCCTCAGTTGTTTGGGAATTCCTTCTAGTCCATCATTATTTATTTATTAAATTGTACTCCAGGTGGACTATATAACAAGATCGTATTTGCACAAGAAGGCCTACTTACTGGCAACAACCTTTATATTGTCATGTTCACATCTCAGCAATTGCTTTTTACTTGTGAGTAGACCCTGGCAGCTTTTACTTTTGTAGATTGTGTCAACTTATGAAAAAAAAAATCTCCTCTCCTATCCTCCAGTGTGAGAAATGCTTCCCTCTGCCCAACCCCGGGAAGCACTGCTTTAATTATGAGACCGTTGTTACCTTTTACCTCCTATTCAATTGTTTCCTATGTGCTTAGAGATTTGTTGAGCCATTTGCCCATAAAAATCACTCCAGCAGTTATCGAAAGCCTTGGATGATAAATTAGATCATCCCTCAACCTCTGAGGTCAGGCAGCCCCCACTTCCTTCCTCCTCCTTTCACTAGATCTCTTTTCCACCCTCTCCGTCTGTCTGGGTAGACCTCTCTGACACTACTCCCACCCTTCCCAATTTTTGTGCGCTACAGTGGCTTCCGCCTAAAGCCTTGTTTGCCCTCTGAGAGATGCCCATGGAGCTCCAGGATCTGTGTGTTCCATGACCCCTGGCAGATCACGCTCCTCTTGTGGAAAATGGGAATTTTACATCTCCCTTCCTGCCTTACAGGGTTTGTTGTGAGGGGCAAGGGAGACAGTGAGAGGGTGGTTGGGGGCACTTGAGTGCTGTGGGAATTGGAGGTTCTGCTGCCTCTTCTCTGTGGGGCTGTTATCTGAGCTCTTTCACTCTTTAGTACCGCGTCCCTGTCTCGTCTCAAGAAAGCAGGTAGTGGAAGAGATGGAGAGAGTTCCAGCTTGCCTCCCAGATGAATTAAAATCAATGAAAGTTCCCACATGCACAGAGCCAGATGCATCCCTCTTCCTGTCCACACCCCTGTCACCAAAACAAGTGTGGTGAGGGGCCCCTGCCCTCTCAAGCAGGTCAGCGCAGGCCCTGCAGTAAGGAAGGCCTGAGTTGAATCTTGGTTCTGTCATTTGTAACAGCCATGTGGACCTTCAGGATGATGCCTAGACTTATGCTAAAAATTAATTGGGAGACTGTATGGAGAGGGCTTGTGCCTTGCACATTGTAAGAGCTCAAAAATAGCTATTAATTTTTTGGTGTTTGGAGAGACTGTTGTACTTTCTATAAATAAATTGTACAGTTTAACTCCCTGATTGGACCTGAATAAAAATGTTGGGGTAGGGATAGAAGAAAGGGAATCATTCCATGTGGTTTCTTCCTTCTATTTCTCCTGCCAGCTCGCTTCCCCACCCCAGCCTGGGCACTGCTGTTCGACTGAGACCAGGATTATTCCCACCGCCCAAGAGCAGAGAGGGCTCAGATGCACAGCCTCTGCCTTCGTGGAGTGGGCATTTTCAGGTGGGGATGACATTTTCTAACAAGCCTGGGGCACCTCCTCCCTCCCCACCTCATGGGTCCCTCTCTCATTTTAAAAGCCCTCCCAGGACTTCAAGATGAAACACTTCCACACTGGGCAGAGATTCTCATTGAATTCTCCAGTTCGCTGTCTCCAGTGCTGAGGAGAGACATTTTAATTAATTATAGTCCCATGGGCTCGGGGATCAATAGCAGTGAAGAGCCGTGGAATGAATTCCAGCCTCTGTGCTGTTTCCAGCTCTCCCTGTGACCTTGTACCAGTCGCTCAAGCTCTCTGGGCCTTGGTTTCCTCTTCTCTAGAATGGGAATATTCATTTCACAGGCATAATGAGAATCTTCAAAAAGGTATGGCGATCAAAGTGTTGTAAAATGTAGAGTGCTAACCACAAGTAAGTTATTATTAAGGTGGTATTTATATTCCCAAAGGGTAAGCATGAGTGGTGTTTCTCTTCTGAGCCATTTCTAGAACCTTCTTGCTTTTTGTTAATACGTTAAAACCACCTGGCAGCTTCCATTTTCCTTTCTGAGTCTGAGAAGCAAGCAGCCCAGACAGAATTGGGGGGAGAGGGTGTAGATGGGAAGAAGTTCCTGTTCTGTAAGCCCCAAGTTTCTCCAGCAAGGAAAAGGTAATCATACCTGTGGGACCTGGAATAAGAAGACAGAAGCCTTGGCTTTCCCCGAGAGTCAGTGCTGTTCGCCACACTGGCCACCTCTAGTGCTGAGTCTTTGTTTATTGAAGCCTCTTCTTCTGTTTTCCTGTGTCCTTTTCCCTGCAGTGTATTCTGCACACAGCAACCAGAGTGATCTTTCCAAAACACATCTGGTCATGTCCTTACCCTGCCCAGAGCCCTCCCCCGGCTCCCCTAGACTTTAGGATAAAATCCAGCTTCTTGCTATGGCTGCTCAGGCCCTGCTGCTCCGGCCTCTGACCGCATCTGTAGTCGTAGTCCCCTGCTCTCCCACCTGCTCGCCTTTGGCTCCCAATGTAGCTCATCTACTCCCCGACATGTGCTCTACCTGGGTCCCCAGGCCTTAATGTGCCAGTCTGGGCCTCCCTGGCCAGGTCCTCCACGTGCTTCAGGTGTCTACTGAGACATCATCTCCCCCAGCAAGCCTTCCCTGACCACCCTGCCCTCCTCAGCCTGAGTGGGTTCCTGTGGTGTCCTGTGCTTATGGATGTCTTGGTCCTAACCGTATCCCAGGACAGTCATCCATGTCCTTGGTGGCCTCCCCTCACCTACCCTACAGATGCATGAGCTCCTTTCAGGCTGTGCCTGTGTGACCAGTTTACTGTTCTATCCTCCAGCGTCTAGCACACCTCCTGCCACACAATGCATGCCAAATAATGGATGGAAGAATGGACATGGGCTGTTACCACCAGATTGAAAAACCTGCACATACTAGAATCACCTGGGCACTCTCCCAGCCAACGGCTTCGGCTTCCTGGTGCCACCTTAGTCCTCCAGATTCAGCATTTCTATGGGTGGGCCGGGGAATCTGCATGTTTAACAAGCACACGCCCAGGTGATTATAATGCAAATTTGAGAACCTCTCAGTGATCTTTCCAAGCCCAACGTTTTACAAAACAGATAACTGATCCAGAGACAGTAAGTGAATTCTGTAAGATCTCAAACACTCTCTCGCGCTCTCTCTCTCTCTCTCTCTCTCTCTCACACACACACACACACACACACACACACCACAGAGAGAGAGGGAGAGAGATTTCATTTATGAGATGACATGAACACCCAATGCTTTTCCCACTCCCACAAAGTAGACCTTCAAGAAAACCATGGTAGGCATAGGAGAATTTTTGTCTTTGTTTTAACCTTTGTCCTAAACAGATCTGATCTGGCGAATCTTCACATATTGTTTATTTCCTTTCCATAGGAAGTGCTTAGCCTCCAAGTATGGGCTACTTATTTTTTAACAATTACTTTCACTCCAAGACGTACATAATTTTTTAAACATGGGAATCCCTGATGTTTCATTTTTGTTTTGGAAATGATTTTTAGAGAAGATGAATTATCCTGTCTGATGCCATGAGATCTATTTTTATCATTTGGGATGTTGAGACTAAAACTGACAACATATTTAGTATTGCTTATAGTACTCAGTGACACTGCCTCCCTTTGAAGCCCGCCAGAGAGCCACCATGCAGGAACATGAGTTACTAATTAATTCAACCTGCTCACTGGGACAAAATGGGAAGGAAGAACCCACATTTGACACAGATAAAGTGGAGCATGTTCAAAGCGCCAGGACACCAAGGGATCAGGAAATTATGTCTCAAGGGAAGGGCTGAAGAAACTGCACATTTAGGTTTCCATGGAGGAAACTCAGTGGCTGTAAATGCCAGAAGTGCTGAAATAGGGGTGGGTAGGCTTGCAAGGAAAGTAGACCTGGACCTGAGGGTGGAAGTTACCAGGACAGACCTTCCGCTGGAATATGTGAAAGAACTTCCAAGCAAATGGAATCCTGCAAATAAGCATCCTTAAAAGGGAGTTCCCACAGCAAGAGAAATGTTCAAAGCTGGAGCCATCTGATGGGGCTGTCACAGAATGTCCTGGGTGAGGAGTGGTCTGGACTAGAAGAAGTCCAGGTACCTTTCTGACAGACTCTGGGGTGAACACAAATGGCCACAGGACCAAGCCAGTGACCTGAATGAGTCAGTCATTACTCAGCTCCAGCCAATTGCTTGGGAATGTGGGTCCAGCAAGGCCAGATCCTTCTTCTGATTTTTCAAGAAAAGACAGACTTGTGGATTTTTAAAAATATGGACTGTCCTGAGTTTTAAATATCATGCAGGCCAAATAAAGCCATCTGTGCCTGCAGGGTCTTGATTGTGACCTGCCAGTTTGACCCCTCTGTTCCAGGATTCTCAGGGTTATGTGCACTTTTGTCCTTCACAAGTAAGATAAATGAAATAGGTAGGGATTTTCCTCCTATTCAACAGATGGGCAAGTCAGGACACCGGGAGGTTAAGGGACTTCTAGATAGACGCACTCTTATAATATAAGGTAATGTTATAACAGACAAGGGCTAGAATCAGGGTACGTGGGTGAATAGGTAGTTATGTCCCTCGGCTGCTCCACTGACATTTCATTTTTTAGCTCTTCTCTTAAAATAATATTTGCTGAAGGGAGCACTGGGAAGGCCCCATCCTTCCTATATGACTGGAGCAGGGAATTCTGCCTCCCAGGGGCTCTGGGGTGAGGGGTATCCTCCCTGCACCGCTCCGGGGGTTAGGGTGCCCCTGAGTTGTGCCTTACTGAGTCTGCACATCCTGCACAGAGCTCCTGCCTGGAGCCATTCTAAAACTCAGCCGCTCCTATTCCCCAAGGATCTGTGTCTTTAGGCCTCCAGCCATGCCTGAAATTTCACCATTATAAGCCTGCTTTTGGGTGAAGGCTTCACAGGCACCCAGGAATCACTTTCACAGTGAACACAGGAAAAGGAAAAAAAACCACAGGAATGCAACCTGACATCTCTCTCAGGCTCTAAGTATTGGACTGCCAGGACTTGGGTACTGAAGAAATTAGTTTTGCCACGAAGGCAACCTCAAAAAGCCAGTCATCTTCAAGCCACATTTACAGCACTCCGCAGTGCGACTTGAGGCCTGTCTGCCTAGCTTCCTGCTTCTTGGCCTTCCTGCCACTCTTTATGCTGACACCGCGCTTACAGTAGCAGCTTTCAGACCAACTTGAGGCCTTGCTTACTTTGCCAGTGGACTGCCTGCTTGTTTTTTAAAGGATTTTTTTTTTAAGTATTGGTACTTTTTTTTCCGTGAAGCTTAGTTGAAGTATATTTGAATTACAATAAACTGCACATTTTAAAAGTGTGCAACTTGATCAATTTTAACATATATATAAACCTGTGAAGCCATCATCACAGTCAAGAGAATGAACCTTTCTATCACCTCCAAAAGGTTCTTTGTGCCCCTTTGTTACCCATTCCTCTCTGTGTCCCCTAATAACCACCTGCCTGCTTTTTGTCTTTCTGGATGAGTTTACATTTTCTAGAAATTTGTATTGAAGGAATAATATAGTATGTGTTCCTTTTTGCCTGTTTTTTTTTTTTTTACTCAGCATGATGCTTTTTGACATTCATCCATGTTCTTGTGTGTATCAACAGTGCATTCTTTATTGCTGAGTAGTAGACCATTACATGGATAGACTAATTCATTTATTCATTTACCTGTTGATGGACATTTGGATTGTTTCTAGCTTTGGGTTATTACAAATAAAGCTGTTATAAACATTTGTATACAAGTCTTTGTGTATATATATGTTTTTGTTTTTCTTGGGTAAATACTTAGGAATGGAATGGCTGGATTGTATGGTATATATATATCTTTCTAAGAAACTGCCAAATTGTTTTCCAAAGTGGCTGTATCATGTTGCATTCCCACCATCAGTGTATAAGAGTCTGGCTGCTCCGCATCCTCACCAACACTTAGAATGGTCAGTCTTTAATTTTAGCCATTCTGGTAGATGTGAAGAAGTGACATCTTAATGTCTCACATGAAATTTACATTCTGCCATGAAGAGCATCTCTTCATGTGTTTATTGGCCGTTTTATGTCTTTTGTGAAGTATCTGTTAAAATCTTTTGCCATTTTTTAATTGGATTGTCTTGTTGAGTTTTAAGAATGTTTTATGTATTCTGCCTACAAGTCTTTTGTCTAATATATGTTTTGTGAATATATTCTCCCAATCTGTGGCTTGCCTTTTTGTTTTCCTAATAAGGTATCAGTATCATCTGGCAAAATCTAGAGCATATGGGGTTTCCAGGGATAAGTAAGACATTGAAATTTAACAAATGTAGTAAACCTTAAGAATCCCGTGGAACCTGAATGTGGTACCAACATGAATATTTATCATATTAACTCTGAGTTTGGATATTATTTTGCATAATTTGAGAAAAACACTGTGTAGGGCACCGTACTAGGTGCTAGAAGAGATGGAAGGAAAGGTACAGACATAATCAGACATGGACACTGTTCTCAGGATGCCCTCATCTGTGGAGGGAGAGGCGTAAGGCATGCATTCTAATACTAATCATTATTGCATGCGTGATCTGCTTTATTGGCTTGATAATCCTCAGAACAACCCTCTGAGGTAGATTGTCTTAATTTGGCAGATGTGGAAACAGGCTTAGAGAAGTTAAGTCACTTCCCCAGTTCGTACAGCTAGGACATGGGGGACCTGGATTCAATCCCAATACTGTCTGACTTTGAAGGCCCCATTCTTAACCTTTGGGCTAAATTGCCTCTCTAGTATAAGGTAGACTGTATTAAGGAACTATAAGCAAGTTATAAACAGAGCATTGTAGAGCAAGAAGTGAACATTTATTTTTGGCTCTGTGCCAGAAAGCACCATGAAGGGGTTAGCATTTGAGCTAGGCCTTGAAGGATGTACTTAACCTTGGCAACAAAGATGACAGAAAGGGAATAACAATTGGAGGGAGCAGGCCGGGTGCAGTGGCTCACACCTGTAATCCCAGCACTGTGGGAGGCTGAGGCGGGTGGATCACCTGAGGTTAGGAATTTGACACCAGCCTGGCCAACATGGTGAAACCTCATCTCTACTAAAAATACACAGATTAACTGGGCGTGGTGGTGCAGGCCTGTCATCCCAGCTACTCAGGAGGCTGAGGCAGGAGGATCACCAGATCCTAGGAGGTGGAGGTTGCAGTGAGCTGAGATCGCGTCACTGCACTCCAGCCTGGGTGACAGAGCAAGACCCTGTCTCAAAAAAAAAAACTAAAAAACTAAACAACAACAGCAGAACAATTGGAGGGAGCAGCATAAGTAATGATGCAGAGGTGGGAATGGTCCTGGGATCTGTTGACTATAGCCTCATTTTCCTTAAGGGGAACAGAGAGAAAAGGCGATTAAAATCTATTCTCAAAAGTCCTTGAAATTTGGGCTTAGAAGTTTGAATTTGATTCCAGAGGCAATAGTGATCCACTGAAGCATTTGAGCAGCGGGGAGGGGAAGTATTATAGAAGGTTGTGTGTCCTAGAAGGACAAGGAAGTAGAGGAGGTACAGAGAACCGTTGGGGATCTTGTGGTCCCCACTGTAAGTGTTGGGGCCCCCAGCTAGGTCATTAGCCACAGAAATGGACAAGAAAGGATAAATACATAATCCAAAAGTAGTAGCCACCTTCCCCATTCATCATTCTTATTCTATCAATTCTTCTATAATCTGGGACTAATTTGACCCAGTCTCTTGCTTCCTCCTTCTTCCTCGTCCATCTGTATTTTGCATACTTCATTGCTCTCAGACGTAACAAGGGAGAAGAGAGAAACTCAATTTGTCCAGCTTGTAATTTGTTAGCTAATTCTGATAAATGAGGTGGTTCCTGGAAAAGGCAGAAACTTTTGGCTAAAATGAAGTTTTATACTATTTGTACATTTATTTATTCATTCATTAAGCTAACCAGATTCATTCATTTACCATTCATTCATCCAAACATTTATTCATTCTATAAACAGTCATTTGATATTTATGGAGTATCTAATATGTTAATATGTGCCAGACATTGTGGTAGATACTGAAGATACAGTGGACAACAGAACACAGTCTCTGTCTACAAGAAGCTCACTTCTTTTTTTTTTTTTTTTTTTTGAGATGGAGTCTCGCTCTGTCTCCCAGGTTAGAGTGCAGTGGCAGGATCTCGGCTCGCTGCAACCTCCACTTCCCGGGTTCAAGTGATTCTCCTGCCTCAGCCTCCTGGGTAGCTAGGACTACAGGTGTGCACCACCATGCCTGGCTAATTTTTTGTATTTTTAGTAGAGATGGGCTTTCACCATTTTGGCCAGGCTGGTCCTGAACTCCTGACCTCAAGCAGTCCACCCACCTCAGCCTCCCAAAGTGCTGGCATTACAGGCGTGAGCCACCACACCTGGCCTTTTTGGGGTTTTTTTGTTTGTTTTTTTTTAGACAGAGTCTTGCTCTGTCACCCAGGCTGGAGTGTAGTGGCGCAATCTCGGCTCACCACAAGCTCCGCCTCTTGGGTTCACGCCATTCTCCTGCCTCAGCCTCCCAAGTAGCTGGGACTACAGGCACCCGCCACCATGCCCGGCTAATTTTTTGTATTTTTAGTAGAGATGGGATTTCACCCTGTTAGCCAGAATCGTCTCGATCTCCTGACCTCGTGATCCGCCCACCTCGGCCTCCCAAAGTGCTGGGGATTACAGGCGTGAGCCACTGCGCCCGGCCTTTTTTTTTTTTTTTAAAGGCAGGGTCTCACTCTGTCGCCCAGGCTGGAGTGCAGTGGAATGATCATGGCTCACTGCAGCCTTGACCTCCTGGGCTCAAGTAGTCCTCCCAACTCAGCCTCCTGAGTAGCTGGGACTACGGGCATGTGCCACCACACTTGGCTAATTTTTTTTTTTATTATTTTTATCTTTTGTTGAGATGAGGTCTCACTGTGTTGCCCAGGTTGGTCTTGAATTCCTGAGCTCAAGCGATCCTCCCACCTCGGATTCCCAAAGTGTTAGGATTACAGGTGTGAGCCACTATGCCCAGCCAAAGTTCACATTTTAATGGAGGATTCGTTCTGCCATCTTCTTTTGGATTTTCTTTTTGTCTTACCTTTCTATGTTCCTTTTCCTCTGCTTTCTTTCCTTTGGATTTTTTTCTCATTTTACTTTTTCCCTCTCATCTGCTAAAAGAGTTTCGTATTATTTCTCTACTTTGAATAGTTAACCAAGAAATTTAACATGCCATTGTTTTCACTCATAGGTGGGAATTGAACAATGAGAACACTTGGACACAGGAAGGGGAACATCACACACCGGGGCCTGTTGTGGGGTAGGGGAAGGGGGGAGGGATAGCATTAGGAGATATACCTAATGTTAAATGACGAGTTAATGGGTGCAGCACACCAACATGGCACATGTATATATATGTAACAGACCTGCGTATTGTGCACATGTACCATAAAACTTAAAGTATAATAAAAAAAGGAAAAAAAAAAGAAATTTAACATGCATTCTTGAATCTAAAATTAATTAATTTTTTATAGCTAATACAGGGAACTTAGCATATCAGCTTTGATCACCATACTTTGACCTATATATGCTATGGTTGTCATGTATTTTAGTTATATTTTTTAATTTCCTAAGACTATAGTATTACTGTTTTCTACAGACCTTCCAAGGGGAATCACATTCCTTCTGCCTGAAGCTTATTCTTTTAAATTTCCTTCAGCAAGGGCTCTTGATAGCAAACTCTCCATGTTTGCTTGGGAATATCTTTATTTCTCTCCTGTTCTTGCTGGGTATATGATTCTAGTTGACAGTGTTTACTCTCAGTATATTCAATATATTATTCTACTGCATTCTGGTTTCCATTATAGCTGCTGAGAAGTCAGGGGTCATCTAATGATTATTGCTTTAAATGACATCTGTCTTTTATCCAGCTACTTTTAAGATGTTATCTCTGTTTTCAGTGTTCTGTACTTTCACCATAATGTAGATTTTTAAAAATAGCTTTACTGCCATATAAATGACATAAATTAAACTGCGTGTTTAAAGTATTCAATTTTGTAAGTTTTCACATATCTATACACCCATGAAAACATCACCACCTCAAGAAAATGACTATATCCATCATCCCCTAGAATTTCCTCGTGTCCCTTTGCATTTGTAACCTCTCCCTCCTGTCCCTCCTGCACCTCCTCTAATCCCAGGCAACCACTGCCCTCTATCACCATAGATTAGTTTGTATTTTCTAGAGTTTTATACAAATGGAATCATACGGTATGTACTCTTTAAAAAAAAAAAAACTTCCTTTTTTCAGTGACCATGATTATTTTGAGATTCATTCATGTAGCATGTATCAATAGTTTGTTCCCTTTTTATTGGGAAATAATATTCCTTTGTGTGGTTATACCATGGTTTACTTTTCCATTTACCTGTTGATGGACATGTGGGTTGTTTCTAGTTTTGTGCTATTACAAAGTTACCGTGAAATTCATGTACAAGTCTTTCTGTGACCATATGCTTTTATTTCTCTTGGGTAAATACCCAGGAGTAGAATGGCTGGATTATGTGTATATTTAACTGTGGTGGCACCATTTTACATTCCCAGCAGCAGTATATGAGAATTTCAGTTTCCCCACATCCTCACCAACACTTAGTATGATCAGTCTTTTAAATTTTAGCCTTTCTAATATGTATGTGGTGATATCTTAACGTGGTTTTAATCTTAATGTGTTCTCTAATGAACAATGATACTGAGCATCTTTTTGCATGCTTATTTCCCTCTGTACATCTTTTTTTTGTTATGTGTCTGTTAATACCTTTGACCATTTGAAAAATTTGGTTGTTGGTTTCTTATTACTGAATTTTGAGAGTCCTTTATATTCTATATACAAGTATTTTATCAGAGATATGTTTCTGCAGTATTTTTTTCCCAGCCTCTGGCTTGTCTTTTATTCTTTTAATAGTGTCCTTTGAAGAGCAGAAGTTGTAACTTTTGATGCAGTTTGATTGATCAATTTGTTCTTTTATGTATTATGCTTTTGGTGTTGTATCTAAGATGTCTTTGCCTAACCATAAGTCCCAAGGTTTTTTTTTTTCCCTTATGTTTTCTCCTAGATGTTTTATGATTTTAGACTTTACATTTAGATTTGTGATCCATTTTGAGTTAATTTTTGTATGTGGTTGATATAGTTTGGATATCTGTCTCCACTGAAATCTCATGTTGAACTGTAATCCCCAGTGCTGGAGGTGGGGCTTGGTGGGAGGTGTTTGGATCATGGAGGTGGATCCCTCATGGCTTGGTGCTGTCTTCATGATAGTGAGTTCTTGCAAGATCTGGTTGTTTAAAACTGTGTGGCACCTCCCCTCCCAGCCATTTTCTCTCGCTCCTACATTCTCCATGTGATGTGCCTGCTCCTACTTCACCTTCCACCATGATTGTAAGCTTCCTGAGGCCTCCCTAGAAGCCAAACAGATGCTGGCACCATGCTTCCTGTAAAGCCTTCAGAACCGTGAGCCAATTAAACCTCTTCTCTTTATAAATTACCCAGTCTCAAGTATGTCTTTATAGCAATGCAAGAATGGCCTACCACAGTGGTATAAAGTATGGATCAAAGTTCTTGTTTTTCTACTGATACTCAGTTGTTCTGGTATCATTGGTTGAGTAGACTATCATTTCTCCAGTAATTCCTTTTGCATCTTTGTCAAAAATTAGTTGCCCATATATGCATATGTATATGAACTCATATTTCTTGGAAACTTCTCTGGGGATCCTTCGAGGGCTAGGTAAAGGCGGGCTCCTCCAGTAAAGATTGGCATTTGCTTCTGCCATGTGCCTAATAAAATCACTTTACATTAAATTTTCAGTTTGAAGTTTGTCAGATCTCCCAGGTACTCTGATTATGGACCAAAAACCTGTACGAGAGCTGGCATAGTAACAAATTCTCAAGAGAGATTCCTTCCCATCCCATTTACTCTTTGCCAGAATTGGGGGGTTTATTTCTCACTCACAGTAAGGATGGCGGGAGTCCCAATTGTATGTGGGTGGTGGTATAGAGTGAACTGCCAAACTCCCACCTTGCGTGGACTCTGGGCTTTGTTCTCTGTGTCCTGTGTTCTAAGAGGATGTGCAAATCCACATTCAAGTTAACCTGGTTTAGTAAACGCCCTCAAAATGAAAGCCAGTTTCAGTTCTCCACTTAACTCTGGGTTCTCATTTTCATTTGGTTTTTGGTTTCTGATTATTTCTTACTTTCTTGCAAGTTTGTCCATGCGTTTTAAAAATGTGATTTTGCTTTTGCTTTTAATTCTGCCTTTTTCATTGTTTTCACCTAGTGGGTTGGCCAGGGTATTCTACCATACTGCTGGAAATGGAGGTTGGGTCTTGGTCTTTTTATATTGTTAGGAATGTTTCTTCTCTGGTAACGTGGGATTGATTGCATTTTTGTTAGTTTTTGTTTCCATTTCTTTTGGTAAGCACTAGAGAACCAGAGGAGGAAGGTACTTACTTTTCCTATATTGGTCGTCTGTACATTGTGGTATTATCACCACCTAATGAACTCCTGGGCTTTACATCTTTCCCTCTTACTAAATCATCTGTGCCAAATGAGTTGAAGTTTTATTTTAGTGTGATTAAAATTCCTGCACTACACCACATCTAGAGTTAATTTCTTATCTACTTGCATAGTATGCTCTACCTCTCTTTTAGATTATTTAGTATAATTAAAACAATATGATTATTTGTATGACTATTGATTTTAATCTTCCCTGCAAAGATTGTAAGTTCCTGCCGGACGTGGTGGCTCATGCCTGTAATCCCAGCACTTTGGGAGGCTGAGGCAGGTGGATCACGAGGTCAGGAGATCGAGACCATCTTGGCTAACATGGTGAAACCCCATCTCTACTAAAAATACAAAAAAAAAAATTCGCCGGGCATGGTGGCGGGTGCCTGTAGTCCCAGCTACTTGGGAGGCTGAGGCAGGAGAGTGGCGTGAACCCAGGAGGCGCACCTTGCGGTGAGCCGAGAATGCGCCACTGTACTCCAGCCTGGGCGACAGAGTGAGACTCCATCTCAAAAAAAAAAAAGAATCTAAGTTCCATGCAATCACGGACCAGGACAGTCTTACTCCTTCCGTAGTATCCCTACTTTCTGGCACAGTCCCTGGCATATAAAGAGCATTTGATAAACAAAGTGAATGAATGAATGAATAACAGGGTTTGTCAGGATACATTGAGGAAGCAGACATCTGTGATAACTTTGTTTGGTCCAACAGCCATCTGTGGAGCCCCTACTCTGTGTCAGTCTCCATGCTGGGCACCTTTGGAAAATGCAGAGATGAGTAAAACACAAGTCTCACTCTCAAGGGATCTTCAGTCCAGTGGGAAAAAGGCAGTGTTCCCATTACTGGAATTTCCATATTCAAATAATAAATTTTTTGTTTTGTGAATAGACTTGTGTTGAGGTAGAACCTCACTGTTGATCAGCTATCCAGGTTTTAAATACTATAATCCTGTGTACGCAAAGCTTTATGTCCCTGAAACAGTCTCAGGTAGGTACCTTATGTGATGCTCAAACTCCTATGTCAAACCTCTCTTCAGTCCAGTTGACTATCAAGTGCCTCTCTACGCCCAGAAGTGTATCAAGTCATTTGGGGAATACTAAGTTTAAAAGAAAACCTAAGTTCCTGTCCCCAAGGGGTTTACTAGTTACGGAGTGTGGAGATTGTGGGCAGCAACCACTGGGCCTGCCTGTAGAAGCCCTAAGTGGACACAAGTAGAAAATTCCTGGGCCCTGCAGCACAGGGCACAGATAAGGGGACACTGCCCCTTGGTATGCAGCAAGACTTTCAAGGCCCCAAATCTGCACCATAGGCTTCTGTGTCTGGCTTATGAGTAGCAGCTTTATGGTCTTAGAAGTTGTTTTCTAGGTCTGATGGGACTAGAGAGATAACAGGTAACAAGCCCACAGTTCTGTGCTTCTGAGACTTGTGAGCCTCTCTTGCATAGGACCACCTACATCCCTGGGCTCAAGATGTGCCTCTGAGAAGACACAAGTCAGATAGGAGCTGTATGTGCCCACAGCATCCTTTCCTCCTGTGCACTTCCTCTGCACCACTTACTAGCAGCTTCTGGAGTAAACCAAAGGTCAGTGACCCTGAACCTAATCCAGGTCACAGTTCTTATTCTTTCTGGAATCCAGGCCAGTCCTGGGGTCTGACCTAGACCAGGAAGAGCAGATGTACCATTTGGTAAATAAAAGAAAGTCAAGCTTATTTGACGTTTTTTGTTCATGTGACTTCACAGAGATGGCAAGGCATACACCAGACAAGGCGGGTCCCTGCAGCTTCTGAGGACGCCACGAACCAGCTTTGTGAACGTTGGCTGCCTGGCCTTCCTAGGCCTCCTTGTCCTTATATATAGATGAGAGAAATAGGCTAGAGCTGTGATTCTTTTCCTGTGGTTCACAGACCTGTTTCTGTGGCTAAAATTTTTACCAGTCCAAGGGAAAATGAGGAGAGAGTGGTGAGTTTTTCAGAAAGCTGTGTGTTACTGATCCTGAGTGGACATCTTTCCAAGTTGGTATAATGCATCCTCTTATTTTATAAAATGGTAGTAATAGCAGACGGTAGGTTGTTTGCCTTCTTGGTTGGTTTGAATGTATATACTGCACAGAACACAAAGCTGATAACATCGTCTCTTCCCAACACCACTTTTTTGGGAAAATCTTTTCAAGCCCATTGAATTCAGAAGTCAGAAATGCCAGGTTAGATGACTTCGAAATTGGACAACCTCAAGTTTTCCTGATGTATGGGTTATGAGAGGGTGGGAGACACTTTTCTGTTCTTATTAGCTGTGAAGTTGGGTTTTGGTTTATTTTTGATTTTATTTTTTACCATGCTCAAACCCCTGTCTCAGCCCTCTTTTTAGTCCTGTTAACTATCAAGTGCCTCTCTCTGCCCAGGGGTATATCAAGTCATTTGGGGAATACTACGTTTGAATTAGAGTGAACCCCAGTCTCCTGTGGGGGTAATGAGGCCATTGTGGGACAACATCTTGGTCTCTTATCTCAAGGCCATACATGTTTGTAGGTCATGAGTTTGGCATGAGCTTAATTGCTGGCACATCTCTACCTCTATGTGCCTTTGTAGCTCTCTGGGATACAGAAAAGTCCTTTGATACTTACGTACTTGTCTTTGTTGGTAATCCAGAAACCCAGGTTTTGGGGCCCATCAGCTTTTCTGCACAGGATCCTGCATACAGTCCAGTTGTGGATTAGCCTCAGCCCAAAGAGCCTGTTAAGTCACATGTCCTCACTGTATATCAGCTCAAAGAAATGCTGCAGGCATGGATGGCCCTCTGCCCTCCGGGGGGAGAGAGCCAGGAGCTCAGCAAACTACCAAACAGTGACCTATGAGAACCTTTAAGGCAGTGGGAATAAACTAAAGGAAAGATATTATAAGCAGATTTTTATAGAAAGTAAGTTGAAAGCCACCCCACAGGCCCACCTCTACCTCTTAGTGCTGTGTGGCTCCAGGCAAGCCACTTAACCTCTCTAGGTCTTTTCTTTTATTTTCATCCTTAATAAAAACAGAATGCTGTTATCTGTCCTTTTAGTTGCTTATTGTAAGGTTAATTGGCTATTATATGTGCTTTGGTTATTATGAGTAAGATACTGTGAGCTTGATAATGGTCAAATGCAAATAGGATTCATTTACTTATTCAATACACTTGTGGCTAATGCCTGCTATGTGCCAGGCATCTTTCTGTGTAGTGGTGAGAAAACCATATATAGCCTTCAGGAAGCTTACATTCCAGTGGGGTGGTGGGGGAACAGACAATAAACAAGCAAACAAATAAATAAAACAGTGATAATAGGTGCTATGAAGGAAACAAATAGGCTGGCATAAGGGTCAGGGGAGGAGGTTAGAAAAGGTTTCTCTTAAGATATGAGGGTCAGGTTGTGATCCAAAGCCAGGAAGAAGCCTGGGGAAGAATGTCCAGCCAGCAGGCTCAGCAAGTACAGGGGTCATGAGGCTGCAAAGGGCTGTCTTGCTTGAAGACGAGAAAGAGTGCAGTGTGGCAGGAGCATCGTGACAAGTAACAGACATGTGGTCAATTTCAAAAAGTGTTGAGTAGCTACAACTTGTTTTCATGCATTTCTTCCTATTTTTCAAGCTTATTTGTCTTTGGGAACAAAATTAATTTATAGATATGTTCTGGATATTAAAATCATTCTTTAAAATATCTTTAGAATATGGAAGGGAGAATTACTCTAGAGTAGTTAACAGAGTATATATGGCCTGTAGAGTCAGTTAGCCCCAGGTTCACATCAGCTATGCCACTTACAAGGTCGCTGATCTTGGACAAGTTACTCAGCCTTTCTGGGCCTCAGTTTCCTTATCTGTAAAATGGGGATAATAATCTCTGAGCTCCATTCTTCAGAAGATTGTTATAAAAAAATTTTAACAAAATGATAAATATGAAAATGGTTGGGATGCTTAAAGGACATTGTTAATGGGAAAGAGAATGTCTTGACTCCAGGTTGGTTCTTTGCATCCTGGGCCTGCTTGGCTGTTGGTAATGGGGTACTCTCAGATAAGATTTTCTGTAGCGGGGTTGTATCAATGTTAACTTGCAGGTGGGAAGCCTGTTCTAGGGCTTGTCCTTTGAGTGCGGCAGAAATGGTATTACAAGGAAATAAATGAATAATAAATGAAGGGCTCCAAAGTCAGGCTGCACCTGCAAGATTTCTGTGTGTGGGAAACTCAGCAAAAAGAAAATGGTCTCATTGTGCTGTCTCTGCAAGGAAAAGTGGGCTTCTGCAGGCAGCACTGTGTTATGAACAAAGGCTCTGGCTTCTGAAAAGAGACCAAGGTGAGGCACCAAGGGGTGGAGGCCTTGTTCTGGGGTGCCCAACAGGTTAGTGGTGGCACTGGGATGAGATTCTTCAGAGCACCCCCCACCAGCCGCCCACCATGGTCTCTGTACCCCAGCCCTCTGCTCTTGGCATTCTGAAACAGTTATTCCACAGCACATGGTTGTCGAGTGGCTGCCATGTTTGTGATACTGTGCTAGGCCCTGAGGATACAGGGTAGACAGGGCCGCCTTCATAGCACCTACAGTCTTGCTGGGAGACTGTAATGGCAGGAAGGTGACAGAAGTGCTTTTGGTGGGCAGGTAGAGGATGTCGTGGGTTAGAATTGCTGTGGGTAGCTTCTTGGACAGTTTACTTTTCTCCTTATTATCTGACCAGATGTCCTGAGCTATGGTGGTGGCCAATGTCAGATTCACCATGAAGCTTCAGAGTCCCTTCCTTCCAAGGCTCTGGGAGGGGCCCTAGCAATGTGTTTCATGGTCATCAGTTCTCTTAACATTTGCAAAAGAGCATTTAACTATGATCAGTTACAACCACTGTCTCTCTTCTCTCTAACTTCCCCTCCTCTCTGGTGGTGGAGTGGCCACAGGCATTTTTAAGATTCTGTGGTGGGAAAGTTGAGTTGGGATACATCTAACGGCACTTATAAAATGCATTATGTGCATGCTTTAATTTCATATTCTTCTTAAAGAGCCTCTCCTCATCCCCACCTGCCAAAGCATCAACATCAGATCCCACAAAACCAGACCTGCCCATGGTGGTGGCTTTGATTTTTCCTACCCAGGGTCTTAGTGGCAGGCAGTGGTGACAGAAACCAGCAACTTTGCTCCAGGTGAAGAACAGGCTCATAGGCTAAAAGAGCTGTCTGCAGACACCAAAAGGGCTGGCATGGAGACTACTAAGCATATTTATCTATTCCTGGTACATAAATTGGGTACAAAATTGATAGCATTTCCTCTGTGCCAGGCACTGTTCTAAGCACATCATTACATAGTAACTCTAATCCTCAGAAACAAGTTTATGAAATAGATATGATTACCTTCATTTAACACGTGAAGGAAGTAAGGTACCATGAGGTCAAGTAACTTGATAGTGGGATTCAAACCCATTGAGTCTGGTGTCAGGATCAGGTCCTGTGGGCATGTGACCAGTGCATATGCACAGGGCCCTGCACTGAGAGAGGCCCTGCATATACGGGATTGGTCCTGATCAGGGCCTGTGCTTCTTATCTCTCACTACATTATTCTGACAGTAGGCAGAATATGGCACAAGCTGCCCCAATAAGTATTGAGTTCCCCAGCCTGGGAGATGTTCAAGATGAGACTGGACAACACTTGAGCAGGAATACTTTCGAGGAGGCCTAAGTACCAGATAGGAGGAGAGTGGACTAGACACCCTTTAGCATCTGAGATCTGCTGAGCCTTGAGAGTCTAGGATTCTGGGACTTTCCCTTCCACAACTTTACTGAAAGTCAGAAAATAGAGGAAACAGGGCCTGAGGGAAATAGTCTAGTACATAGAATTTAGTGAGAAAGTGGGACAGTTCCCAAAGGAAAGAAATCTGTGGAAGGACAAGGAACCTGGAGACATTTCCCTAGACTTCTGGCAATGGCACTGGGCTGCGGTCCCTTCGAAGCCCAGCACCATTGCCACAAAAACCTGCTTCTCTCTCCTTTATCACCAGAAATGCCCCTGACTAGCTGCAGATAAATAAAATGAACATTCAGTTGGGGGGCCTTCTTGGTCTCAGTGAGCCTGTAGGTTCTACCAATGGGGTACCAGCCACAGCAGCAGCTGGTAATACCATGATTACAGCAGCACAGATGGGGTTCATTCTGAGACCTTGAGTTTTCCTGTCCTCTGAGGCTGCAGTCTTTGCAGAGTCTTTCCTTACCACCTGGAGAGCTGAACAGAGACTTGTAGCTTCAGTACTAGGAAAGGGCCTTAGGGGTTGATTCAGTTTGAGAACAGGAGTTCTCAAACTGTTCTCTGGAACCCACGTGTGTGTTTATGTGCTTGAGTGTTTTGGGGGACCAACAATTGAGGACATGAGAAACCTATGACCTTCTTCTGGACATTCCGTCATGGCTGTACCAGTAACTCTTAATGTTGTGACCCTGAGCCAGTTATTTAATCACTTTGATCCTCAATTTCTACCTCTGCAAAGGAGGCATGAGAGGATTAATGTTAGTACTCAACTTGAAAAATTTTTGTCTAGCTATTCCCGTTAATAACACAAGTTGGATAGTGCTTTGGGGTTTTCAAAGAGCTGTTCACATATGTAATCTCACCGGTTGTCTTAATGGCAAGAAGTCATATTGCCCTCATTTTACTGATAAAGGAACTGAGGCTAAAGACTTAGGAGGAAGCAAAGCCAGACCTGGAAATCCATAATTTTAGAATAGGGATCCTTTGTATTTTCTAAAAGTTTGCCCTTTTGTTCATTGTGCCAAGTTCCCACAATTTGATGTTTACATAGTTCCCAGACCACTCTTGTGCACAATGATGTTTTGCTTAGGTCTGGGGAGCCCTTGATGTGCCCCATCTTAGGTCTGCTTGGACTGGGAGGGAGACTAGCAGAGGGAGTCAAAACCTGAGCTCTAAAGTTAGATCCCTTGTGTTCACAGTTCCAATCTGTCACTCCCCAGCTGTGTCACCAGAACAAATGGCTTAACCTCCTGGAACCTGAATTTTCTCATGTGCAAAATAAGGACAACAGTGGTACCTACCACATGGAACTATTGCAGGAATTCCGTGAGATAATCCATGTAAAATGCCCAGCTCAGTGCCTGACCCAATGCATCTTAGCTGTCATTGTTACTGTTAATGTAACTATTAGCACATTCACACTAAATGTATCCATCTTTAAATGAGCTACTTTCCATATTTTGGTCATTGCACATTAAACACATTTTTAATCAACTTGTTTTAGGCTTAAATTGTAGGCTCCTCTGGTCTTCTTTTTAGCATCTGTTAGAAGTATTTTTAAAAGCTCTGCCTGAATTCATGGGGAGCCCCTGTAAACCCACTTGAAAGCAGATTTCATCACTAAAAACCCACAAAACACCTCAGTGTGAGTGGAGGAATCAGGATGTAATTTATGGCGTCCACTTCTTGCTGCCATTTGGCATTTTGCAAACTGCCATTGCCATTAGCTGTCACTTTTGAGTATTTATGATCTTGCGGTTGGAGCACTTTGATTCTCATAACAGAAACAGGGTCACATTTAGAAAATGTACCCTGGAAAATGTACCACCGAGCTGGAAACTGAGATCCCCCAGGGTGGTTGATGGATGGGGCTGCACAGGGGAAGTGTGGCCTGCCAGCCAGGCTGCGCTGTGCCCTTTCCACATACCACAGTTGGAAGCTATCTTTGTGTCTCAGGCCTCAGCCTGCCAGGCCTGGGCTTTCTGCTTGGCAGTGTCTAGGGGTCTGGGGCAAAAAGATGTGTAGCTAAATACCAAAACCATTTTCCATATGGATGCCCTTCACAGCCGTGAGATTGGCAAAGATAGAGCTAGGATTTGGCAGGAATTCCTCCATGGTCCTAAACTGGTTCTTTGTGTCCCAGGTAGCAGAGAGTTTGGGATCTTGCAAGTGAGGAAGCATGAGTTAAGTGTGGCACCAATATACTGAACTGGCAAGAGGCAGGACATTGTCGCCCCCTTTGGGCCTCAATTTTTTCTCTGCTAAATGGGAGGATTTGGTTTTGGTGAGCTCTGAGGACCATTCTTTCAGCCCCATTGAATCTCTTGATTTCAGAGAGGTGCTTGACTGTGAAATTATTTGGGATTTTTGGTCAAAAGAAGTTGAGCGTTTTGAGAGGAGAGAAGAAATTGCATTTAAGTTGTGGGGTTTTTTTTTGTTTTTAAATCCAGGCTATTCATTGTGTGTGAAAAAGAATACCATCTCCATCACTGTAATGCATCCGCACGCTTGTGAGAATCTGTCTACCAAAGAGTCTGAGGTGAGGATGCAAGTCCTGACTCGGCTATCTCTGTGAGACCTTGGACAGATCCCGGTTCCCCTTGCTTTGTTTCTCCAATTGGGAAATCCCTGCAGGATACTGCATTACATTAGGTTGCTATGTCTTCTTAAGCTCCTCTTGGCTGGGACAGTTTATCAGACTTCACCTTGTTTTTGAGGAGCCCTGGCCAAGCATTTTTTTAGAATCTGTTGGAATTTGTCTGATGTTTTTCTGATGCGTAGATGGGGGTTATGGGTTTGGGGAGCAAGATTACAGAGGTAAAGTGCCATTTTCCTTGCATCACATCAAGGATACCTACTATTAACATGACTTATCACTGTCGATGTTGACCTTGATCACCTGGTGAAGGTCGCGCCTGCTAGATTTCTCCACCGCACCATGACTCATGTTTTCTTCTTTTTCATACTGTACTCTTTGAAGGAAGTCATTATAAGCTGCCCTTGGCCTCCTCTTTTGAGAAGGCTTTTGGGGCCATTTGTTTATTTCATTAAACATTATTGGCTGCTGCCTGCATACCCGGCACAGTGTTGGGTACCAGGGTTGTGGAGTTACATACGTAAGACATGGCCTGTGCCCTTGAGGCATTTGGGGTCTAGAAGGCAACACAGACACATGTAGCAACAGTTACAACAACCCAAGGAAAGTGCAGTGAGAAGTTCCCACAGGCGTGGAAAGGAAGTCGCCTCACACCAGGCTTTTCTGTTTTCTGTTTCCGTGCTTTAAGTGAATTTTCTTAATGCCCTCTATTTCCTTCAACCATAAAGTTTTAAATGTTAAAAAAAAAAAAAAGCCTAGCTTATTTCCTTTCCATAGTTATCCTGAGACTCCTGGATATTATTTTTTAGGCATTTGCATAGCACTTTCTCTGGTGAAAGCATTTTTTAGTCATTAATTAGTAATCCACATTAATATGCAGATTGAATTAATCTATTTCAGGCAGAAGTCTGTCTTGAGGAAGCAAAATAGCTTAAGTGTTATTTCTCCCCACGTGCATCTTCTCCTTCTCCCCCTGCGCTTTACCCTGGTCATTATTAGGATTATTGCTGTGATTATTAAACGCTGATTGAGCACTGGAAGTGTCTGCGGTGCTTCGAAGAACTCCAGGGAAGGCAAGTCCCTGCTCTCTGGACGCAGAGCTGCACAGAGGCTGCCGTGGGGGATTCATTAGCACTGGGAAAGCGAAATTGGCCTCATAAATAGTCATCCTCAGGAAACAGTTTCAGCTGTCCTATTTTTATTTTAGTTGTACTAAGCTGAATTCCTTCTTGGCTGTTATTGTCTGAGGATGTTGGCTTTTACCTTCAGAAAAAAGTATATCCTTCATAATATGACTACCATTTATTGTGCTGTTACTGTGCACCAAGTGTTCGGCAAACTTTGTATTTGATTCGCACCAGCCTCATGGGGGAGGTTCTGTTATTTTCCTCCTTGTAGAACTGAGGAAGCCGAGTCTCAGGGAGGGGCGATCTCAGGGCTGGTCAGTGTCAGAGCTGAGCTTTGAATTCTTAGCCATATAGCTCCAGAGCCTTCCCTCTTAGTGCTTCTCTTTACCTCACCATTCAGTGCCTTCCCAGCCTCACTGCCCACTTTGTTTCTGTATCTTCACATCTTCCTTCCTCTTCTTGTTGGTCTCTGGGGAATACAAGTCTTTCTGAGATAACTCTGCAGGGTAAGTACTGTCTTTATTTATAGTAGGGCTGGCTCAGGAGTCCTCTGCTGCCACTGAAGGAGGTTCTCTCGCCTCCCTTCTGCCTACCTGTCCTTCTGTGCACAGTTCAGGGTCATCACCCTGGGCAGGGCACGTATAAGGCAGGGGTCCCCAACCCCCAGGCCACGGACTACCTTTCAGGAACTGGCTGGCACAGCAGGAGGTGAGCGGTGGGGCGAGCAAGTGAAGCTGAGCTCCGCCTCCTGTCAGATCAGCTGTGGCATTAGGTTCTCATAGGAGCCAAACCCTATGGTGAACGTGCATGCAAGGGATCCAGGTTGCACACTATTTCTGAGAATCTAATAATAAATGTAATGCACTCCCCTCACCCCCCGGACCCCGGTCCCCATCCGTGGAAAAATTGTCTTCCACAAAACGAGTCCCTGTGCCAAAAAGATTGGGGGACTGCTGGTATAAGGTCTCTGCCATTAATCGAACATCATTTATTGGCTAGTGCTGGGGTTACAGATGTGAACCGCCCATTCCTGTCCTCAACCAGCTCACAGTCTACTGAGGGAAGAAAACACCTTGAGTTCCAGGTGTCCCATTAATTGGGCACTTCTGTTTCTGGCCTTGTAGTAATAGATATCTGTGTTTTAATAAGCAATTCCCACATGCCAGACCTTCTGCTCATAGATTGATATCCATGACTCTTGTTGATTCCTCATCCCCTCCTTAGTGAGTGAGTGTTTTGTTCTCCCCATGTAACAGGTAAAGAAACTAGAGCTCTTAGAAGACTGAATTGCTTAAGAAGAGACATTTGGGACTTGGCAGAGCTGCTTTTCAAACTCAGATCTGCCTGAATCCAGAAGCTCCCTTTTGAGTTACCTTGATTGCTTCCCTTGTAGTGTTGCCCATGTGTGTATGAGAATGTGTATTCGTGTATACACAGGCTTACACTTACCATACATCAGGCACAGGACTAGGTCATTGCTATCCTTATGGGCCTGCCATCTGGTGGGGTGACAGACAGACACAAAAATAACCCTCAAATTTGATTATAGATACTACTTGACCTTGGGCAAATCTCTTAACTTCTCTCAGTCCTAGTGTCCTCACCTATAAAATGACGATAATAAAACCTATGTCCCAGGATTATGATAAAGAGTGGAACAGAGGAAGTACATAAAGCACTTAGTATATAGTAGACCCAATACACAATAGCACTGACTGCAAGTGTTAGTGAGGTCATAATCCCAGGTTAGAGTACTCAGTATGGGGTCAGCTTGACACAATTTTGTGGACTTCTCAGTCATTGGTCTTAGAGCTACAATGAGTTCTTCAGATACTTAAGGACATGGATCATTTCTGATAGTTTTCTGTGTCCTGGGTTAAGAGGGTGAACTTTCCTAGCAGACAAGATGGATGTGTACTCAACACCTAATAAATGCTATTAATTGATTGAAAACAACCATTATATTTTGTGGCTGGGGAAGTTGGGAAAAATCATGCAAGTGTAGCTGAAAGTATTTTATTGAGTAATCTTGAGCGTTGATAAGAGTCCAGTTCCTTGGATAAGGAAAGAGAAATTCAAGGCCAGGTACACAAAACCAATGAGAAGGTGCTATTTCACTGTGGTATGGAGCAGAGTTAGACCTGGGGTTGAGGCCCTCTCAGACGCTTCCTGGCTGTGTGACCTGGGCAAAATATAGCAGAGCCTCAAGTGTCCTCATTTGTAATTTGAAGGAAAAAATACCTGCCTTGCAAAATTGTGGAGATCAAATAAGGTAATGTTCAGAATGCATTTAGTACAGCTTTCCAGTGAGGAGTAGAGCTTAAATGCTCAGTAAATGGCTGGAGGTGTTGCTTTGAGGGGGCCTCTTGCTCAGATTTGGAGCCCCACGGTGTTCTGCCTGATAGATGGTCTATTTCAGATTCCTGTCATTCTCGCTTTTGACTGAGGTTTTTCTGGAAATGTCCATGGAAAGAATGTGCTATTGCCAGTTAGACGAGGCCTTCTGGAGAGGCCCTACCCCAGCCCATTCCTAAGGAGTATGGGTTTGGTGTTTGGCAGTTCCTTAGAATTCTGGGCCCCAGCTGAGGGGCAGAGCTGTGGGATTAGCCAGTTCAGAGTCACTGAAATGTGGAAAGGGGCAGAGAGGGGTGGGGTATAGAGGACAACAGCAACATAATCTCATTATAGAAAGTTCACGAAATGCAGATAAGTGCAAACAAAAGAAATTTCCCAGTAATTGTGACCATCCAGAGATAACCATAGTTGCATTGCATATATCTGTTCACATTTTTAGCATGCAATTTATATATTTTTAAGGAGATAATAGAGAGGTTTGTGTTAACAAGGTTTTTTTTTTTACATGTATCAAAACATCACATTGTACTCCATAAATACATATAATTATTGTGTCAACTAAAAATTAAAACCAAGCTTTTTTTCACTTAATATATTGTGAATAGGAATTATTTTGTTAATAGAGTTGTGCCTCATCATTTAAAAATACCAGATATTATTCCTCTTTGGGAGATGAATTCTAGTTTCTTTAACCATTCCTATGTTATTGGACATTTAGATTATTTCCAGTTTTTCATTATTATACACAACGCACACTGAGCATTCTCTTCAACACATATTGGCTTGTTTGTCCAGTTATTTCCTCAGTAAAAATCCTGAGAATTGGAGTCATCATAAGGCTTTTTGAATAACATTTTTTTCCCCTTCGCCACTACAAGACTTAGAAGTGGCATTAAGAGAAAGGATGCTGGAGTTTGGGAACAGGCTTCTTATTCTTCATCACCATCACCACCACCACAGTAACTTACAGTGCCCAGTCCTTCAGAATCACAAAGGATTTTCAGTCCTTGTCTCATGTGACTGGCTCTGTGAAGTGGGCAGGGCAAGGTAACTCCATTTTGCAGATTAGAAAATGGAATCTCAGGGAACTTTTAAGGGACTTGCTCAAAGTTGCATAATTAGAAAATAGTAATTACCAGAGTCTTGATTCTACTCCACTCAGTCTAATTCGATGAGTCTTTTGATAATAAAGCACTATTTTTTTAGGTTGGTCCAGGGTTCCCTGCAGGACAGCCATCTTGTTTGAGGAGGGTACAGTCTCTGCCCCACTTTGAACCTCCTGAGGCCGCACTTTTCTGGTGGTAGCCCAGAAAGCTGCATTTTAAGGTTTCTAGGGTGACTGTTATGGTTTGAGAATTGCTGGTCTGAGCCTGGGCCCTTTGCAGCACTGTTGTGTCCCTCGGGCACTTTTCTTCTTCCTGCTTCTCCTGTATTATGCTCTTTGAATACTCTTTGGTGCATCTGCCCAGGCAGCTTTTCCAGGGTTAATAATAACTGTGATCCTATGAGGCATAAACCCTCCCTGGAGAGGGTCCCAGTGGCCAGGCAAAAGCTCCTAAATCCCTGCTTCCCTCCTGTCACTCTCTTGAGAGCTCAATGACCGTGGGCACTTGTGGGATTATGCCCAAGCACTCAGAGCCCTCCTCTGTGTGACAGTATTGTCCTGGCTCAGCCTTGCTGACCTTGTCTGCCTAAAGTGTCTGAGGTTATTCTAGCTCCTACCCTCAACCCAGACTCCCAGATATAACCCATGCATTTTAAAAAGCCCTTCCTTTTCATTGGTCTCCTTGGAGCACAATAGCCACCACTCCTTAAAAGTGCTTCAAGCTTGTCTAGTTACTGTTTTCAGCCCTGGTCTCTTACAGCTTTGTTATTTGTTCTATTTTGGCATGTCTTTTGATTCTGCAAAGCTTAAATTACTTTCCTAAGAGTGTAGTAAGTCAGTTCTGTTAAAAGCACAGACCATGAAACACAAGCAGATCTGGGTTCACATTATAGCTCTGCCACTTACTAGCTGTGTGACCTTGAGCTGGTTACTTCATGTCTCTGTGCCTTCTCTCCCATCTGCAAAATGAGATAGCATCAGCCCTCACTTTATAAATATTTTTAGAGATGGGGTCTCAACTTATCTTATCTCAAATAAGATAATGAATGAAGGTGATTAGCAGTGTGCCTGGTACACTGTCATTGATGGTATCACTGTATCCTCCCTCGGGAACAGGGACTACTCTTTTGCTTTCTACTCCCACTCACTTCTGAGCATTTGCAGTTCCCATAACAGACAGAAGAGAAATGCAATATTTGTTGAACAAATTATTTGACTCTTCCTGTTTCCATCTGAGTACTATTTAACATAGGACTGCTTGCCAGGTGTACCTGGGTATACTTTCCCACATAAGCAACTTTCCCTTTTGGGGAGAATTTAACCAAAAGTGCCAATATTACGTAGTGGTTAATAATGCATAGTCCAGAATTAGACTACCTGGATTTGACTGCTGTTCTGCCATTTGATAGCTGTGTGACCTTGAGCAAATTATTTAACCACTCTGTGTCTCAGTTTTCTCATCTATAAAAGAGAAGCAATAATAGTTCTTTCTCATGTGGTCATCATGAGGATTAAAGTAGTTAATAGAATTAATTCTTTAAATAGGGTCTGTCACAGAGTAAACCGTTGATGAAAGTTGTTATTATTATGTTCTTTCAAAGATCTTTCAGGGAAGGAGTATTGCTGTCTAAAGGCATTTCAAGAAGTTGCTAGGGGAGCTGGTCTTAACACTCAGAATTCTTCCTCTAAGCCATTGTTTGACAGATATTATAAATTGGTCCCCATCTCTTCAGCCACTGGTGGCTTAATAAGGATTTACATTCCTGAGATGTTAGTGCTTTAAAGGGTGCTTAGAGAGCTTCTTGGCCAGAGTCCTCATTTTATAGATGAGGATAAGAGGCCCAGACAGGGAGGAAGCTTGCCCTGGTCACTCAGTGGGTGAGTAGCAGCACCAGGAACCAGAACCAGAGCCCAGGGCTCGGACCATGACAGCAAGCACTTAGTTTTCATTGCCATGTTCCGCAACCTGCAAGGGATGAGAAGGCTCATTTTCTCCCTAAACGGGAGCTTTGCCACTGCTGGGAATGGAGTGACCGCCTAGCAAGTGATGGATTACGTAGTTAGATAGCAGTCATGTGGCCTGTATTATTCCTTGCATAGCCACAGCCACATTTGTATAATATTAAGAATTATTTCAGGAGGCTGGGTGTAGTGGCTCATGCCTGTAATCCCAGCACTTTCAGAGGCTCAGGTGGGAGGATTGCTTGAGGCTGGGTATTTAAGACCAGCCTGGGCAACATAGTGAGATCCTGTCTCTAAAAAATTTTTTTTTAATTAAAAAAAAAAGAATTATTTCAACCTGCTTTGAAAGTGAGATGAGATTCCAACATATGAAAGGCTTTTTTGGGGGAATGCTGGATCAAGTTTCTACTGTGAGCCCAGAGGGCAAAGCTGGGACTGGTGAGATTGGGGGAGTTCAGTGCTTATCCGTGTAATAAGTTAGTTAAGAGTGTTTTCTCTATGCTGGAGGACTGCCCAGGATGGAGTGATAATCCGGCAGACAGCAAGGGTGGCAGATGTGAAAACACGTGAGCCCAGTAAAGGGGAACAGGTGCTGTGAGAGAAGCAAAGGCAGCAGCCAGAGAGGGCAAAAAGCAGGGGCAGCCACTTCAGCCTGGAACCAGGTCTCAAGGAGGTATCACTGCTGGGGTATATCTTCAAAGATGAATGTGTGTTTTCTAGGCAAATGGAGGTTGGGACTTTCCCAGCAGAGAGAACACAGCACAGTATGAAAAGTTCACCATTTTTGGTGGTCTCAAAACTCCTTAAGTGTGGAACATGGAGTTGAGGGGAGACCTAGATGTAAGATAGAGATTGGGGGTGCTGATCACCAGGGGCCTGTGGGTTCTTCCTTGGAGCTGAAGTCCATGGGGTGCCACTGCAGGGATTCTGGAAGCTCATGCAGCAAAATGAGCTGCACAGCTTTGCAATTTAGAAAGCTCACTGGGCTGTCAGCCTGGAAAGCAGGCTGGAATGGACACTGGAGTCCAGGAGAGCTGTTGAAGACTTGTGTGGTGATGCAAGGGGGTGGAGATGACAACTAGAGCCACCATGGTGGCAGTGAGGATGGGCATGCAAAGACAAGGATGAGAGGACAGAAGAGTCCAAGAGGTGGAGTCAGCACGACTTGGTCACCAGTCGGATACGGGGAGGTGAGGGACAGGTGATGTTGAGGCTAGCAATGACAGCTGTTGTGCATTGAGCACTTAGCTATGTGCCCTGCATGGTGCTAAGCACCTGACATGGGTGATCTCATTTTATCCTCACCAGTGGGTACTACCCCTGTAAGCTTGCTCTACCCATGTCACAGCTGAGAAAACTAGCTCAGAAAGGTTCAAACTTGTCCTCAGGTCACAGTGAATGAGTCATATAGCTGGGACTCCGAGCTCTGGCTTTTTTTTTTTAATTATATAGTCGTCCTTTAATAAATTCTACCTTTTGAACACTTTTATCACTTTGTGATCTTCATATATTAATACATTAATATATGTAAGCCACAATCAGAGGGGAGAATCTAAGCATTTAGTCTACCAGGTAATGATGAAAAGAGGATGTGTATGATTAATTCATTTGAAATATTATGGACGTCAATAAACAATGGAAATGGTAAGCATCTGGGATAAAAGTGGGCCTGGCCAGGGATGTCTGGTGATATCTTAAGCGCTTTTTTTTTTTTTTTTTACTTTAAGTTTTAGGGTACATGTGCACAACGTGCAGGTTTGTTACATATATATACATGTGCCATGTTGGTGTGCTGCACCCATTAACTCGTCATTTAACATTAGGTATATCTCCTAATGCTATCCCTCCCCACTCCCCCCACCCCACAACAGGCCCCAGAGTGTGATGTTCCCCTTCCTGTGTCCATGTGTTCTCATTGTTCAATTCCCACCTATGAGTGACAACATGCGGTGTTTTTTTTTTTGTCCTTGCGATAGTTTGCTGAGAATGATGGTTTCCAGTTTCATCCGTGTCCCTACAAAGGACATGAATTCATCATTTTTTTTGGCTGCATAGTATTCCATGGTGTATATGTGCCACATTTTCTTAATCCAGTCTATCATTGTTGGACATTTGAGTTGGTTCCAAGTCTTTGCTATTGTGAATAGTGCTGCAATAAACATACGTGTGCATGTGTCTTTATAACAGCATGATTTATAGTCCTTTGGGTATATACCCAGTAATGGGATGGCTGGGTCAAATGGTATTTCCAGTTCTAGATCCCTGAGGAATCGCCACACTGTCTTCCACAATGGTTGAACTAGTTTACAGTCCCACCAACAGTGCAAAAATGTTCCTATTTCTCCACATCCTCTCCAGCACCTGTTGTTTCCTGACTTTTTAATGATTGCCATTCTAACTGGTGTGAGATGTTATCTGATTGTGGTTTTGATTTCCATTTCTCTGATGGCCAGTGATGATGAGCATTTTTTAATGTGCCTTTTGGCTGTATAAATGTCTTCTTTTGAGAAGTGTCTGTTCATATCCTTCGACCACTTTTTGATGGGGTTGTTTGTTTTTTTCTTGTAAATTTATCTGAGTTCATTGTAGATTCTGGATATTAGCCCTTTGTCAGATGAGTAGATTGCAAACATTTTCTCCCATTCTGTAGGTTGCCTGTTCACTCTGATGGTAGTTTCTTTTGCTGTGCAGAAGCTCTTTAGTTTAATTAGATCCCATTTGTCAATTTTGGCTTTTGTTGCCATTGCTTTTGGTGTTTTAGACATGAAGTCCTTGCCCATGCCTACGTCTTGAATGGTATTGCCTAGGTTTTCTTCTAGGGTTTTTATGGTTTTAGGTCTAACATTTAAGTCTTTAATCCATCTTGAATTAATTTTTGTATAAGGTGTAAGGAAGGGATCCAGTTTCAGCTTTCTCCATATGGCTAGCCAGTTTTCCCAGCACCATGTATTAAATAGGGAATGCTTTCCCCATTTCTTGTTTTTGTCAGGTTTGTCAAAGATCAGATAGTTGTAGATATGTGGCATTATTTCTGAGGGCACTGTTCTGTTCCATTGGTCTATATCTCTGTTTTGGTACCAGTATCACGCTGTTTTGGTTACTGTAGCCTTGTAGTATAGTTTGAAGTCAGGTAGCATGATGCCTCCAGCTTTGTTCTTTTGGCTTAGGATTGACTTGGCAATGCGGGCTCTTTTTTGGGTCCATATGAACTTTAAAGTAGTTTTTTCCAATTCTGTGAAGAAAGTCATTGGTAGCTTGATGGGGATGGCATTGAATCTATCAATTACCTTGGGCAGTATGGCCATTTTCATGATAATTGATTCTTCCTACCCGTGAGCATGGAATGTTCTTCTATTTGTTTGTATCCTCTTTTATTTCATTGAGCAGTCGTTTGTAGTTGTCCTTGAAGAGGTCCTTCACATCCTTGTAAGTTGGATTCCTAGGTATTTTATTCTCTTTGAAGCAATTGTGAATGGGAGTTCACTCATGATTTGGCTCTCTGTTTGTCTGTTATTGGTGTATATAAGAATGCTTGTGATTTTTGCACATTGATTTTGTATCCTGAGACTTTGCTGAAGTTGCTTATCAGCTTAAGGAGATTTTGGGCTGAGACGATGGGGTTTTCTAGATATACAATTGTGTCATCTGCAAAAAGGGACAATTTGACTTCCTCTTTTCCTAATTGAATACCTTTATTTCTTTCTCCTGCCTGATTGCCCTGGCCAGAATTTCCAGCACTATGTTGAATAGGAGTGGTGAGAGAGGGCATCCCTGTCTTGTGGCAGTTTTCAAAGGGAATGCTTCCAGTTTTTGCCCATTCAGTATGATATTGGCTGTGGGTTTGTCATAAATAGCTCTTATTATTTTGAGATACGTCCCATCAATACCTAATTTATTGAGAGTTTTTAGCATGAAGGGCTGTTGAATTTTGTCAAAGGCCTTTTCTGCATCTATTGAGATAATCATGTGGTTTTTGTCGTTGATTCTATTTATATGCTGGATTACATTTATTGATTTTCCTATGTTGAACCAGCCTTGCATCCCAGGGATGAAGCCACTTGATCATGGTGGATAAGCTTTTTGATGTGCTGCTGGATTCGGTTTGCCAGTATTTTATTGAGGATTTTTGCATTGATGTTCATCAGGGATATTGGTCTAAAATTCTCTTTTTTTGTTGCGTCTCTGCCAGGCTTTGGTATCAGGATGATGCTGGCCTCATAAAATGAGTTAGGGAGGATTCCCTCTTTTTCTATTGATTGGAATAGTTTCAGAAGGAATGGTAACAGCTCCTCCTTGTACCTCTGGTAGAATTCAGCTGTGAATCCATCTGGTCCTGGACTTTTTTTGGTTGGTAAGCTATTAATTATTGCCTCAATTTCAGAGCCTGTATTGGTCTATTCAGAGATTCAACTTCTTCCTGGTTTAGTCTTGGGAGGGTGTATGTGTTGAGGAATTTATCCATTTCTTCCAGATTTTCTACTTTATTTGCATAGAGATGTTTATAGTATTCTCTGATGGTAGTTTGTATTTCTGTGGGATCAGTGGTGATATCCCCTTTATCATTTTTTATTGCGTCTATTTGATTCTTCTCTCTTTTCTTCTTTATTAGTCTTGCTAGTGGTCTATCAATTTTGTTGATCTTTTCAAAAAATCAGCTCCTGGATTCATTAACTGCTGCGCCTCACCATTCCTTGGGTTTCTGGCTTAGGCCACTGAGGGAATGAGGGCATTTTTCTTTCATGCTGGTCATATAGAGGAGTCAGAGCGGGAGAGGTTGACCCAGTCTTATAGTCCCATATGAGGAATGGCAGTATTTTAGGCTCCAGGCTCCAGATAAGTTGCTGGAATGTCTATGGAGATACTAGAAATGGCTAAGAATGGTTTTGAAAGAGCTCTCAGTAGCTTTGCAGCTTTGCTTTCCTTTTCTGGTGCAATGAGAAAGATTGGGAGTCAAATCCAGCTTCTAGTTTAGTCCCTGTGTTACCAGCTATCTGATCCTAGGTAAGTCACTTTAAGTTCCTGGGCTTGCCCCTTTTCCTTTCACATAATGCAGTTCCTGGTCTAGTCTTGACGTGCATTTGTTCAAACACAGATTTCTGGCCCCCATGCCCAAAGTTGTGATTCAGTAGGCCTGATGTGGAGCCTGAGAATTTGCATTTCTAATAAGTTTCTAGGAGATGCTAATGCTGCCGGACTGGGGACCGCACTGTCCTAGGTGCTCTTTCTGTTCCTTTTGAGCAAGTGAGCTCCATTCCAGTGGGCAGAGACAAAGCAGGCAAATGCACACACCAATATTAATACCAGAGGGCATTCAGTCCAAGGCAGACAGCATAAATCAAGCAAAATGGGTGGCACTTTGAAATGACAACAGAGTAGAATTCATCCTGCCCTTCCATTCTCTCCTACTCTTTTTTAATCCTATGCCCACCACCAGTAAGACCAAGGCCAACTCCAGCCCCCCCCAGTAACTTGTTTCCCTTTGTGGGTTTCAGGATAGATGGGTCCATGGAGGAGTCCTATATACCAACTGTGGTCAGGGCCAAGACACCTGCCCCAAACAGTTGATGGACTGAAGATACCCAAGAGAGGCACAAACTCCCCATGTCACAGGAGTCTACCAGTTTGAGAGACAAAACTTCTACTAAAGTAGCCTACAGGGCTGCCCTTTACCCTAGGCAGCAGAAGCCTATGGTCTGAGTATTGCCTTTGGGTGAGGAGAAGAAAAGCTTCTCTCTCTTGCTACCCCACAGATCACCCATGTTGGCCTCCTTGGCCTTCAGGGGCATATAAGGGAATTTTTTTTTCTTGACCACACTCTAGGCATGAGCAGCATCAGGCCTCCCTGTGACCCTGTGCCAGAAATCTGATGAAGAAATTCCAGGGAGACAAATGGAGATTACATGGAAATCAATCATGCACAGCTGGTGTTTTCTGCAGGCAACTGTTCAATTTTATTTCCTTTTCATTTTTCTCCCCGTTCCCGGGGATCAACTCCTTTAAGAGCTTGACACCAGCTAGACTTGTGCGATTAAGTGGTAAACTTAAACTGGCTGCTGCAGCCCCCTATGTGTTTCTGTGGAACTGGGAGATTGTTCAGGGCAACTGATAAGTCAGTCCTTTGGACCACTGATGGCATGGAAACTATTTAAAGGCATTTTGGTCTTTCTTTCTTGGAGTCTTACTTCCAATTGTCTAGGTGGGCTTTTAAATTATTTTTCGATAAAGCCCATGCATCATTTTGGCTGCTTCAGCTGCAAGTGATGGAAGACCCAGCTCATTTAAATGATATGGAGATTCATTATTTCATTTATCAAGAACCCTGGCACAAGGGGGACTATGGGGTTAATTCATTCAGTGGCTCAGCAGCATAATCTGAAATTCATATTCCTGCCACTTCTCTGTACTTAAATGTACATGTACAGCATGTACTCCCCAGGTTAAAGTTTCTCATCGCCCCAAGATGGCTGGTGCAGTTCCAGACATCACACATAGACACTGAAACCTCCAGGATGGATCACTGGACAAAATCAGAGTTCTGTTAGGAAGGAGGAGGGGGTTAGAGTGAGAAATAACCACCAGAGTCGCTCAATCTAGGTGTCAATCCTTGTTGAGAAACATTTACCCATTCTCTGCTGCTTAAAAGATTACAAACATCTTGTCCTGACATCATTTGACTTCCACAGTATGCCCTGACTTCTTAGTTTTTATTTTCTCCCATATCCTCTGCATATAGCCATTGCACAGCCAAACAGGAATATCTGCTATTGCCAGAATTTGCCACATGTCTGGTTTCTACTTTCTTGCCTTGCTTAGGCTGTGCCCTGTATCTGGAATATACTCTGTTCATGATCCCTGTCTCAACACAAACATGTCCAGGGACCGGGATAAAAGCAGAGACTTTCTATTCTCCCTCTTGTCCCTATCTTTTTTAGACAATCTTTTTATTGCAAAATAAAATACAAGATACAGAAAGCTAAACAAAACTGTGAACGTAATGAATTGTTATAAGGTGAACCCCTTTGGAGCCACTACCGGCTAAAAAGTGGAACATTGCCATTCCCTCCAGAAACCCCTTCTTGTGCCCCTTCTGATCACAGCCCCCTCTTTCCCCTTAATAGTAACGTTACTTTTATACCAGTCACTCTTTTCATTTTAAAAATGGACTTATCACCCGAATGTGTACCCATATTAGTTTAGCCTTACCCATTTTTAAGTGTGATGTTTTTAAAGTCTCAATCTACAGGTTTCCCCTTCATTTTTTCTTTTCCTTGCAATTTATCTGTTGAACAACACAGACCTGTCAGATTTTCCACAGTCTGGATTTTGCTGATTTTACTCTCGTAGTTCAAGTTAACATATTCCTCAGTTTTCTTTACTTTTTGCAAATTGGCAGCTGGATCCAGAGACTTGGTCAGACTGGCATTGACCCCTCTGGCAAGAATTAGGGGATGCCATGTTTCTACACCAGGAGGCACATTACATCTTCTGGTATTTTATCATTTCTTTTTCATTTATTCAGTGGGAATCTCTTCAAATTGGACCCTGAGTCCTTGTGACATGACCTCAGTAGTCTTTGATGACTGCCTTGCTCTCTGCTGCATTAAGATATTCCAGATCCATCTGGCACATTCCCTACACCAGACCTGGAATTCATCATTTCTCTAAGAAACTGCTTGGTTTCTTTTAGAGGGAAATGGTATTTTAAGACCACAAATTGGGCATTAGGAATGCTCTTTGCTACTGGGCTTGTTTCTTGCCTTGAGATTGGACAGGGGGAGGAGATTATAAATATGTTTATAGTTGTATTTTATTTACATTTAAAGAGAAAATACCCTGTGAGTTCATAAATATATAAATTAAAGACTGTTGAATTTTTTCTCTATTATATTTCTGTAGCTCCTTTCTTTATAGCAAGAGCCCTGGTTTTCAAGGATACAGGAGGTAGTAGAATTAGATTCTTGTCTTACCCATGTTATACACACAACAATATCAGAATAGCAATACTAATGCTACCGCTGATATGATTATGGAAAACACTAAACAGTATTTTTTGCATATGCTCTCCCATTTCCCCCATTGTTTCTATAGTTGTCCTGTATCTATGTTATACCACTGTCTCCCTCTTAACTTCCACTTAGTTCTACAGGTGAGTATATAGGTGAGTATATAGTTAATATTCACCATCAGTTTGTATGTTGATGTTTCTCCAATCAGTTTGCTTGCCTGAAGCTCTACCTCTAGTAGATTCCTTACGGAGCACTAGTGGGAACAATATTTTCTGAGTACTTAGATATTGATAACAGTTTTGCCCTTTATACTTGAAAGTTGGTTTTGCTGGATATAAAATTTGTTGTTCACTTTTTCTTTCCTTGCGTATCTTGTTGTTCTAGTTTCTTCTGGCATTAAGATGTTTACTACCATTACACTATCTGGTGATAATCTATTTTTTTTTCCTTTATAAGTCCCTTGCTCTTTTTTTCTAGATATCTAAAAGGATGTTCCCTCCTTTTCTCCTTCATTCCTTCCTTCCTCTTTTTCAGTACATTAATGCCTTAGTGTTGGTTGTCCTGAGCTGACATTCTTAAGTTATGTCCTGGGCTCTTTCAGTTTGTGCTTTCAAATCTTCTTTTCCCTTAAATTTCAGGAAATTTTTATTGAATTTTAGTTTTTCATATTTTTTCCTTATTACCTTGTTTTGGTTTTCTTATTCAGGGGCTCATCTTATCTGTATGTTAGATCTTCATTACCTGTCTTTGGTATTTCTCTGTAGTCACTTTCTCTTGAGTCTTTACCTCTTTTTTTCCCCATTTCATCTTGATTTAAAATTTTTATCTGCTTTCACTTATTTGGGGCATTAACTGTTTTTTGTTTGTTTGGTTGGTTGGTTTTTTAGTGGTTTTTTTTTTTTTTTTTTTAGTTTAGTCTTCATTTGTGAAATGGTTTTTTTTCTTTTATTTCTAGTTCTTTGCTGAATTTGTTGCCTCGTTTCTGAGTCTAATTTTAACTTACGTCGTATACCTTAGAGCATTTTCTTAATGTCTTTTAACTAATTTTGAAAACATAGGTTGCAGTTTGATCTGTTTTGTGACCATGTCTTTCAGGCATGCTTTCATTGTCTATAGAAAGTCCTTTGTAGGGACATGGATGAAGCTGGAAACCATCATTCTCAGCAAATTATCGCGAGGACAAAAAACCAAACACCGCATATTCTCACTCATAGGTGGGAATTGAACAATGAGAACACTTGGACACAGGAAGGGGAACATCACACACCGGGGACTGTTGTGGGGTGGGGGGAGGGGGAAGGGATAGCATTAGGAGATATACCTAATGCTAAATGATGAGTTAATGGGTGCAGCACACCAACATGGCATATGTAACAAACCTGCACGTTGTGCACATGTACTCTAAAACTTAAAGTATAATAATAATTAAAAAAAGAAAATATTCTGCTTTGTATTTTTTTAAAAAATAACAATTTAGTATGGGATTTGACATCAGTACTTTTAAGTTATCCATATTTTGGTGAAATTAGTTGTCTTGAACTTTCAGAAGAAGGTGGGATTCAGGAAAGCTTTTCTAACTTCATAAAGCCTCCTCTTTTTTTTTTTTTTTTTTTTTTTTTGGTGTGGTATTAAAAAACATGGTGGCTTGCTTTCTTAGATTTCCTGGCTGTGTTTCTCTCTCCTACTTTTATCTGAAATTCCTCTTTCCTTTGTCTCCATTGTTCCTGTCCTGCTCAGTTTGGACTTACCTCTTTGCAGATCTACCTCAGTGCAGGTCTTGATCCGCCCTAGAAGATCAGCTTTAAGAGTTCATAGGAGTGAGGTGGCCCCGTCCCCTTCAGACCTGCTCACTGTGGACCTTCTACACTCACCCATTACTGCATTGGGCAGAAATCCTCCCAGTTTTGACTGCAGTTCTTACCTTAGCCCATAGTGCTCTCCCAGAGAATGTTGGCTGTTTTTTTGTTATGCTCTCAGGACCAGCAGCCACTGTTTCCATTGCTTCCTATTTCCTCCCACACAGGTGCTGGTAACATGGAAGCCTCATGGTTAGTAGTGGTTTGCTCTCACCCACTTGTATAGGGTTCATAGGGATGCCTTGTTAGCAAATTTGGTTGTATATGTTGTTTTATGGATTTTTCTATGTTTGCTTTGTGTGTGTTTCTGTGGGGATTCAGAGATACTGAAGAACTTTGTTGCTTCTATGGCCATCTTATTCTTCATCCCTTTGATTCTTCCAGTGCCTCTTACATATATAGTAGATGCTCATAAATATTGAGATCACACTGAAGAATCATTCCTGTTGGCAAAGAAATGTTTACTAAGAGATGTTTTGTTTTTTGCAGCCCTTTTGGTCCCAGAATTCCCACAGAGGTGTTTCTTTTCTTTATTTCTTTTCTTTTTTTTTTTTTTCTGTCTCCAGGTAACTTTTATTAGTAATGAATTCCTGAAAGAGGGATAACATCAAATCAGGAATTTTTTACTGGCATCAATACCTCTTTGAAAAAAGTCTGTAGCCCCAGGAAGGCAAGCATACTTTTATGCCGAGTGGTAATTCTGATCAATTGATAATGACTTTCTGAAGCATTGTATTGAGAAGATGTCTAAGGCCACATTACAGCTTGCTGGGTATATAAATTAGCATACTTTTGGCTGCAAGTAACAGAAAACTCTATTCGAAATGACCAAAACAATAAGTGCATTGAATATATTAAGACAACAAGAAGTTCAGGGGCAGGTAATTTAGCAGCTCAATAATGTCATCAGGGACCTGGTTCTTCCTATCTTTCTTTGCTATCATCCTCTGCATGTCTGCTTTTTTCCTTCAGAGATGTAAGATTCCTGTAGGAGCTCCTCCCAGAAGCAGAGAAGGGCATCGTTGTTGTTGTTTTTAGAGACAAGGTCTCACTATGTAGCCCAGGTTGGTCAACTCCTGGGCTCAAGCAGTCTTCCTACCTCAGACTCTCAAAGTGCTGGGATACAGGCATGAGTCACCATGCCCAGCCCCTTTATTACCTTCTAATCAGTGAGAAAATCCTTTCCCTAACTCCTGTCTCTAACCCCGAACAGACTCCCTCAATTGGCCCTATCCTTGAACTAATCTCTAATAATTAGGAAAATGGGACCACCAGGATTGGTGCAGACTCATCAAGGTATATCCCTCAATTATGTGAGGGAAATCTGGTACGTATGTGAAAGTCAGGGCCCTGCTGGCATGGCAAAAGGAGGAAATGGCTCTTGGATAAGCAATTGCAGTGCCGGGTATAATGAGAAAGAGTGTCGTGATTGATAAACTACATCTGCCACAAGCATAGGACAGAGATGTGATATCATGAGGTCATGTATTGGTTGCACCTGATAGAACTTTTTATAGGTTAAAAAAATGTTTTCACAGACATTATCTCTACTGTTGGTCAACACTCCTTGACCTAAGCAGCTCAATGGTTATACTCCTTATTTTATAGTAGGGTCACTGAGACCCAGAGGGGCATATTGATTTGTACAAGGTCACAGAGCAAGAAAATGATAAAGCAGGGTTTCCTCCCTCCAGGTCTAGTATGTCTTCCACTTTCCCACACTTTCCCACGCTGGTGGCTGGCTGGAAACCAAGTTTTTCTCTCAAGGAGTAGGCAAAGGGCATTAAAATGAGAGCTGGGAGGTTACTAAGGGGTAGGCCTTGTCAGTATCACAAAACCTAACCTTACCCTGCAGGAAGCCTCCCTTCCCTCCCCTCCCCTCCCCTCCCCTCTCCTCCTCTCCCCTGCCTTCCCTTCTTCCTCTCTCTCTTCTTCTAAATAACAGTCTTATTGAGATATGATTCACATTTCAGTGTTTTTTAGTTTATCATAGACTTGTGCATCCATTACCAGTGAAGTATAACTCTCTTAAGTAACCATATAACTGCCTCTAGAGTGGGGAGGTTGACAGAGGAGAAGCCTGGTTATGGCTCCCTGAGCTCCCAGATCTTCCTTCTCAAGGTAGACAAAAACAGATCCTTACAGGGCTTTGGGTATGCCACTTGAATGAGTGACACTGCCTATTTAAGAGACTGGAAGGTGGATGAGTTGGAGAACATGCCCACCATCCCCGGGGTCATCTCTGCCAACTTAGCTCCTGCCAACTGCTGTCATGCAGGAATACAGGGCTTGGCTTGCCAGGGCTTCTGGTTTTTTGACAGAAACTGGACATTTGGATTTTTTAAGAGAACTTTCTGGATTTTTAAACAGAGGCTGTTGTTTTTGTTTTTTTTTTTTTAATATTGTGTGTGGTCCCTTATAGATGGATGACCTTAGACCTGCAGTTTGAGACTTTTTTTCATTATTTGATTTCTCTCATTCAGTTTCATCTGTTTTCATTCATTTCACTCATTCATTTATTATTTCATATCACTAGGGAGTGGAATTTTTTAGGTGTGTCACAGGAGCCAGCTTTTAAAAACCTAATACTGGATAATTCCCCTGAAGATCCATAAGATGAATACAATTGTGTTCTTCAATATTAGGAGTAGGCAATTCTGTAAAAGAGAGAGGGCTTGTGATGAAGATATAGTCAAATGTTTGGTTCACATATTCTTCAAACACTGTCACAGTGTTTGGGTGAGATGGTTTGATTTTCCCCCTTGTTCCAGAGTCAATGGCTGATGTTTTTGATGTTAGTCCTTCTATACAGGCTTCAACAGATGTCTCCCCAAATTCAGATGCTCTCCCAACAGTGCATGCACACCCCATCTCCTCCCATCTTATCATGTACCCCAGCAAAGAAAAGAAAGGATTCTTTTGATTGGGCAGTGCTGAGCTGTTTCATCCATTAACTCTTTGGTTTTCATACCAAACCTGTGAAGTTGTCACCTTTATTTTCAAGGTGTAGAAACAGGCTCGGCCAGGCATTACAGGTGGCTCATTCCTGTAATCCCAGGACTTTAGGAGGCCAAGGTGGGAGGATTGCTTGAAGCCAGGAGTTTGAGACCAGTTGGGGCACCATAGCAAGACCCCGTCTCCAAAAAAATAAAAAATAAATGAAAATAAACTGAGACTCAGGTTAAGCAATTGCCCAAAGCTACTTATCTAGCCAGTTGCAAAGTCCAACTGAGACTCAGGTTTAGCAGTTCCCCAAAGCTACTTATCTAGCCAGTTGCAGAGTCCATTTTGAAATTGGCTTGCTGACATTGAAACCAGTGTGCCTTTTACTCCTTTATACCTTCATGTCTTTGTGACTATACTTTCACCTGACCAAAGCTGCCTCACCCTGGATCTTAAAGTTGAGTTTTAGAGATTAGAAAAACCCACTTCATCTCTGCCTTCCTGTGTTTTCCATTTTTAAACGACATTTGTCTTAGGACTCTTTCAATTGCAAGTGACAGAAACTTGTCTCAAAGTGGCCTAAGTGGAAAAGGGAATTTATTGGCTTCTGTAACTGAAAAGATGGCACGTGCCTATAATCCCAGCTACTGGGGAGGCTGAGGCAGGAGAATCAATCGCTTGAACCAGGGAGTCAGAGGTTGCAGTGAGCCGAGATCGCACCACTGCACTCCAGCTTGGCAACAGAGTGAGACTCCGTTTTAAAAAAAAAAAAAAAGAGAAAAGGAAAGGGCAAGCTTTATTTTCCCATGCATGACTAATATATGTACAATATAGATTTCCTAGGGTCTTAACATAGCTTCCTGGTAAAGCAATGTTACATTTATCTGACATCATTAGGGAGTGAGGTTTTTCTTGATGAGTAGATTTTGCAGATATGTTTGTGCTATTAAGATTTAAATCTGTTTTTAAAAATCTTTCTTGAAACACTTCTTTGCACTACCAGAATACGCTGTTACAATACATAAATTAACATTTTCTGAGCCTTTTTGCATCATGCTTCTAGAAGTTAAGGTATATGTCAGCAGGTACAAAAATCTACAGAATAAATACGGCATTTCTTTTCAGGAGAAGAAGGAAGAAAGGAGTTAGGAAGGACTGTAATTTTTATATAAAAATAAACATGAGTATGTTATGAAATAGAGTGCAAAATTCTTAGGGATTTTTGAGATGAAGCCTGAATTGATTCAGGCTACTATCAATATGCCACCTTTCCCTCCTCTCCCATACCTTTCTCTATGTCCATGAGCCTTTAGAGAAAAGTAGACCCAGAATGTACTGAGAGCCTGTGTCTCCAAACTACAGTGCTTTTTTTCTTATTCAGTGTCTATTGTCTTGAGCAGTTCTCCATCACTGCTTATTCCTTACATTATGCTAGGGAATAATTGGGCATTGCCGGGGAAACCAGATAGTCAAACTTTTTTAAATGAATAACATTAAAATCCACACACATATACCTAAATCAGTAGACTTGGCAAGACAAGAGTTCTGTCCTTTTTCTATAAAATAAGTTCAAGGCTGTGTGACTTGTCTAGTGAGGACTCACACTGGGAAGAGATTGGTGAAGTCTTTGGGATTCTGATCACAGATAAATGGAGTATCCACTGGCCTGGTCACTGATTCTAGCCTGTGACCCTTGTCACTTACACGGATGTGGGCTTTCTATGCTTCTTGACACTAGTGCAGAATGATCAGCCTGTTCATCACTGTAAATGATTCTTATTTCCTGCTCTTTGGACTTTTCCTCCAGGCAGGTGCAGGGTATTATG